>NC_000003.12:135826786-136129816 GCF_000001405.40 Homo sapiens | reverse complement strand
TAGTGGATAAGCTTTTTGATGTACTGCTGGGTTCGGCCTGCCAGTATTTTGAGGATTTTTGCATCGATGTTCATCAGGGATACTGGCCGGAAATTCTCATTTTTTGTTGTGTCTCTGGTAGGCTTTGGCATCAGGATGATGCTGGCCTCATAAAATGAGTTAGAAAGGATTCCCTCTTTTTCTATTGATTGGAGTAGTTTCAGAAGGAATGGTACCAGCTCCTCTTTGTACCTCTGGTAGAATTTGGCTGTGAATCTGTCTGGTCCTGGACTTTTTTTGGTTGGTGGGCTATTAATTATTGCCTCAATTTCAGAGCCTGTTATTGGTCTATTCAGAGACTCAACTTCTTCCTGGTTTAGTCTTGGGAGGATGTATCTGTCCAGGAATTTATCCATTTCTTCTAGATATTCTAGTTTATTTGCATAGAGGTGTTTATAGTATTCTCTGATGGTAGTTTGTATTTCTGTGGGATCGGTGGTGATATCCCCTTTATCATTTTTTATTGCATCTATTTGATTCTTCTCTCCTTTCTTATTAGTCTTGGTAGAGGTGTATCAATTTTGTTGATTTTTTCAAAAAACCACCTCCTGGATTCATTGATTTTTTGAAGGTTTTTTTTTTTGTCTCTATCTCTTTCAGTTCTGCTCTAATCTTAGTTATTTCTTGGCTTCTGCTAGCTTTTCAATTTGTTTGCTCTTGCTTCTCTAGTTCTTTTAATTGTGATGTTAGGGTGTCGATTTTAGATCTTTCCTGCTTTCTCTTGTGGGCATTTAGCGCTATAAATTTCCCTCCATACACTGCTTTAAATGTGTCCCAGAGATTCTGGTAGGTTGTGCCTTTGTTCTCATTGGTTTCAAACAACATCTTTATTTCTGCCTTCATTTCGTTATGTACCCAGTAGTCATTCAGGAGCAGGTTGTTTAGTTTCCATGTAGTTGAGCGGTTTTGAGTGAGTTTCTTAATCCTGAGTTCTAGTTTGATTGCACTGTGGTCTGAGAGACAGTTTGTTATAATTTCTGTTCTTTTACATTTGCTGAGGAGTGCTTTACTTCCAACTATGTGGTCAATTTTGGAATAAGTGTGATGTGGTGCTGAGAAGAATGTATATTCTGTTGATTTGGGGTGGAGAGTTCTGTAGATGTCTATTAGGTCGCTTGTTGCAGAGCTGAGTTCAAGTCCTGGATATTCTTGTTAACTTTCTGTCTCATTGATCTGTCTAATATTGACAGTGGGGTGTTAAAGTGTCCCACTATTATTGTGTGGGAGTCTAAGTCTCTTTGTAGGTCTCTGAGAACTTGCTTTATGAATCTGGGTGCTCCTGTATTGGGTGCATATATATTTAGGATAGTTAGCTCTTCTTGTTGAATTGATCCCTTTACCATTATGTAATGGCCTTCTTTGTCTCTTTTGATCTTTGTTGGTTTAAAGTCTGTTTTATCAGAGACTATGATGCAACCCCTCCTTTTTTTTTTTTTTGCTTTCCATTTGCTTGGTAGATCTTCCTTCATCCCTTTATTTTGAGCCTATGTGTGTCTTTGCACATGAGATGGGTCTCCTGAATACAGCACACCAGTGGGTCTTGACTCTTTATCCAATTTGCCAGTCTGTGTCTTTTAATTGGGGCATTTAGCCCATTTATATTTAAGGTTAATACTGTTATGTGTGAATTTGATCCTGTCATTATGATGTTCACTGGTTATTTTGCCTGTTAATTGATACAGTTTCTTCATAGCATCGATGGTCTTTAAAATTTGGCATGTTTTTGCAGTGGGTCGTTCCGGTTGCTTCTTTCCATGTTTAGTGCTTCCTTCAGGAGCTCTTATAAGGCAGGCCTGGTGGTGACAAAATCTCTCAGCATTTGCTTGGCTGTAAAGGATTTTCTTTCTCCTTCACTTATGAAGCTTAGTTTGGCTGGATATGAAATTCTGGGTTGAAAATTCTTTTCTTTAAGAATGTTGAATATTGGCCCCCACTCTCTTCTGGCTTGTAGTGTTTCTGCCAAGAGATCTGCTTTTAGTCTGATGGGCTTCCCTTTGTGGGTAACCCGACCTTTCTCTCTGGCTGCCCTTAGCACTTTCTCCTTCATTTCAACCTTGGTGAATCTGACAATTATGTGTCTTGGGCTTGCTCTTCTTGAGGAGTATCTTTGTGGTGTTCTCTGTATTTCCTGAATTTGAATGTTGGCCTGCCTTGCTTGGTTGGGGAAATTCTCCTGGATAATATCCTGAAGAGTGTTTTCCAACTTGGTTCCATTCTCCCCATCAGTTTCAGGTACACCAATCAGATGTCGATTTGGTTTTTTCGCATAGTCCCATATTTCTTGGAGGCTTTGTTTGTTTCTTTTTACTCTTTTTTCTCTAACCTTGTCTTCTCACTTCATTTCATTAGTTTGATCTTCAATCACTGATACCCTTTCTTCCACCTGATCGAATCAGCTGTTGAAGCTTGTATGTCAGGAAGTTCTTGTGCCATGGTTTTCAGCTCCATCAGGTCATTTAAGGTCTTCTCTACACTGTTTATTCTAGTTAGCCATTCGTCTGATCTTTTTCCATGGTTTTTAGCTTCCTTGCAATGGGTTCGAACATCCTCCTTTAGCTTGGTGAAGTTTGTTATTACCAAACTTCTGAAGCCTACTTCTGTCAACTCGTCAAAGTCATTCTCTGTCCAGCTTTGTTCCGTTGCTGGCGAGAAGCTGTGATCCTTTGGAGGAGAAGAGGTGCTCTGATTTGTAGAATTTTCAGCTTTTCTGATCTGGTTTCTCCCCATCTTTGTGGTTTTATCTACCTTTGGTCTTTGATGTTGGTGACCTACAGATGGGGTTTTGGTGTAGATGACCTTTTTGTTGATGTTGATGCTATTCCTTTCTGTTTGTTAGTTTTCCTTCTAACAGTCAGGTCCCTCAGCTGCAGGTCTGTTGGAATTTGCTGGAGGTCCACTCCAGACTCTGTTTGCCGGGGTATCACCAGCGGAGGCTGCAGAACAGCAAATATTACAGATTGGCAAATATTGCTGCCTGATCCTTCCTCTGGAAGCTTCGTTCTAGAGGGGCAGCCGCTTATATGAGGTATCTGTCGGCCCCTACTAGGAGGTGTCTCCCCGTTAGGCTACACAGGGGTCAGGGACTCACTTGAGGAGGCAGTCTGTCCATTCTTAGAGCTCAAATGCTGTGCTGGGAGAACTACTGCTCTCTTCAGAGCTGTCAGACAGGGACGTTTAAGTCTGCAGAAGTTGTCTGCTGTCTTTTGTTCAGGTATGCCCTGCCCATAGAGGTGGAGTCTAGAGGCAGTAGGCATTGTTGAGTTGCAGTAGGCATTGTTGAGCTGTGGTGGGCTCTGCCCAGTTCGAGCTTCCTGGCTGCTTTGTCTACCTACTCAAGCCTCAGGAATGGCGGATAACCCTCCCCCAGCCCAGCTACCACCTCACAGTTCAATCTCAGACTGCTGCGCTAGCAGTGAGCAAGGCTCCATGGGCATGGGACCTGCCGAGCCAGGCACGGGAGAGAATCTCCTTGTCTGCCAGTTGCTAAGACCTTGAGCAAAGCGCAGTATTTAGGTGTGAGTGTCCCGTTTTTCCAGGTAGTCTGTCACGGCTTCCCTTGGTTAGGAAAGGGAAATCCCCCAACCCCTTGTGCTTCCTGGGTGAGGTGCTTGCCCTCTGTGGGCTGCACCCACTGTCCAACCAGTCCCAATGAGATGAACCAAGTACCTCAGTTGGAAATGCGGAAATCACCCATCTTCTGCATCGATCATGCTGGGAGCTGCAGACCAGAGCTGTTCCTATTCGGCCATCTTGGAACGCCCCTCCTTTTTTTTCTTTTAACCATAACTGTGATGTTAACTACAGATGTCCTTTATCAGGCTTAGCAACTTCCCCTCTATCCTTACTTGGGTGAGAATTATTGTCAATGGATGTTGGGTTTTGTCAATGATAATGTGCTTTTTGTCATTTTTTCTATTAATATGGTTGTATTACATTGATTTTTGAATAAGCCAACCTTTCATTTCTGGAATAAACTGCACTTAGTTATGGTATATAATCTTTTTTATGTCATTGGATTTGATATGTTAATATTTTATAAGAAGTTTTATATTGATGTTCATAGGGGACATTGCTTTGTTTTCTTTCTTTTTTTAATAGGGATGGGGTCTCACTATGTTACCCAGGCTGGTCTCAAACTCCTGGGCTCAAGCGATCCTCCCACCTTGGCCTCCCAAAGTGCCAGGATTACAGGCGTGAGCCACCACGGGTGGCTGGAATATTGATTTGTAGTTTTAATTCTTTGTGATATTCAATACACAAGACAAGATGTCTTTGTCTGGCTTTGATATTAGGGTGATACTGGCTTTACAGAGTGATTTTGGAAGTATTCCCTCCTACTATTATTTTCTGGAAGTACTTGTGAAAGATTGGTATTTTTTTCCCTTAAATATTGGACAGAATTAATCAGTGAAGTCATCTGGACTTGGACTTCTCCTTTTTTAAATTTTTTATTTTTTGAGATGGAGTTTCACTCTTGTTGCCCAGGCTGGAGTGCAATGGCACGATCTCAGCTCACCACAACCTCTGCCTCTTGAGTTCAAGCAATTCTCCTGCCTCAGCCTCCCAAGTAGTTGAGACTACAGGCATGCGCTACCATGCCCAGCTAATTTTGTATTTTTAGTACAGACAAGGTTTCTCCATGTTGGTCAGGCTGGTCTCGAACTCCCGACCTCTGGTGAACTGCCCACCTTGGCCTCCCAAACTGTTGGGATTACAGGTGTGAGCCACCATGCCTGGCCTGGACTTGGACTTTTCTTATGGGGAAGACTTTTAATAACAAATTCAGTATCTTTATTTGATATAGGCCTATTCTGATTTTTCAATTTCTTCTTGAGTCAGTTTTTGTAATTTGAGTTTTTCTAGCATTTTTTCCCCATTTCATCCAAGGTGTGAAATTTGGATAAAGTTGTTCATAATATTCCCGTATAATTCTTTTAACTTCTGTAGTACCTACTGTGATGTTTCCTCTTCCATTCCTGATACTGTTAATTTATACCTTTTCTCTTTTTTTGTTGGTTTAGCTGAACCTTTATCTTTTAAAAAAATCTTTCTAAGGAACCAGGTTTTGGTTTAATTAATTATAATTTTATATTTTTTCCTGTTTTCTATTTCATTGATTTCTATTCTGATTTTATTATATCCTTTTTTCTATTTTTGGTCTTGTTTGCTCTTTTTTTTCTAGCTGAAGGTGGAAGCTTATATTGTTGATATTAGACCTTTCTAAGTGATAACTGTCCCTCTAAGCACTGCTTTAGGGTGCTTAGAAAACATCCCATATGTTTTCTTTCTTTTTTGAGACAAGGTCTCAGTTTGTCACTTGGGCTGGAGTGCAGTGGTGTGGATCGTAGCTCACTGTAACCTCAAACTTCTGGGTTCAAGCAATCCTCTTGCTTCAGCCTCTCAGGCAGCTAGAACTATAGGTGTATGCCATCCCCATGCCCGGCTAATTCTGTAGAAGTGGGGTCTCGCTGTGCTGCCCAGTCTGATCTTGAACTCCTGGCCCCACGCAATCTTCCCAACTTGTCCTCCCAGAGTGCTCAGATTACTGGCATGAGCCACTGTGCCCAGTCCATCCCATATATTTTCACATGTTCTTTTCATTCATTTAAAGATAATTTTGAATTTCCCTGTGGTTTTTTCTTTGACCTATGCATCTTAAGAGTGTGTCATTTAATTTCCAAATATTTTGGTGTTCCCAGATCTGTTTTCTAATTTAATTCAATTTTTAATCAAACAACATATTTATATTATTGTAATCATTTGAATTTATCAAGTCTTATTTTATCTGCCAAAGATGTGGTCTGGAAAAGTTCTGTGTACACCTGGATGAAACAGTGTATATATATTTTTGTTGTTTTGTGGAGTGTGCCCTAATAATGATTAAATCAAATGTGTTGACTATTAAGTCTTCTGTATCCTTGAGTGTCTGCAATCGTTCTATCAATTACTGAATGAGAAGTGTTGAAATCTCCAACTGTAATTGTTGACTTATCTATTTCTCCTTTCAAGTCTGGAAATTTTTATTTAATGTATTTTGTGGCTGTGTTGTTTGATACACATACATTTAAAATGATCACATCTGGCTACTGCATTTTAACACTAGTGAAGCAGGAATATTTATGTTTGTTTCCTGGGTAAAATGTCTGTCTTTTGAACTGGACAATATTTATGTTCTTACTATTGATTTTGAAGAACCCTATTTATAAAACAAAATATTGGTCATATGATGCAACCCAGTTTGCCCTTTGATTGTGATGCAGAATTTTGTCACTTTTTTGGGTTACTTTTAAAATTTACTCAAATCTATAAATAATTTCCTTATACATTTCTTCCATTACTTTTATGCTTTTAAAGTCTTTATTTTCATGCAGACATTAGTTTAATATGCATTTATTTTGCCCCACCATGGAGAACCAACATTTTACTGACTAGCCTTTTCCTGACACATTTAACATGCTATCTTTATCATATGCTACCCATTGCTATGCATAATTTTTCTGTTTTGACGTGAATAATATACTTGCTTTAATTATTACTATGGTTTTATATAGTCCATCTCTCCTGTACCCCACCATACCTTTGTTTCTTTTCATAACTCATTGCTATTCTGTGTCCTTATTATGCCATGGGAACTTTAAAACTAGCTTACTAAGTTCCACAACGTATTTTGGGGGATAAATTATATTAAATTAATAAATTAACACAGCAACTGGTCATTTTTAACTGGTTATTTCTGGGATATGGAACTAAAACCCTTTATCCATTAAAGAGTTACTTATCTTAGTTTGCTTAGTTTTAAGATTTTTTCCCCCAAACTACAAAATATATTAAATTTTATGAGATGCCTTCAAAGAATCAATTTAAATTTTTATAATTTTGTCTCCTTTAATCGCTAATGACAGATTTTGTAAGGATAAACTAATGTTCCAGTCCTGGGATAACACCCATTTACTTCTGATGTATTCTTTTATACATTGAGAGATTTGACAATTTACATAATCTTCTGTGGTTCAGTTTTCGTTAACTGTAACATAACAGTATCCAACACATAGGGCTCTGTGAGCACAATGAATTAAAATATGTAGAACAGTGCTTGTTACATAGTATGCTCTCTGTGTGTATGTATAAATAGATTTTTTTGTTGTTGTTTACGTAGAAGTGTTTGATTTCTTCCTAATATATACAGTTGACCCTTGAATAATATCGGTCTGAACTTCATGGGTCTTCTTATACATGGATTTCCAACAAAATGCAGGTAAAAATACAGTATTCAAGGGATGCAAAACTCATATATATTTAACTGCAGGAGGGTAAACTTTCATATATGTGGGTTTTTGCAAGGCTGACTGTGGGACTTGACTATATGCAAATTTGGGTACACACAGGCAGTCCTGGAATCAATCCTTCACATATATGGAGGGAGAGTTGTACTTTATTTTGTCATCCTGTTTCTTTTCAAGTCTGAGGCTCACTTTGTCACCCAGGATGGAGTGCAGTGGTGTGATCATAGTTCACCATAACGTTAAACTTCTGGGCTCAAGTGATCCTTCCGCCTCAGCTTCCCAGAGTGTTGGGGTTACAGGTGTGAGTCACCGTGCCCAGCTATGTCATCCTTTTTCATGCATCTTGAATGGATTGCCTAATTCATTTATTTCAGTATACAGGCTACAAATTTCTTCCTGTCCATATCCCACAGGTTGTAATAAATAGAATACTTTCATTGTCTGGTTCTAAAAAGATCGTAATTTGTATTTTTTTGATTTTTTAAGCAAAAGATTTCCTTTTTTGCTTAAAGGTTATCTTAAAATATATTTTTAAACCTTCAGAATTTTATGTTTTGAGAATTCTCAGGTATTGCATTGGAAGGGAACATTGGGAAAAAAATCAGCTAGACTTCTGTTAGATAATCAAGTGAAAACCTAGCATGTTGAGATTTGGAATTACAGTTTAGTGAAAATATTCTCAATTTCATCTTCCAAATCTTCTGCTGAGTTTCCATTTTTACTAATATATTTTTAATTTTCAGAAGCTCTCATTCCCTGACTTTTCATTAAAAAAACCATTCAAAATTTATTAATATAATCTCTTCTCTTTCCGAGAATATTAGTTACAATTCAGTTAGTTATTAAAGCTTTCATCTCTTAGAAATTGTTTTTGTTCCCTATGAAGTTCTTTTTTCTTTTTCAACTTTTATTTTAGATTCAAGGGGTACCTATGCAGGTTTGTTACATGGGTAAATTGCATGTTGCTGGGTTGTGGTGTACACATGATTTCACCACCCAGGTAGTAGCACAGTACTTGATAGGTAGCTTTTTGACTATCACCCTCCTCCTATCCTCTACCCTCAAGCAGGCCCTGGTGTCTACTGTTCCCTTCTTTGTGTGCATGTGTATTCAATGTTTAGCTCCCACCTATAAGTGAGAACATAAGGTATTTGGTTTTCTGTTCCTGCTTTAATTTGCTTAGGAAAATGGCCTCCAGCTGCATCCATGTTGCTGCAAAGGACATGATTTCATTCCTTTTCTTTTAATGACTGCATAGTATTCCATGGTGTATAGGTACCATGTTTTCTTTATTCAGTCCACCACTGATAGGCATCTAGGTTGATTCCATGTCTTTGCTATTGTGAATATGATGGACGTATAAGTGCATGTGTCTTTTTGGTAGAATCATTTATTTTCCTTTGGGTATATATACCCAGCAGTGGGATTGCTGGGTTGAATGTAGTTCTAAGTTCCTTGAAAAATATCCAAACTGCTCCCCACAGTGTGGCTGAACTAATTTACATTCCCATCCACCAGCAGTGTATGTGCATTCCCTTTTCTCTGGAACCCTGCCAACATCTGTGATTTTTTTTTAACTTTTTAAGAATAGCCCTTCTGACTGGTGTGAGATAGTATCTCATTGTGGTTTTGATTTGCATTTCTCTAATGATTAGTGATGTTGAACATTTTTTCATATGCTTGTTGCCTGCTTGTATGTCTCACTTTTGAGAAGTGTCTGTTCATGTCCTATGGGCATTTTTTAATGGGGCTGTTTTTCCCTTGTTGATTTTTTTAAGTTCCTTATAGATGCTGAATATTAGACCTCTGTGAAATGCACAGTTTGAGAATATTTTCTCCCATTCTGCAGGTTGTCTGTTTACCCTGTTAATAATTTCTTCTATTGTGCAGAAGCACTTTTTTTTTTGAGACAAGAGTCTCACTCTGTCTCTCAGGCTGGAGTGCAGTGGCACGGTATCGGCTCACTGCAACCTCCGCCTCCCAAGCTCAAGTGATTCTCCTGCCTCGGCCTCCTTAATAGCTGGGACTACAGGCGCACACCACCCTGCCCGGCTAATTTTTGTGTTTTTAGTAGAGATGAGGTTTCACCATGTTGTTCAGGCTGGTCTCGAGCTCCTGACCTCAAGTGATCTGTCTGCCTTGGCCTCCCAAAGTGCTGAGATTACAGGTGTGACCCACTGCACCCGACCAGAGGCTTTTTTTTAAAAAATTATACTTTAAGTTCTGGGGTACATGTACAGAATGTGCAGTTTTGCTACATAGGTATACACATGCCATGGTGGTTTGTTGCACCCATCAAACCCGTCATCCACATTAGGTGTTTCTCCTAATGCTATCACTCCCCTAGCCCCCACCCCCCCCGGACAGGCCTGGATATGTTAAGGTCCCTCTCCCTGTGTTAGTTTGCTGAGAATGATGGTTTCCAGCTTCATCCATGTCCCTGCAAAGGACGTGAACTCATCCTTTTTTATGGCTGCATAGTATTCCATGGCATATATGTGCCACATTTTCTTTATCCAGTCTATCACTGATGGACATTTGGGTTGGTTCCAAGTCTTTGCTATTGTGAATAGTGCCGCAATAAACGTATGTGTGCATGTGTCTTTCAGAATGATTTATAACCCTTTGGGTACATACTCAGTAATGGAATTGCTGGGTCAAACGGTATTTCTAGTTCTAGATCCTTGAGGAATTGTCATACTGTCTTCCACAATGGTTGAACTAACTTATACTCCCACAAACAGTGTAAAAGCATTCCTATTCTCCACACCCTCTCCAGCATCTGTTGTTTCCTGACTTTTTAATGATTGCCATTCTAACTGGTGTGAGATGGTATCTCATTGTGATTTTGATTTGCATTTCTCTAATGACCAGTGATGATGAGCTTTTTTTCATATGTTTGTTGGCTGCATAAATGTCTTCTTTTGAGAAGTGTCTGTTCATATCCTTCACCCGCTTTTTGATGAGGTTGCTTTTTTCTTAATTTGTTTAAGTTCTTTGTAGATTTTGGATATTAGCCCTGTCAGATGGATAGATTGCAAAAATTTTCTCCCATTCTGTAGGTTGCCTGTTCACTCTCATAGTTTCTTTTGCTGTGTAGAAACTCTTTAGTTTAATTAGATCCCATTTGTCAATTTTGGCTTTTGTTGCCATTGCTTTTGGTGTTTTAGACATGAAGTCTTTGCCCATGCCTATGTCTTGAATGGTACTGCCTAGGTTTTCTTCTAGGATTTTTATGTTTTAGGTCTTACGTTTAAGTCTTTAATCTGTCTTGAGTTAATTTTTGTATAAGGTGTAAGGAAGGGATCCAGTTTCAGTTTTCTGCATATGGCTAGCCAGTTTTCCCAACACCATTTATTAAATAGGGAATCCTTTTCCCATTGCTTGTTTTTGTCAGGTTTGTCAAAGATCAGATGGTTGTAGATGTGTGGTGTTATTTCTGAGGCCTCTGTTCTGTTCCATTGGTTTATATATCTGTTTTGGTACCAGTATCATGCTGTTTTTGTTACTGTAGCCTTGTAGTATAGTTTGAAGTCAGGTAGCATGATGCCTCCTGCTTTGTTCTTTTTGCTTAGGATTGGCTTGGCAATGTGGGCTCTTTTTTGGTTCCATATGAAGTTTAAAGTAGTTTTTTCCAATTTTGTGAAGAAAGTCAGTGGTAGCTTGATGGGGATAGCATTGAATCTATAAATTACTTTGGTCAGTATGGCCATTTTCACAATATTTATTCTTCCTATCCATGGGCATGGAATATTTTCCCATTTGTGTCCTCTCTTATTTCATTGAGCAGTGGTTTGTAGTTCTTGAAGAGGTCCTTCACATCCCTTGTAAGCTGGATTCCCAGGAATTTTATTCTCTTTGAAGCTATTGTGAATGGGAGTTCACTCATGATTTGGTTCTCTGTTTGTCTGTTATTGGTGTATAGGAATGCTTGTGATTTCTGCACACTGATTTTGTATCCTGAGACTTTGCTGAAGTTGCTCATCAGCTTAAGGAGATTTTGGGCTGAGATGATGGGGTTTTCTAAATATACAATCATGTCATCTGCAAACAGGGACAATTTGACTTCCTCTTTTCCTATTTGAATACCATTTATTTCTTTCTGTTGCCTGATTGCCCTGGGCAGAACTTCAAATACTATGTTGAATACGAGTGGTGAGAGGACATCCTTGTCTCGTGCTGGTTATCAAAGGGAATGTTTCCAGTTTTTGCCCATTCAGTATGATACTGGCTGTGGGTTTGTCATAAATAGCTCTTATTATTTTGAGACTGTGTTCCATCAATACCTAGTTTATTGAGAGCATTTAGCATGAAGGGCTGTTGAATTTTGTCGAAGGCCTTTTCTACATCTATTGAGATAACCATGCGGTTTTTGTCACTGGTTCTGTTTATGTGATGGAATTACATTTACTGTTTTGCATATGTTGAACCAGCCTTGCATCCCAGGGATGAGGCCCACTTGATCATGGTGGATAAGCTTTCTGATGTGCTGCTGGATTCAGTTTGCCAGTATTTTATTGAGGATTTTCGCATCGATGTTCATCAGGAATACTGGCCTGAGATTCTCTTTTTTTGTTGTGTCTCTGGCAGGCTTTGGTATCAGGATGATGCTGGCCTCATAAAATCAGTTAAGGAGGATTCCCTCTTTTTCTATTGATTGGAATAGTTTCAGAAGGAACGGTACCAGCTCCTCTTTGTACCTCTGGTAGAATTCGGCTGTTAATCTGTCTGGTCCTGGACATTTTTTGGTTTGTAGGGTATTAATTACTGCCTCAATTTCAGAAGTTATTGGTCTATTCAGGGATTCAACTTCTTCCTGGTTTAGACTTGGGAGGGTGTATGTGTCCAGGAATTTATCCATTTCTTCTAGATTTTCTAGTTTATTTGCATAGAGGTGTTTATACTATTCTCTGACAGTAGTTTGTATTTCTGTGGGATCGGTGGTGATATCCCCTTTATCATTTTTTATTGCATCTATTTGACTCTTCTCTCTTTTCTTCTTTATTAGTCTGGCTAGAGGTCTATTTTGTTGATTTTTTCAAAAAACCAGCTCCTGGATTCATTGATTTTTCGAAGGGCTTTTCATGTCTCTATCTCTTTCAGTTCTGCTCTGATCTTACTTATTTCTTGGCTTCTGCTAGCTTTTTGTTTGCTCTTGCTTCTCTAGTTCTTTTAATTGTGATGTTAGGGTGTCGATTTTGGATCTTTCCTGCTTTCTCTTGTGGGCATTTAGTGCTATGAATTTCCCTCTATACACTGCTTTAAATGTGTCCCAGAGATTCTGGTACTTTGTGTCTTTGTTCTCATTGGTTTCAAAGAACATCTTTATTTCTGCCTTCATTTCGTTATTTACCCAGTAGTCATTCAGGAGAAGGTTGTTTAGTTTCCATGTAGTTGTGAGGTTTGAGTGAGTTTCTTAATCCCGAGTTCTAATTTGATTGCACTGTGGTCTGAGAGATAGTTTGTTGTGATTTCTGTTCTTTTACATTTGCTGAGGAGTGCTTTACTTCCAATTATGTGGTCAATTGTAGAATAAGTGCGATGTGGTGTTGAGGAGAATGTATATTCTGTTGATTTGGGGTGGAGAGTTCCGTAGATGTTGCTTAGGTCCACTTGGTCCAGAGCTGAGTTCAAGTCCTGAATATCCTTGTTAATTTTTGGTCTTGTTGATCTAATACTGACATTGGGGTGTTAAAGTGTCCCACTATTATTGTGTGGGAGTCTAAGTCTCTTTGTAGGTCTCTGAGAACTTGCTTAATGAATCTGGGTGCTCCTGTATTGGGTGCATATATATTTACGACAGTCAGCTCTTCTTGTTGCACTGATCCCTTTACCATCATGTAATGACCTTCTTTGTCTCTTTTGATCTTTGTTGGTTTAAAGTCTGTTTTATCAGAGACTAGGATTGGAACTCCTGCTTCTTTCTGCTTTCCATTTGCTTGGTAAATATTCCTCCATCCTTTTACTTTTGAGCCTATATGTGTCTTTGCACATGAGATGGGTCTCCTGAATACAGCATACCAATGGGTCTTGACTCTATCCAATTTGCCAGTCTGTGTCTTTTAACTGGGGCATTTAGCCCATTTACATTTAAGGTTAATATTGTTATGTGTGAATCTGATCCTGTCATTATGATGCTAGCTAGTTATTTTGTCCGTTAGTTGATGCAGTTTCTTTGTAGTGTCGATGGTCTTTACAATTTGGTATGTTTTTGCAGTGGCTGGTACCGGTTGTTCCTCTCCATGTTTAGTGCTTCCTTCAGGAGCTCTTTTAGGGCAGGCCTGGTGGTGACAAAATCTCTCAGCATTTGCTTGTCTGTAAAGGATTTTATTTCTCTTTCGCTTGTGAAGCTCAGTTTGGCTGGATATGAAATTCTGGGTTGAAAATTCGTTAAGAATGTTGAATATCAGTCCCCACTTTCTTCTTCTGGCTTGTAGGGTTTCTGCAGAGATCTGCTGTTGGTTTGATGGGCTTCCCTTTGTGGGTAACCAGACTTTTCTCTCTGGCTGCCCTTAACATTTTTTCCTTCATTTCAGCCTTGGTGAATTTGACGCTTACAAGTCTCGGGGTTGCTCTTCTCAAGGGGTATCTTTGTGGTGTTCTCTGTATTTCCTGAATTTGAATGTTGGCCTGTCTTGCTAGGTTTGGAAAGTTCTCCTGGATAATATCCTGAAGAGTGTTTTCCAACTTGGTTCCATTCTCCCCGTCACTTTCAGGTTCACCAATCAAACGTAGATCTGGTCTTTTCACATAGTCCCATATTTCTTGGAGACTTTGTTCGTTCCTTTTCATTCTTTTTTTCTCTAATCTTCTTGTTTTATTTCATTAAGCTGATCTTCAATGTCTGATATCCTTTCTTCTGCTTGGTCGATTTGGCTACTGATAGTTGTATATGCTTCACGAGGTTCTTGTGCTGTGTGTTTCAGCTCCATCAGGTCATTTATGTTGTTCTTTAGGCTGGTTATTCTAGTTAGCAATTCATCTACCCTTTTTTAAAGGTTCTTAGCTTCCTTGCATTGGGTTAGAACAAGTTCCTTTGGTTTGGAGCAGTTTGTTATTACCCACCTTCTGAAGCCTACTTCTGTCAGTTCGTCAAACTAATTCTCTGTCCAGTTTTGTTCCCTTGCTGGCAAGGAGTTGTGATCCTTTGGAGGAGAAGAGGCCTTCTGGTTTTTGGAATTTTCAGCCTCTTTGCACTAGTTTCTCCCCATCTTTGTGGATTTATCTACCTTTGGTCTTTGGTGTTGGTGACCTTTGGATGGGGTCTCTGAGTAGACATGCTATTCTTTTCTGTTTGTTAGTTTTCCTTCTAACAGTCAGGCCCCTCTGCTGCAGGTGTGCTGGAGTTTGCTGGAGGTCCACTCTAGACTCTTTGCTTGGGTATCATCAGCGGAGGCTGCAGAACAGCAAAGATTGCTGCCTATTCTTTCCTCTGGAAGCTTCGTCCCAGATGGACACCCGCCAGATGCCAGCCAGAACTCTCCTGTATGAGGTGTCTGTTGGCCCCTACTGGGAGGTGTCTCCCAGTCAGGATACCTGGAGGTCAGGGACCCACTTGAGGAGGCAGTCTCAAACGTTGTGCTGGGAGGTCTGCTGCTCTCTTCAGAGCCATCAGGCAGGGATGTTTAAGTCTTTTGAAGCTGCGCCCACAGTTGCCCCTTCCCCCACATGCTCTATCCCAGGGAAATGGGAGTTTCATCTCTAAGTCCCTGACTGTAGTTGCTGCCTTTTTTTCCAGAGATGCCCTGCCCAGAGAGGAGCAATCTAGAGAGGCAGTCTGGCCACAGCAGCCTTGGTGAGCTGCGGTGCGCTCCCACTTCAAACTTCCCAGTGCTTTGTTTACACTGTGAGGGTAAAACCACATACTCAAGCCTCAGCAATGCTGGACCCCCCTCCCTGCATCAAGCTGGAGTGTTCCAGGTTGACCTCAGACTGTTGTGCTGGCAGCAAGAATTTCAAGCCAGTGGATCTTAGTTTGCTGGGTTCTGTGGGGGTGGGACCCACTGAGCCAGACCACTTGGCTCCCTGGGTTGAGCCCCCTTCCAGGGGAGTGAATGGTTTTGTCTTGCTGGCATTCCAAGCACCACTGGGGTATGGGGAAAAACAAAACAAAACAAAAAAAACAACAACTCCTGAAGCTCGGTGTCTGCCTGAATGGCTGCCCAGTTTTGTGCTTGAAACTCAGGGCCCTGGTGGTGTAGGCACTGGAGAGAATCTCCTGGTCTGTGGGTAGTGAAGACTGTGGGAAAAGCACAGTATCTGGCCGGAGTGTACCATTCCTCAGGCACAATCCCTCATGACTTCCCTTGGGTAGGGGAGAGAATTCCCTGATCCCTTCTGCTTCCTGGGTGAGGCGATGCCCCACCCTGCTTCGGGTCACCCTCCATGGGCTGCACCTACTGTCCAACCAGTCCCAATGAGATGAACTGGGTACCTCAGCGGGGAATGCAGAAATCACCTGCCTTCTGTGTCGATCTGGCTGGGAGCTGCAGACTGGAGCTACTCCTATTTGGCCATCTTGCCAGCAATTCCAGAAGCTCTTTAATTAGGCCCCACTTGTCTACTTTTGTTTTTGTTGCAGATGCTTTTGGAGACTTCATCATGAAATCTTTGCCAAGGCCTATGTCGAGAATGTTATTTCCCAGGTTTTCTTCTAGTTTTAGGTCTTACATTTAAGTCTCTCTCTTTTTTTTTTTTTCTGACACAGGGTCTTGCTCTGTTGCCCAGGCTGGAGTGCAGTGGTGCGATCTCAACTCACTGCAACCTTCACTTCCCAGGTTCAAGTGCTTCTTGTGCCTCAGCCTCCTGAGTAGCTGAGATTACAGGCAAGTGCTACCACACTGTTTTGTTTTTGTTTGGTATTTTTAGTAGAGATAGGGTTTTGCCATGTTGACCAGGCTAGTCTCGAACTCCTAGCCTCAAGTGATCCTCCCGCCTTGGCCTCCCAAAAAGTGCTGGGATTACAAGCATGAGTCACCATGGCCAGCCTTACATTTAAGTCTTTATTCTATCTTGCATTGACTTTTGTATATGGTGAAAGGAAGGGGTCCAGTTTCAATCTAATGCATATGATTAGCCAGCACCATTTATTGAATAGGGAGTTCTTTCCTCATTGCTTACTATCAACTTTGTCAAAAAACAGGTGGTTGTAGGTGTGCTTCATTTTTGAGTTCTCTAATCTGTTCCACTGGTGTTCCATATAATCTTGTTCCACGCAGTCTGTGTGTCTGTTTTTGTATCAGCACCATGCTGTTTTGGTTACTGCAGCCTTGTAGTATAGTTTGAATTGGGTAGTGTGATGCTCCTGGCTTTGTTGTTTTGCTTTGGGTTGCTCTGGCTATTCGGGCTTTTTTTGTTTCATATGATTTTTTTTTTCTTTTGTTGCCCAGGTTGGAGTGCAGTGGTGTGATCCCAGCTCACTGCAACCTCCACCTCCTGGGCTCAAGCGATTTTCCTGCCTCAGCCTCCCGAGTAGCTGGCATTACAGGTGTCTGCCACCACACCTGGCTCATTTTTGTAGTTTTAGTAGAGACGGGGTTTTATCATGTTGGCCAGGCTGGTCTTGAACTCCTGACCTCAGGTGATCCACCTGCCTCAGCCTCCCAAAGTGCTGGGATTACAGGCATGAGCCACCGCGCCCAGCTTCATATGAATTTTGTAATAGTTTTTTTCAAATTCTTTGAAAAATGATGTTGGTAGTATGATAGGAATAGCACTGAATCTGTAGATTGCTTTGGGTAGTATGCCCATGTTAACAATATTGATTCTTCCTGTCCACGAGCACAATGGGCAGCATGGTCATTTTAACAATATTGATTCTTGCTATCCATGAGCATAGAATGTTTTTCCATTTTTTAATGTTGTCTGTGATTTCTTTTGGCAGTGATTTGTAATTACTGTTGTAGAGAGATCTTTCACATCCCTTATTCCCAGGTATCTTATTCTTTTTGTGGCTATTGCAAATGGGATTGTGCTCTTCATTTGGCTCTCAGCTTGAATGCTGTTGGTGTATAGAAATGCTGCTGATTTTTGTACACTGATTTTGTATCCTGAAACCTTACTGAAGTCGTTTATCAGATCTAGGAGCCTTTGGGTAGATACTATGGGTTTTCTAGGTATAGAATTATATCATCTGCAAAGACGGATAGCTTGACTTTCTCTCTTCCTATTTTGATGAGTTTTCTTTCTGTTCCCTGATTGCTCTGGATAGGACTTCCATCACTATGTTGAATAGCAGTGGTGAGAATGGGCATATTTATCTTCTTCTGGGTCTCAAGGGGAATGCTTCCAGCTTTTGCCCATTCATTGTGACGCTGGCTGTGGGTTTGTCATAGATGGCCCTTATTATTTTGAGGTATGTTCCTTAGATGCCAGTTTGTTGAGGGTTTTTAACATGAAGGGGTGCTGAATTTTATCAAAAGCCTTTTCTGTGTCCATTAAGATGACCATGTGGTTTTTGTTTTTTGTTCTATTCATGTGACGAATTGCATTTATTGGTTTGCATATGTTGAACCAACCTCGTATCCCAGGAATAAAGCCTACATGATTGTGGTGGATTAGCTTTTTGATGTGCTGCTGAATTTAATTTGCTACTATTTTGTTGTGGGTTTTTGTGTGTATGTTCATCAAGGATATTGGCCTGAAGTTTTTTTTATTGTGTCTGCCAGGTTTTAGTATCAGAATGATGCTATCCTCACAGAATGAGTTAGAGAGGAGTCCCTCCTTGATTTTTTGAAATAATTTCAGCAGGATTGGTACCAGCTCTTCTTTATACATCTGGAAGAATTTGGCTGTGAATCTGTCTAGTCCAGGGTTTTATCTGATTGGTAGTTTTTTTTTTTTAATTACTGATCAAGTTCAGAACTCATTACTGGTCTGTTCAGTGTTTCGGTTTATTCCTGGTTCAATCTTAGGAGGTTGTATGTTTTCAGGAATTTATCAATTTCTTCTAAGTTTTCTAGTTTGTATGTATGAAGAAGTTTGGCTTATTGCTACTTTGAGCGGAGTTTAGGTAACTTGCCACCAGAAGAATGCTGATTAATGTACTTTCAAGTAGTTTGAGTTTTTACTCAATTTTTTTCAGTTAATAACCTTTTTCTGAAACTGATATGAAAGTTTTCCATTTTATTTTTATTCTTCTAGTGAAAATATCTTAAATTTTTAACAGACATACTTTAACCATTGTTGGAGAAATACAACTTTATCAATGTCTATATTTCTCTACTCTTATACAAATAAGAACCATAGGATATTACTCCAATTCCTTTTTCTCTCTTATATATCTGTGATCAATACTTATTTAGTCCTAAGAATAATTTTTACTATTTTTATTGCTCACAATTGCTTCTTTCCTCCCACTGTTTCCTCTAGGATCCATTTACCTTCTTGCTGAAGAATATCATTTAATATTTGTTTCAGAGATATTCTGTGGTATACTTTTTGCACCTCTTTTTACAAGCCTGAAAATGTCTTTATTTGTCCCTCACATTTGAGTAAGAACAGAATTTTAGGTTTGTAGTTATTTTTTTTGCAGTACTTGAATAATTTTGTTCCATTTCTTTTTGTGTACACTTTATGGATAATGTTTTTTTCTTTCTGGTAGATCTTCAGACCTTTCCTATCTTTCGTATTCTGAAATTTCACTCACAGAGGTTGACAACTATAGTCTGTGGGCCAAACCTATCTTGCCATCTGCTTTGGTACAGCCTGTGAGCTAAAAATAGTTTTACATTTTTAAGTTTGAAAAACAAAAGAATATTTGTGACATGAAAATAATATGAAATGAATAGCTCAGTGTCTGTTACTAAAGTTTTATTGGAACATAGCCACATACACTTGCTTACATATTATCAATGGCTGCTTAGTTGTGGCAGAGGCCCACAAAGCCTCAAGTATTTATAACTGGTTAGAAAAAAATTGCTGATTCCTTCTCCTGTGTATCTTTTTATTTGCTCAAACAACTAAAATTCTCGGAATTATTAAGCTATTATTTCTATTGCTTCCAAAGAGGATTTCTTACGCCAGTATCCCAAATCAAAAACTTTTCAGTTTTTTCCATTCTATTATTCAGTCCAATGGCTGCATTTTTTTTTTAATAAAACTTTCATTTCTAAGAAACTGGTTCTAGTGTTGGTTTAGGAGTGTGATATTCTCTCTTATTCCTTTGAAAATAGTAAATATGCTCATTTTGATGTCTTGTTCTGATTGTGTCTCCTTCCAAGGGTATAAGTTCTTCCATTTGTTGAGTATTTCATTGATATTTCTTAACTGTTTGATATTTGTCCACCTTTTAAGTAGTTGAGAACAGACTGCTGCTTCTGTTCTCACTGGCTGCTTAGGAAGGGGCGGTGGGGTTGTTGGGGTTTTTAATGAGAACAGGGATATGAGTTGGGGACAGAATGAGATGGGATGTGATATGTTGCTGAGGTGTAGCTATTTCAGTGACTGGGCTTTCTCTGTTCCAAGCTCCATAGTCAGGGCTTTTGTCTTTCCTTTAGGGGTAGGGTGGGATATACAGGAGTTGACCTACCTAGACACATCTTCTTCTGGTCTTCTTCTTGCTATTGGTTTCAGTCAAATTCAGGTAGAGATCATTAAGTGCTACTCCCATTACCTGTCTAATTATTTTATACATTCTACTATGAAGAATCTAAGCTGCTGGCTCCTTCATTTTGATCCCATCTGCTTTCCTTCTTTTAGTGGCCCGCTGAAAGTTTCTCTTCTAAGTGATATTCTGTATTTCTTACTTTTATGTGGTTTGAAACTGAAAACTATAGCATACTTTCAGTTTAACTCAGATGCTGAGTCTAATGCTGGTCTATATTACTATATTAATGCTAGTTTTTAGAAGTCCACTGAAGTGTTGTTTGTGGCCTAATATGTATTTTGTAAATGATCTATGAACATAAACCACAAAGGTATTTTTATCTATCTTAAGGGAATACTTTACTGTGTCTTCAAGTAATAGGTTTCAATTTCTCCTTTTTTGTTTTTGCTTTAAAAATCTGATGTTATCAAGACAGTTTTTTTGGGGGTCTTAATTATTTTTATATTCAACCTTTGTTGTTGTCATTCAATAATTGAATCTTTTTATTTTGATAAGTGACTTTATTCCTTTTACATTCACTGATCTAGAAATATTTGCGTTAGTTCTGGCATCTTTAGTTTATGCCGCATGGTCTGTGTTTTTCTTTTGTGTGTACATGTTTTCTGATTTAATTAGAATAGTTAGTCTGGCTTTAGTTTTGTAACAGCTTATTATAATTTTCTTAAACCCCAACTTATCAGCTTTTGAGAGCATCTGTTGAGACCCTGCTAATGAAACTTACACATATATTTACTTCCTCATTTTTACATCTTCAGTTACACTATTTTTTTCTTATGGAATATTATGTTCTGCTCTCTTTTAATGCCCATAGTTGTTTAGCCTCATTTCTACATTTAAATGGATTGAATGCTCACTATTATTTCTTTTCTACCATGGCTGCTCATTTCCGGCTTTTTATTTTGGCTTGTCTCTTGGTTTTATGATTATGTACTTTTTAAAGAAGAGCTCCTGGGTACTATATAATCTCTAGTTCTCGTATGTTTGACAATATCTATCAGCATCTTTATGCTTGAATACCATCTTGGCTTGGTCTAAAATTCTTGGGTATAGAGCTTCTTTCTCTGAGGAAGTTGCAAACATTGTTTCATGGTCTTTCAGTATTCAATTTTACTGAGGCATGCTGATTTATTTATTTATTTATTTACCAGTTGTCTGGTGACTTGAATTTTTAAAACTGGAAAAAAAAAACCCAATGATAAACCTTTATTCATCCTTGAGTTCTAGTAAATTCACAATGCAAATCTGGGGTCCATCACTATTCATTATCAGTATTTCCTGGATATGGCGTGATTTCTGACCTTTCCTATTCAGGTTTTCTTTTATTTCAAAAAAGCTTTCCTATTGTCTTTTAATATACTTTACTATTTCATATATTCTTTTGTCTAAAACACATAAATAAGATCCCATTTGCTTTCCTTACCTATACCTAATTTTCTTTTGGATACTTTTTTTGTTTCTTTTCTATTACATTTTACTTGATCTTTCATAGTCTTCTTCCTCATCCCGTTTTTCCTAATTAAAGTCCAGAAGTACACATCCACAAAATGATTTTAATGCTTAATGGAACTGTACTGGGTACATGTAGTATAATTTTATTAATCTTCCCATTAGATACCTAGATTGCCTCCAAATTTTCACTATTATAAACATCCACACTTGCTGTGTGTGTGTGTGTCAGGGTCTAGCTAGCTCTGCAGGCCAGGCTGGAGTGCAATGGCATAATCTCAGCTCACTGCAGCCTCTGCCTCCCATACTCAAGTGATCCTCCCACCTCAGCCTCCTGAGTAGCTGGGACTACAGGCACACACCATCACACCTGGCTAACTTTTGTATTTTTTGTAGAGATGGGGTTTCGCCACATTGCCCAGGCTGGTCTCGAACTCCTGGGCTCAAGTGATCTGTTTGCCTCAGCCTCCCAAAGTGCTGGGATTACAGCCATGAGTGACTGCGCCTGGCCAATCCACACATATTCTTAACTGCAGCATTGTTGCTTCTTAAGATTGGTATGCTAACCCTAATTCCTAGTATGGAAGCTCAATGCCAAAAAAACCTTTAAATCATGCTTGTGAATCCATTTTCCTATATTCTGATGCAGTCAGGCTTAAGATACTGAGTGCACGATGAATGATTTTAAGGGTTTCCAGGTCACTGCCATAAAAATGAAATCCTAGTTTTGTGGCTAAGCAGGTTAAAGAAATCTCTCAGTGAAAGAAAGCTCTTTGCTGATGGCTTGTTCAGCACCCTCAAAAAAGATAATATTTAATGAATGGTAGAGGTATAAAATGGTACAATCTATATTGAGGACTATTTGACTTTATCTATGGGGCTGGATAGTTTCTGTTTATCCCTCTAGACCTGCTCTTCCTCTATCTCTATGCCTCAGGAGGCTGACCTGAATGGACCACATCAGAGACCACATTTGAGACTGTCTCAAAAAAAAAAAAAAAAAAAAAAAAGAATTCATGTATCTTTCTAAATATACATAGATAGGTGGAGAGAGAGGCTCTTTGGAAGAGTAAGCAAGAACATGATGACACTTGTTGCTTCTGGGGAGGAGAAGTGGGTAGTAGGAAACTTTTTACTATTTCTTTTGTTTCTTTGAATATTATATGAATAGTGCCTGTTCAAAAAGTACACTACATTAATGAGAAAGATTAATTGAGGCCTTTACAGAAGCTATGACTAAGGAAGAATTAGAAGAATTACAAAAGGAGTTACTAGAAGATGATGGAAAAAACCAGCAAATTATAAAGTTGCTGAAGTGATCCAAGGAGTCAAATTCTTGGATAATTAAATTTCTTAACATGGTCCCTTTATGGAATTATGCCCTGACTAGTAGAAATACATGTAGAAGTTACTTCCTGCACAAAACCATGTATAATAAAGATTTGTTCTAAACATGATCATCTTTATTATTATTGAAGGAGCTTTAGTTTTTTTTTTTTTTTTTTTTTTTTTTTTGGAGACGGAGTTTTGCTCTTGTTGCCCAAGCTGGAGTGCAATGGCATGATCTCGGCTCACTGCAACCTCTGCCTCCCGGGTAAAAGCCGATTCTCCTGCCTCAGCCTTCCAAGTAGCTGGGATTACAGGCATGCACCACCATACCCGGCTAATTTTTTTGTATTTTTAGTGGAGACAGGGTTTCTCCATGTTGGTCAGGCTGGTTTCAAACTCCCGACCTCTGGTTATCCACCCGCCTCGGCCTCCCAAAGTGCTGAGATTACAGGCGTGAGCCACCGTGCCCGGCCAGAGCTTTAGTTCTTTTAGCCTCCTCCTTTATGTACAGGGTTTATCAATATCACTAAAACAGTAGTTTGATTGTTCAGTGATCTCGGTTTCCAGTGAAAGATGAGACTCATTAAAGGAAATGGACATGAGAAGACTCTGTCAGGAAATGAGTGAAGATTGCTGGAAAAAATAATCATTTAACTAAAGTTGGCTAAATCACATTTTTATGCTATTCAAAAATGGAAAAAACAGAAAAGGATTTTGTAAGGGGGTTTTAATACTCTGGACATGCGCATTCCTGTTAAAAATTCTATAAGACATAGGGAAACTTACTCACCCTTCCTGGAATTGTGCTTGGGCAGATTCCTCTGCAACAAGCGTCTCATACTCCTCAGCGGCAAACCGGTCCCAGTCTGAGGGCTCAGGCCCATCGTTCTCAACATCCTGATTGGAAAGAAGACAGCCACGAGAAATAAAAAAAATCAAAGACAAAGAATTGGAGATAGATCATCACACAAATGTATACTGCTGAAAAAATCCTACCTGAAAAATGTTTCATTTCAACAGGTTTAAAAGAGGTGCTAAGGTAAAACTCCTAAGGTAATTTTCTACACCTCAAATGGCAAAATTATAACTGTTTAGCAGCCAGGTTTTTTAGGTATAGATTCCATTTTTTTCTTTTTTCTTTTTTTTTCTTTTTGAGATAGAATCTCACTCTGTCACCCAGGCTGGAGTATAGTGGCACGATCTCGGCTCACTGCAGCCTCTGCCTCCTGGGTTCAAGCAATTCTCCTGCCTCAGCCTCCCAAGTAGCTGGGACTACAGGCAAGTACCACCACGTCCAGCTAATTTTTGTATTTTGTAGAGACAGGGTTTCGCCATGTTGGCCAGGCTGGTCTCGAACTCCTGACCTCAGGTGATCTGCCCGCCTCAGCGTCCCAAAGTGCTGGGATTACAGGTGTGAGCCACCGTGGCTGGCTGATTCCAACTCTTTTTTTTAAAAGAGATAGGGTCTCACTCTGTTGCCTAGTCTGGAGTGCAGTGGTGCACCAATAGCTTACTGCTAACCTCAGAATCTGGGCTCAAGTGATTCTCCTGCCTCAGCCTACTGAGTAGCTGAGACTACAGGCATTCCACCTACTAAGTAGTTGAGAATGCAGGCATACCACCATGCCCTGCTAATTTTAAAATTTTTTTGTAGACACAGGGGCTCACTATGTTGCCCAGGCTGGTCTTGAACCCCTGGCCTCAAGTGATCCTCCCGTCTTAGCTTCCTAAGTAGCTGGGATTACAAGCACAAGCCATAGCACCTGGTAAGTCTACTCTTTAGCCTTGTAATCAGAGACATTTCTCTGGTCCCCTCTCCTCTGGCACTTTGCACAGCAGCCACCTGGAGTGACTTGTGGTTTGCCACAGGCCCGCCTGAAATGTACCTTCCCCAAGCCCCCATTCGCTGGCAAATTTTTGTTCTTTAAAAGCCAACTCAGATACCACGCTGTCTGTGATAGCTTCCTGGAAACAGCCCTTCTCTCCATATCACTTCCTTTTTCCTAATGTAGATACTTTGGTTGCCACCTTTTGTTCTTGTATCTCTGCCATCTCCATATATCCAGTATCTCTTCAACACAGTGCCCAGAATTTATTAAGCACTGACTAATAATGTTCTTTGTAGATCAGAACAAATATCAATAATTATACCATTTATTAAAAAAAGTAAAATTTAAAGGTAATTTTTTTAGAGTAAAAATGGTAACACAAAGAAAATAAGTGAAGAGGGAAAAGACCACACACTTTTGTGAATTTTCTTGAAATTTTATGTTTCAGATAAAATGTCTTTCCAAGCCGAACATGAGTTAGTATTGCCCTAGGGTCTAGAGTTAGTTATGCCAAGAATAATGTTAAGTTCCTAAACAATGACCACTATTAATTACTATATTTAACTCCTTTTAAGACCCCATCTCTATCCTTCTAACATTTATAAAATTGCAATGCATTATAGGCTTACAACTGGCAATGTTTGGGGTTTTGTTTTTGCTTAGAGAACTATAAAACAGGCTGGGCACAGCCAGCTCACGCCTGTAATCCCAGCACTTTGGGAGGCCTAGGTGGGCAGATCACCTAAGGTCGGGAGTTCGAGACCAGCCTGACCAATATGGAGAAACCTTGTCTGTACAAAAAATACAAAATTAGCTGGGTGTGGTGGTGCATGCCTGTAATCCCAGTTACTCAGGAGACTGAGGCAGGAGAATCACTTGAACCCGGGAGGCGGAGGTTGCGGTGAGCCGAGATCACACCATTGCACTCCAGCCTGGGCAACAAGAGCGAAACTCTGTCACACACACACACACACACACACACACAAAGAAAGAAACAAATATAAAATTATGGAGCATGTTAAATTCAATGAACCATAACAGACTTTAAGCCAGCGATAATGCAACTTGATATGCTGAGGTCAGCTGCAGAATATTTGTTTTTGGAAGGCGATAAATTCTTATTTATCTTATTTAGAAGGTGATCATATTCTTACTACTATTTAGGTCAAACAGTTATGGAACATGCAGAAGAAAAAAGAATGCAAAAGCTTCTTATAGTTTACTGTTACTCAACTGCAACAGTCTGTTCTTAACATAATTTTTACTTCTTAGAGGAATGGTAAGAACAAGGGGTGACATTGTTTTTATTTTTAACATGGATCGTATGTATAGGGTTTTCTGAGGGTCCACAGGTTTGTGTGTCTGGGGAAGGATATTCAGCTTTATTCAGATGTAGAATGCATTCAAAACTGATAGCCATGAACGGCAATCATTAACACGTGAAAAGGCGTTATATTATTTGAAGGTTTTCTATCATGGAGAACTCTAGTTTTTACCGTGATGGGGAAAGCTACTTACCATGGAATCCTGGAAATGAATGGTACAAGTGAATCAAGGCCAATATAGTTTCTAATACAGATGTGCCTATTGATATATTTTTAAAAGTTAGAAGGACAATTTTTTTTTCAAAACTACTCTTTTGTTTCCAGTGTGTGTATCAGTAGATGAGCTATAGAGTCCGCTCAGTGGAAAGTGCTTACACAGATGCAGGTTACTTAGACCTGACGATCGGCTGTGGAGAGACATGTGCTCTAGAGGTCCTTTATTGTCTCTTTTTAGTCTTTAATGAAATGTTACAAATGTTACCTCTTTACCGAAATTCCAGCATGCAGAGACCATGTTAATATGTAGCACACACAGCCCCTGACACTGCAGCCCTCAAATAAAAGTTAAAATTATACTGTTACCTTCTGGACCGCAAAGGGATCTCTCTGTTCATGGTCTAAGTATTTCTCCAGATTAAAGAAAGTGTCATAGAAGATGTGAGCCATTCTGCACCTCTTCAGATCTCTTAGAGTTATTTTGCCTACATAAAAATAAACAAATCTGGTAAATTTCATCAAGAGCTGTTTTGGCAAGAGGAAAAAACTTTCCCTGACATCTAAAAGTATAGGTATATGTTTATTATAAAAGTCCTATTTTCAGAATAAAAAAATTTAAATCTCATTTCTTTTTTCAAGGGTATCAATTTCTCAAACCCATTTCTTTTATTGAGGTAAAATTCACTAATAAAGTTCACCATTTAAACAATTTTAAAGTGCATAATTCAGTGGCTTTTAGTACACTCACAATGTTGTACAACCATTACCACTATCTAGTTCTGTAATAATATCATCACCCCAAAAGGAAACTCTGTGCCCATCAAGCAGTCCCTCCCATCTCTCCTCATGTGCTTTCTGTGTCTAAGGAAAAATCTTCTTTCATCCCCCAAACCCCGCTTTCATTTTCTTTTTAAAAAAGAGATACAGTCTCGCTGTGTTGCCTAGGCTGGAGTGCAGTGGCTACTCACAGGAACAATCATAATGCAATCCTCCCACCTCAGCATCCTTAGTAGCAGGGACTACAGGCATACACCACTGTGCCTGGTGTAAAATCCTATTTCTTAAATAGCAGACTTGCCATCAATTGCTACACTAAGCCTGGGCATGGTGACTCACGCCTGTAACCCCAGCACTTTGGGAGACCGAGGTGGGTGGATCACCTGAGGTCAGGAGTTCGAGACCAGCCTGGCCAACATGGTGAAACCCCATCTCTACTAAAAATACAAAAATTAGCTGGGCATGGTGGTGGTTGCCTGTAGTCCCAGCTACTTGGGAGGCTGAGGCAGGAGAATCACTTGAACCCAGGAGGCGGAGGTTGCAGTGAGCTGAGATCACACCATTGTACTCCAGCCTGGCAGACAAAGCGAGACTGCATCTCAAAAAAAAAAAAAAAAAAAAAAGTTGCTACACTAATAGTCAAGGAGAAACTTTAAACACTTCTGTCCTAGGAAGTCTTCTATCAAGACTCTGAAATGTTAAATAATTTAGGACAATCTAGGATTCTTTGCCCTCCTCTGATACATAGGTGAACAGTGCATCTGTCCCATTGCTTGGTCTCACCATCAACAGCTGGCTTCACTAGGTCAAGCATCTGGCACAGTAAATCATGGAATGGCAAGGGCTCAATTCCCATGGCTTCCATCCGTTCACACTGCTCCTCATAGAAGTACTCCAGCTCATACATGGAGAGTACACCGTCTCCATCCACATCCATGCAGCGGAACCAATACTCAATGCTAGATGATAAGGACAATCATTATCATGGGCCTGGTAAAGACCTTTTATTTATCCAGATTTAGTATGTTTCTTTTAAAGTAAAAGTTACATATTACATACACTTCAGGCTTAGATATAGTTTTACAAAGTTTGTTAGAGAAAATGGCGGACCCCTTCTTCCCTTTATTTTTCCACCCAGAATCAACCGTGTTCAACCCCATTTTGCTTTTTACCTTCCTATTTTCAGATAACACGTCTATATCGCTCCTTTCTTGTATTTATTTTCAGAACTATTATTAGAGGCTGGGCACGGTGGCTCATGCCTGTAATCCCAGCACTTTGGGAGACTGAGGTGGGCAGATCACTTCAGGTCAGGAGTTTGAGATCAGCCTGGCCAACATGGTGAAACCCTATCTCTACTAAAAATACAAAAAACTAGCTGCGCATGGTGGTGCATGCCTGTAATCTCAGCTACTTGGGCGGCTGAGGTGGGAGGATTGTTTGAACCTGGGAGGTGGAGGGTGCAGTGAGCCAAGACTGCGCTGCTGCACTCCAGCCTGGGTGAAAGAACGAGACTCCCGCCTCAAGATAAAAACCAACTAAACAACCAACCAACCAAACAAAAAGTAGATTTCACATTATGAAAGTTGAACTTTAGTTCTTCTGTAATTTGTCACCACTTTACCTACACGCCCTTCTCATCCTCTTAACACAGTTAACTTGCTCAACATTCAGAATTTATAATTTTATATTTTTCTTTTATCTATTTGCTTAGTTTTCTGTGTACTTGCTACTAATTCAACCCCCAAATTCTGCCAGTTGTCTAAATCCACACTCAGTTCCATGAGGTGCTCTGTCAATTGCATGTTCTTGATGAAGTCTTCCTTGGTTGCTTCTGACCTACTCTAATCTGGGCTGCTTAGTCTCTAGGCCTCGCTCAGTTTCATCCAGGGATTCCTTTCGCCTTTCTCCTAATTCTTGTTTCTTGCATTTTCCTCATTCTTTGTTTCCTCATTATTTTGTTACTCTGCGCATTCTCTAGTAGCTTCTTGAATGAAAGAGCATGGCAGGTACATTTTTTGAGATCTTGGGTCTTTGAAAATGCCTTTTTTCTACCCTCTAATATGGTTGGTATTTTGGCTAGTTATAGAATTAGAGGTTTGTGGTGTTTTGCCTTCAGATTTTTTGTTTTAACTTTAGAGATGGGGTCTCACTCTGCTGCCCAGGCTGGAGTAGAGGCACAACATGGCTCACTGCAGCCTTGAACTCCTGGCCTCAAGCAATCTTCCCAAGTAGCTGGAACTACAGGTGCATGCCACGATGCCTAGCTAAATTTTTTTTTCAGATGGCATCTCACTCTATCACTCTATTGCCCAGGCTGGAGTGCAGTGGTGTGATCTTGGCACCGCAACCTCTGCCTCCCGGGTTCAAGTGATTCTTCTGCCTCAGCCTCCTAAGTAGCTGGGATGACAGGTGCCTGCCGCCATGCTCAACTAATTTTTTTTTTTTTTTTAAGGAGAGACGGGGTTTCACCATATTGACCAGGCTGGTCTCGAATTTCTGACCTCAGGTGATCTGCCCGCCTAGGCCTCCCAAAGTGCTGGGATTACAGGCGTGAGCCACGGCGCCTAGCCTGGCTAATTTTTAATAATAATAATAATAAAAGTTCTTTTTTTTTTGGTAGAGACAGGGTCTCACTATATTGCCCACACTGGTCTCGAACTCCTGGCCTCAAGGGATCCTCCTGTCTTGGCCTCCCAAAGTGCTGGAATTTTAGTTGTGAGCTCCTGCGCCTGGCCTTTTCCCTCATACTTTAAAAAGTATTGATCCATTGTTTATCCAGTATTGATGAGAAGTCTAAAGCTTTATTGGTATCTATTCCTTTGACTGTAACCCATTTTGTTTTTTGCCTCTTAGAAGCCCGCAGAGGTTTCTCTGAGTCCTTAGTAGTTTGAAATATCATGATGGCCTTGGTTGAGATCTAGCTCATCTATTTGGCTGGGCTTTTCTGAGAGCCTATTCAGTTTGGAAACTGAATCCTTCAGTCCTTGAAAATGTTTGTATCTCTCTTCCCTGCCCTTTCCCTCCTTCTCTTTTTTTTTTTTTTTTAAGAACTGTTATTGAGATCTACATAGCCCAGTAATGGTATAGCTACTAGCCGCATGTGGCCTTTTGAGCATCTGAAATGTGGCTAATCAAATTTGAGATGTTTTCTCAGTGCAAATACAAAACAGATATACAACAAAATTAATTTTACCTATTTTTAAATTTTTCCATTGTGGCTAAATTTTAAAATTACCTATGTGGCCTGTACCATATTTCATTTTCCAGTTATATTAAAATTTTTTTGATCTGTTTCTCCAATTTTCGTATCTTGTCTCTATTTCCTATTGTTTCATCTTTTTTGGGGGAGGGGGTTTCTTTCTGGGAGGGTTACACAGCTTTATCTTCTAAACATTGTTTTTTTATTTCTGCTATTGTAGTTTTGATTACTCAAAGAGCTTTTTGGTTTCCTGAATGTTCCTTTCATAGAAAGTATCATTCTGTTCATGTCCTGTACTCTAATTTCTTCTCATAGTCTCTCTGAGGATATTAATCACTGTGTTTTTTTTCTTGTAATGTTTTATTTTCTCTGAAAGTCTGTTTCATCCAAGTTATCTTTCCCCCTCTATTTGTCTGGCCTTTATCTTTTGTGCAAGAGGCTTTACTCAGGTATCTAGTGATCCTCTGTTCTCTGCTCATATTTGAGAGTAGGTGCTAAAAAGCTGATTGGAGGTTCTGATCTGTGGGTTTGTTGACTCTGGGCTTTACTGTAAAATGAATGGGCTGGTTTTTTTCCTTGGGGATGACCCAGTGTCGAATCTTCAGGTCTTTATTCTTGGGCAGGTCAGTTCCCCAGAAAAGCATTTCAGTTTCTTGCTTGGAGGTTCAGGGCAGGTAGGCAGCATTCTGTTAGCTGAGTGAGGAATGAAGACTGGGCGTCTCAGCATTCAGTATGCATACACTCATTTTATCTGTTTTCAAGATCACATTCACATCTCAACTGTGCCCAATGCTCCCCAGTCCGGAGACCCTCTGTTTTATGTTCTCCAGGGAATAAAGCACCAGTTTTATGCTAGGGTAGAGGACATGACCTGAAGATCAACTGTTCATTTAAACAAACTTTCTATAAACTCTCCTGTTTTGGCTTTACCTTTACCCCACCCCCACTTCCAAGGTTCCTAGTATCCCCAAATCCTGAATGTCTGCAGGTTTTGCTGGGTATATCTGGTTGCTTCTTGGTTTTTCCCTCAGCTGGCTTAGGATTCAGGCAGTCTGCTATGTTTATTTGCTTTCCAGTTTCCAATACTTTGTTATTATTTCTCATTTCCTTTATGAAGCCAACAACATTAATTGGTAATAGGGAACAATGTTTTTCTAAAGAACCACAAATTCATGGCAAAGTAAAACTTTTCAAGAGAAGGTTCTAGGAGACCGCTGTTCAAATTCCCACTTGTAGGCCTGAAACCATATTAAGAACCACACCTTTAATGGTTAAAAGAAAATCTCCTTTGGGGAGAGAAAAGTGAAAATAACTAAGTTGTAACTGTTGACTGTTTTCAAGTAAGTCACATTAAGATCTGTGTGTACCTTTTCTGAGAAAGATATAGTTTACATTATTGCAAAAAATTGAACATGTAATACTTGAAAAGTTTTTTACTATTTGTTTTTGAGATAGGCTCTCATTCTGTTACCCAGGCTGGAGTGCAGTACTGCAATCATGGCTCACTGCAGCCTCAACCTCTTGGGCTCAAGTGAGACTCTTGCCTCAGCCTCCAGACTAGCTGGGACCAGAGGCATGTACCACCACACCTGGCTAATTTTTTAAAAACTTTTTGTAGAGATCAGGTCTTCCTATGTTGCCCAGAGTGGGCAAAGTCTTTTTGAGAAATATATTTTAAAAATTGTACCAACTTGATGTTTAACATTATTATTAAAGAACAAAGGGGGACATTCATTGAACCTAATGAATGTGAGGTAATAGGTTGGCTATGGTGAGGTTCAGTCATATCATATCTACTCTCAGAATATAAAAGGGGCAGAATGCTGCCCCACTGTCAAACTATTCCTGATTGTGGGGAAAACCTTGAAGAGTTACATCTCATAAGCAGAGGGCTGCAATACATGTAATAATATCTGGTTGTTACACTGTTGGGACTTTTTTTTTTAAGTAATAATGGTTTCAGTACAAAAGGGGCAGGGGAGTGGCCTCTGGCCTCTAAGATCTCTTTGTGTCTTGAAATTCCTCATTAATTATCTTAAGAGAACCAAAATCAGGCAAAAGGGAATAAAGTAAATCTTGATTTTGACCAAGGATTTAACAGGACTGAAGTGAAAGACAACTTATTTTACTGTGAAATAGAAACTGAAATAATTTAATTACTTGCATTTTCAATTAAGAACTAAGACAATCTTCTCTTTACAATAAATAAAGCTAAAGCATACCCTTCAGTTCTTTGTTAATAGCCCGTAAGAGAGAAAGAAAGCTAGAATGCAAAGATAGATATACTGCCTGAATATTTGCCAAAAGCACATAACTGCTTTTAAATATCTGAAAGATGTGGTAGATCAAACAGATATAATTCTCTGAATATTGGAGACTATAAGGATCAATGAACGAAAGAGAAAAATGAACAGGCTGCCTCAGTGGATAGTTACTTGTCCCTGAAAAGTTTAGCAGCAGGGGCTGGATGGATAATACATGCAGGACATGTTCAGAGGGTATTTTCTTATTGAAAGTACTGGATACTCTCTAAAGTTTCTTTCATTGCAGATTCTTTTTTTTTTTTTCTTACCAAAGGTAACTGATCTTCTCAGAGCCTAAAAGTATTGACTATTTATTGTAGGAAAATTGGAAAACAGAAAACACAGAAGGAATAACTGACCAGAGAGCACTAGTGTTAGATTTCTGCTATATTTACCACCAATATTTGGTTTTTCAAAGCATAATGATATTAATGACAAATTATATTTCTAATATTGTAGACATAAACAAAATTACATTTTTTGTGTGTGTGTGAGACAAAGTCTCGCTCTGTCACCCAGGCTGGAGTGCAGTGACATGATCGCAGCTCACTGCAACCTTCCTCACCTCCTCCCCAACCCCCGGGTTCAAGCGATTCTTGTGCCTCAGCCTCCCAAGTAGCTGGGACTACAGCCATGAGCTAAGATTACTTCTTGTCCTTTCCTTGGACTGAATGAAATTAAGTGCTGAGCAAGTGATTTCTTACCCCTAATATAAACTCCTGTATGCTACTCAAGAAGAAAGTTACTGGAAACTCCATTATTGCTTAGGCAGTAATTAAATGTATATTCTGTTGCATATTCAATATACATATTTTATTATTTACTACTGTGAAAAGCACTGGCCTAGTGCCCTTAGGCATAACAAAGGTGAATGAAATAGCTCCTGGAGATGATATCTAGCCAGATGACTAAGGTAGAAGCAGAATATGATAAAAACCAGGACAGAGAGATTAAAGGACATACTAAAAGAGGGTTTGCAAGAGTTTGTCCACAGAAAACAATCTACCCAGATTCTTCCCATATCTACCTCTGTTACCAGGCATAGGAAAGACTCTAGATCCTAATTTCGTACGCAGCATTTCACGCAGGATTAATCACACCTTAGTGAATGTATTACTTTTTTTAGGAAATTCATTTTTTCAACCCATGTAATTCATAAGCCAGAAACCCCATTTCTGCAAAGTGGTGCCTGTTCCATTTTCTTAAATAAGAGTTTGATTTTCATTCTATAGACAGTCCCTGACTTATGATGGTTTGACTTAGAATTTTTTGACTTTACAATGGGGTGAAAGCCACATGCACTCATTAGAAACTGCACTTTAAGTACCAATACAATCATTCTGTTTTCACTTTCAGTACAGTATTCAATAAATTATATGAGATACTCAATACTTTATTATAAAGTAGGCTTTGTGCTAGATGATTTTGCCCAAATGTAGGCTAAGATGTGTTCTGAGCATATTTAAGGCTGGCTAGACTAAGGTATAATGTTCAGTAGGTTAGGTGTATTAAATAATTTTTGACTTATATTTTCAAGTGATGCTGAGTTTACCAGGATGTAGCCCTACTGTAAGTGGAGGAGCATCTGTACTGACATTTTTGCCAAAATGGTGGACACTATTTTCTGCTCACACTCTGCTTTAGTAAAGCAATGTGAACCACTGAGAATAACATGCAGGGTACCTAGTAAGTGCCACTAGAAACCAAGGAAACAAGTATCAATGGGCAAAATCAGTAGTTATTTTCTTATATAATTGGCCTAATTTTGATTCTCTTAAGCAACAAGCAATTTCATGACACAAAAAGAACTCTCTTTTAGGGAGTCTACAGCCTACTTGGAAAGAAGGTAGACATGCAAATGAATGGCATCTGGATGACAGGCCATATAGTGGTAGAGTCCAGGTTTGGGAGAGATACAAACCTGAGTCTGAATCCAAGCTAGGACACTTACTAGCTGCACAGTCTCTTAGAGCTTCTGTTTCATCAACTGAAAAATGGGACCACTGACACCTCAACTCATAGTGATATGAGGATTAAATAAGCCATTACATATAAAATACTAGTCACTGGCAAAGAATGGAATCTCAATATGTGAGCTGTTAGGAGAAAGGCAACATGCAAGGTAGAAAAGGAGCACCAAAGGAGGTCTAAGAAAGCTTTTGACTCAAAAAACCTTTGTTGGTAACATTCTATGAGAATCCAGTTATGGATCTCATGATGTGAAAAACTGATCTGAAGAGCTCCACTTCTGCTAATGATTACCTAAGTGGGATCATGCCTTCCACTGAGGAAACTGAGGGGACCTCCCCCCATAGAAAAAAAAAACAGTTCAAAGATGCTGGAGAATTAACAGGGCAGTGAAGAATTATGGTATCCAGATCTAGAAGAAAATCCAGAGAGGGGCACCTAGCATTTGGGACCATCTTTCCCTTGGGGCATCTGCAGATTCTGGAAGAGGGACCTGAAAGTTTGAGGAACTAAGCCTTGACTTACTAGTATTTTGTTACTGATTTTGGGTCTATATTCAAGAGGGATGTCAGTCTGTAGTTTTATTCTCTGGTATGTGTTTGTCTGGTTTTGTTTATAAAATGAGTTGGGAATTATTCCTTCCCTTTCTGTTTTCTGGAAAATGTGGTGCAGAATTCAGTATTATTTCTTCTTCAAATGACTGTAAGAATACAATTAAATTATCAGGGCTGGGAGATTTCTTTTTCAGGAGGTTCTAAACTGTGAATTCAATTTTCTTTAATAGACATCTGACTATTCAGGTTATGTATTTCTTTTTAGGTGAGTTTTATTAATTTGTGACTTTAAAGGAAATTGGTCCATTTCATTGAGGTCACCATATCTGTGTATGTATACGTTATTTGTAGCATTCCTTTATTACTTCGTGAATATCTAATTCCCCTTGAGTCATCCTTTTTAATCCATAGATTATTTAGAAGTGTGTTGTTTAATACCCAAGTGTGTGGAGATTTTCCAGTTGTCTTTCTCATATTGATTTCTACATTAATTCCATTTTGTTTACAGAACATACTTTCTAGTATTCTAAGTCTTTTTTTTAAACAGGCTTACCAAAATATATTTCACATATCATATAATTGTTCCTTTTAAAATGTACAATTCAAGGGTTTTTAACATTCACAGAGTTGTATAACCATCACTACAATTAATATAGGGACACTTTCATCACCTACAAAAAGAGACTCCATACCCATTAGCACTCATTCCTCATTTCACCACAGGCTCTCCACGGATTAGGCATCCATTAACCTATTTCCTGTTTCTATACATTTGTCTATTCTGGACAACTCATATAAATGAATTCATACAGTATGTGGTGTCTTGTGACTGGCATCTTTTACTTTACATAAGGTTTTCAAGATCCAGTCGTGTGTAGTATGTATCAGTATTTCATTTCTCTTTACTGCTGTATAATACTTGGTTATATGAATAGATCACATTTGTTTATCTTGGGCTGATCCCAACTTTTGGCTATTGTGAATGACGCTGCTATGAAAATGGGTGTACAAGTTTTTGTGTGGACATGTTTTCATATATCTTGAGTATATACCTAAGGAGTGGAATTGCTAGGTCATATGATATGTTTAACCATTTGAGGAAATGTCAGACTTTTCTGTAACGGCTGCACCATTTTACATTCCTATTGTAATGTATGAGGGTTCCGATTTTTCCACCTGCTTGGCAGCACCTGTTATTATCTGACTCTTTGATAACTATCCTAGTGTGAAGTGGTATCTCATTGTGGTTTTGATTTGCACTTCTCTGATGACTAATGATGTCAAGCATCTTTTCATGTGCTTATTGGCCATGCATATATCTTCTTTGGAGAAACATCTAATCAGATCCTTTGTCCATTTTTTAAACTGGTCAGTCTATTATTGAGTTGTAAGTGTTGTTTATATGTTCTAGATACAAGTTCCTTATCATATATATCATCTGCAAATATCTTCTTCCATGCTGTGGGTTGTCTTTTTACTTTCTTGATCATATCTTTTGATGCACAAAAGTATTAATTTTTTCTTTTTTTTGAGATGAGGTCTTACTCTGTCACCCAGGTTGGAGTACAGTGACGTGATCTCAACTCACTGCAACCTCTGCCTCCCAGGCTCAAGTGATCCTCCCACCTCAGCCTCCCAAGTAGCTGGGACCACAGGCGCGTGCCGCTGTGCCTGGTTACATTTCGTATTTCTGGTAGAGACGGGGTTTCACCATGTTGCCCAGGCTGGTATTGAATTCCTGAGCTTGGGCAATCCACCTGCCTTGGCCTCCCAAAGTACTGGGAATACTGGCATGAGTCATCACATCCAGCCAAAAATTTAAAATTTTGATGAAGTCCAATTCATTGACTTTTTCTTTTGATACTTATGCTTTTGGTGTCACATCTAAGAAACTGCCTAGCCAAGGTCGTGAAAATTTACTCCTCTATTTTCTTCTGAATTTTTTATAGCATTAGCTCATACATTTTGGGCTGTGATCCATTTGACTTAATTTTTGTAGTATGTGAACTAGGGGTCCAAAGGTAAGGTTGGTACAAAAGTAATTGCAGTTTTGGCCACCAAAAGAAATTGCAAAAACCACAATTACTTTTGCACCAACCTAATATTATTTTGTATGATATCCAGTTGTTCCGGCACTATTTATTAAAAACACTGTTTTTTTTCCCCATTGGATCGTCCTGGCATCCAGCATCCTTGTTGCAAATCAATTAGCCCTAAATGTGAGGATATATTTCTGAACTCTCAATTCAATTTTGTTTATTTTTATGTCCATCATGATACGAGTACCACACAGAGTTGTTTACTTTCACTTTGTAGTGAAATATTTTGGAATAGGGAAATATGAGTCCTACATTTTTTCTGTACTTTTTCAGCATTGTTTTGGTTACTGTGGTCCCTTTGTATTTCCATAGGAATTTAATATTCAGCTTTTCCATTTCTGGAAAAAAAATAAAAACCATCGAAAAACAAAAAAAGCTTTTGACTCAAACTAACTAATATTTTGTTAGGAATCTGTAGATCAGTTTGGGAATTACTGCCATCTTAACAATGATCCATGAACATGGGATGTCTTCATTTCATTTAGATCTTTAATATATATATTTTTTTGGTGATGGAGTTTTGCTCTTGTCACCCAGGCTGTAGTGCAATGGTGCGATCTCAGCTCACTGCAACCTCTGCCTCCTGGGTTCAAGCAATTCTCCTGCCTCAGCCTCCCATGTAGCTGGGATTATAGGCATGTATCACCACGCCTGGCTAATTTTTTACATTTTTAGTAGAGACAGGGTTTCATCATGTTGGCCAGGCTGGTCTCAAACTCCTGATCTCAGGTGATCTGCCCACCTCGGCCTCCCAAAGTGCTGAAATTACAGGTGTGAGCCACTGCAACCCAGCTGAAAATCCAAAACTTTTTGAGTACCAACAAGACACTCAAAACTCATACTCAAAGGAAATACTCACTGGAGAATTTTGGATTTCAGATTTGGGATGCTCACTGGTAAGTGTAACAAACAGTTCAAAATCTGAAAAAAATCCAAAATCTGAAACACTTCTGATCTCAAGAATTTCAGATAAGAGATACTCTACTCTGCTGGTATATGAAAAAGAGTAGCATATATATGAACTTTTAATATTTTTTTCTGGGTATTAAAATTACTGGTATTAAAATTTATTTTTCTTCTGCTCATTCATGTTTTCTAAATAAATTATTACTTTTGAAATGGAAAACAAAGTTATTTAAAAATAATCTAACAAGCTCTCCAAGAAATGGCTTATTTTTATTTCAACATCTTCTAAACAATATATTCAACATTTATTTTTTTAGAGTTGGTGTCCTGCTCACTATACCCAGGATGGAGTATAATGGCATGATCCTAGCTCACTACAGCCTCAAACTCCTGCCCTCAAGTGATCCTCCTGCCTCAGCTTCTCGAGTAGCTAGGACTACAGGTGTGCATCACCATTCCCAGCTATTTAAAACATTTATCTGTAGAGATGGAGTCTCGTTATGTTTCCCAGGCTGATTTCAAACTCCAGGCCTCAAGCAATCCCTCCTGCCTTGGCTTCCCAAAGTTCTGGCATTACAGATGTGAGCCACCATACCTGGACATATACAACATTTAGATAACTTTTCGAATCAATATTAAGATAGTTGAGTTAGCTGTACCTGCAAGTACCATCAAGGTCTATAACCCCTCCATCCCTTGGTACTGAGCACAAACTACAGTGCGTTGTGTTACACAAAGTAGGGATAAGAAGCGAGGCATCTAGATTTTTTGCCTAAACAAGACATGGAAAGAAAGAAATGTGTAAATTAATAACTCCAATCAAGCTATGTCTGGGAGTGCCAAGGAAAAGCATAGATGATTTCAACTGGCAGACTGAGGATGTGTTCTTATATACTAGTCATCCACAATTTGCTTTCCCTCTCTAATAGTAATGGTTTACCATTCAACCAGTAAGATGATAAAACAAGTAATTCATAGCATCTATTCCCATATTCCACATGAATGCTTACTAGCCCTACTTGTCATCAGCTTACATGTCACTTCACCTTTGTTTCTGTGGGTAACAGCACTTCTCTTGATATGCCATGAACATGGATTCAGTGCCAATCTCCTGAGACGGAGAGCTCCGAGACGGCAGAAACTAAGTCTAATTCATCTTAGTATTGCCACGTTGAGTTGGCCTCACTAGGTATAATATACACCATGACTTTTTCAAGCTTTGTGCATGTGTTTAACATCTTGGCAAAGGAAACTTAGAAATCATACCTGGTAGGATTCCTTTTGTCTTCTTCAGAGATCAAAAACCAAACAAAATCTGCATAGCTCATTCTTCCCTCTTTCTGTATTGTTTTTCCCCTAAAGAAAACACATGGTTATAAAATTTCCTGAGCAATTACTCAGAACCATTTATCAGGATGATAGGCTAAGAAATAAAGTAGTATGTCAGTTAAAATTTTTTAAATTATAATGCTAAATGCCTCATAAAGGGCAACCCTTCCACAGCCTATCTTATTTTCAAAGGTCTAGAGGGTGAAACCAGAAGGCATTTGCAAATATGAAGAAAAGAAATCTGGCTTTTAATATGAATGCAAATAATCACTGGGATAAAATGCTGTTACCTGTATTTAGATATAGGATTAATACTCATGTTAGGCATCAATGGAAGATACCTCAAAATAATAAGAGCCGTTATGACAAACACATAGCTAGCATTATACTGAATGGACAAAAGCTAGAAGCAATCCCCTTAAGAACAAGAACAAGACAAGGATGACCACTCTCACCACTCTATTCAACATAGTACTGGAAGTCTTAGCCAGAGCAATCAAGCAAGAGAAAGAAATAAAACACATCCAAATAGGAAAAGTCAAATTATCTCTCTTTGCTGACAACATGATTCTATACCTAGAAAAGCCTGAAAACTAAGCCAAAACGCTTTCAGAACTAATAATAATTTCATTAAAGTTTCGGGATACAAAATCAATGTATAAAAATCAGTAACATTTCAATACACCAATAGCATTCAAGCTGAAAGCCAAATCAAGAATGCAATCCCATTTACAATAGCCACACACACACAAAATAAAATACCTAGGAATACAGCTAACCAAGGAGGTGAAAAATCTCTACAGGGAGGACTACAACACTCTGCTGAAAGAAATCAGAGATAACACAAACCAATGGAAAAACATTCCATGGTCATGGATAGGAAGATTCAATATCGTTAAAATAGCCATACTCCCCAAAGCAATCTACAGATTCAATGTTATTCTTATTAAACTAATGTCGTTTTTCACAGACTAGTTTTTTTTTAAGAAAAAAAAAAAAACAACACCATTCTAAAATTCATATGGAACCAAAAACAAAGTCCCAATAGCTAAAGCAATCTTAAGCAAAAACAACCAAGCGAGAGGTATCATAGTACCTGACTTCAAACTACACTATAAGGCTACTGTATCCAAAACAGCATGGTACTGGTACAAAAACAGACACACAGACCAATGGAGCAGAAGAGAGAGCCCAGAAATAAAGCTGCACACCTACAACCATCTGATATTTGACAAAGTCGATAAAAACAAACAACGGGAAAAAGACTCCCTATTCAATAAACAGTGCTGGGATAATTGATTAGCTATATGCAGAAGAATGAAACCAGACCCTTACTTTTTACCATATAAAAAATTAATTCACAATGGATTAAAGACTTAAATATCAGACCTGAAACTATAACAATTCTAGAAAAAACCCTAGGAAATACCCTTCTTGACATTAGCCTAGGCAAATAATTTATGGCTAAGTCCTCAAAAGCAACTGCAACACAACCAAAAATTGATGATTGGGACCTAATTAAACTAAAGAGCTTTTGCACAGCAAAAGAAACTATCAACAGATTTAACTACCTACCTACAGAATGGGAGAAAATATTCTTAAACTATGTATCCAACAGAGGTCTAATATCCAGACTCTATATCGAACTTAAATCAACAAGCAAAAAACAACCCCATTTAAAAATGGGCAAAGGACATGAACGGACACTTCTCAAAAGAAGACATACAGGCAGCCAACAAACATGAAACAATCTCAACATCATTCATCATTAGAGAAATGCAAATCAAAACCACAACAAGATACCATCTCACAACAGCCAGAATGTCAACTACTAAAACGTCAAAATGTAACACATGCTGGTGAGGCTGTGGAGAAAAGGGAATACTTATACACTGTTAGTGGGAATGTAAATGGGTCCAGCTGTGGTGGAGAGCAGTTGATTTCTCAGAGAACTTAAAACAGAACTACCATTCGACCCAGCAATCCCATTACTGGGTATATACCCAAAGGAAAATAAATCATTCTACCACAAAGATACAGGTACTTGTATGTTTATCCAGCACTATTCACAATAGCAAAGACATGGAATCAACCTAGATGCCTACCAACAGTAGACTGGATAAAGAAAATGTGGTACATATATACCATTGAATACTATGCAGCCATAAAAATTATGAAATCATGTCCCTGCAGCAACATGGAGGCAGCTGAAGGCCATCATCCTAAGCGAATTAACACAGGAACAGAAAACCAAATACCGTATGTTCTCACTTGTAAGTGGAAGCTAATACTGAGTACACATGGACATAAAGATGGGAACAATGGACACTGGGGACTGCTGAAGTGGGTAGGGAGTGAGCACAGTGAGGGCTGAGGGACTGCCTGTTGGGTGTTGTGCTCACTGCCTGTGTGACAGGATCCTCCATACACCAAATCTCATCATCACCCAGTGTTCCCATGTGACAGACCTGCACGTGTACCCCCTGAATCAGAAAAGTTGAAATTATTTTTTTAAAAAAGAATTACTGTCTTGTATTAAGCCATAACTATGTTTTATAGGATATTATTTGGTCCAATAGCACTGCCAAATTATTCAGGAAGCTTTGCTAAAATGAGATGGTTATGGTATTACTTGTAGTTCATTTTTAAACACAGCATTAAACGTTTTCTTACCTTGTTACTGCACCAGAGAATATCCTTTCAATAATCCTGCTTGATGAAGCTAAATGTAGATAAAAAAAAAATTGCAAAGCTAGTTAGAAACATGCTCCATAAAGGCAATACTTTTCACAAATTTGCTTTTCACTAGCTACAAGCTAAACCGTAACCATCGTCCATGATGAGAATGTGAGTACATTTTTATTTACGCATAATTTTAATATAATTTTAAAAAATAACAGGCAAATGAATGTGGCTGACATCTGGGAAGTATTAATATAGTTGAATGCTAAGTTAGGTCTGAACATCCTGACAGCTAGGACAAAAATATATAGGATTTGTTTTGATCTTATCCAATGAGACCAATTTTCCTATAAACAAGACAAGTTTTATCCTTAAATTCAAGGGAGAACTGATTGTGTAAGCTCCTAAAACAATGTAAAATAAAACAAAACGAAGTTAAAACAATGGAGAATGCTTTCAAGTAGTTTTTTTAAAAGCTACTCAAACACACTACAAACATACTTTTCTTATATTCCCATTTTATAAAAGCCCAGGGTTTAACATGATATAACATAAGATTTTTAGAAATTCCATCAGGAAGTTTTATTCACATAGATAATCGTGGCTTAAGTTAGCATGTTGGTGAGAGAGAGAGAGAGAGAGAGAGAGAGAGAGAGAGAGAGAGAGAGAGAGAGAGACACGACTAGAGACCTGTTCTTTCATTTATTTATTTATTTTTGAGACAGAGTTTTGCTCCTGTTGCCCAGGCTGGAGTGCAATGGCGTGATCTCGGCTCACTGCAACCTCCGCCTCCCGGATTCAAGTGATTCTCCTGCCTCAGCTTCCCAAGTAGCTGGGATTACAGGCATGCGCCACCATACCTGGCTAATTTTTTTGTATTTTTATTAGCGATGGGGTTTCTCCATGTTGGGCAGGCTGGTCTTGAACTCACAACCTCAGGTGATCTGCCCACCTCAGCCTCCCAAAGTGCTAGGAATACAGGCGTGAGCCACCATGCCCAGCCTGTTCTTTAACAGATGCCCCAGGCAATGGCATGCACACTAAAATTTCAGGATCATCAATAAGGTCATTAGGGACTTAGCAGCTATCAGCATCGAATTCTTCTGCACATAGTTAGGTACAGTTAGCATAAAGGTAAATTGGTTTGGCCAAAGAAAGTTGGGAATATGTGTATTGGAACAGCCGTGCCTGGCCACACACCAAAGCTTATATAAAGACCTTCTATATTTTGCTGAACATTGGTTTATGGGGTTAATTTGTACTAGATAGAAAAAAAGAGGGCTATATAGGAAAGGCAAGGATATTTAATTGTAAAGCCAAAATCTTTTTTTAAAGGCATTTTTTAGCTTGGGAAGGTTTAGCTTCCTAAAATTGAAGATCATGTTATTCTATGTTGTCTCATTAGGGACAGTCTGGTGAGTGGATAATTATGGAGTATTCAGTGGCCCCTTCTCGCTCTGTCGCCCAGGCTGGAGTACAGTGGTGTGATCTCGGCTTACTGCAACCTCTGCCTCCTGGGTTCAAGCGGTTCTCCTGCCTCAGCCTCCCGAGTAGCTAGGATTACAGGCACGCACCACCACACCCGGCTAATTTTTGTATTTTTAGTAGAGATGGGGTTTCACCATGTTGTTCAGGCTGGTCTTGAACTCCTGACCTAGTAATCCACCTGCCTTGGCCTCCCAAAGTGCTGGGATTACAGGCGTGAGCCACCGCGCCTGGCCAACTTTATTTCTTAAATACGCAAAGCTCTATGAAACCTGACATCATATACAACAAACCTTTTTTTTTTTCTTTGAGACAGGGTCTCCCTGTCGCTCAGGCTGGAGTGTAGCAGCACCATCATGGCTCACTGCATCCTCAACTTCCCCAGGTTCAGGAGATCCTCCCATCTCAGCCTCCTGAGTAGCTGGGACTACAGGCATGTGCTACCACATCTGACTAATATTTGTATTTTTGTCATTTGAAAGACATTTTTTAATTTTTAATTTTTGTATTTTTTGTAGAGACAGGGTTTCACCATGTTGCCCAGGCTGGTCTCGAACTCTTGGGTTCAAGTGATCCACTCGCTTTGGCCTCCCAAAGTGCTGGTATTGCAGGCATGAGCCACTGCCCCCTGCCTGATGAGCCTTTTCTTAAGATGCATACCATTAGTAACAGCCATACCAAAAAACAAAAACAAAATTCAATGCATTTATTTAAGATTCATACTCTGCTATATCTAATAAGCTAAAGTATCATTTAAAAATCAACAGTGCCTGAGAAGGCATTTAAGGACAGAACAGGGACAATCTTATGAGAGAAGAATGAATCAATGTATCTTAGTGCTTAGTTAATATTAAATCAGGCCAGGTGTGGTGGATCATGCCTGTAATCCTAGCACTTTGGCAGGCCAAAGCGAGTGGATCACTTGAACCCAAGAGTTCGAGACCAGCCTGGGCAACAAGGCGAAACCCCATCTGTATTAGTCTGTTCTCACGCTGCTAATAACGACATACCTGAGACTGGGTAATTTATAAAGGAAAGAGGTTTAATGGACTCACAGTTCCACATGGCTGGGGAGGCCTCACAATCATGGTGGAAGGCAAAGGAGAAGCAAAGGCACATCTTACATGGCAGCAGGGGTGTGTGTGGGGGAACTCCCCTTTCTAAAACCATGAGCTCTCATGAGACTTACTCACTATCATGAGAGCAGCACAGGAAAGACCCGCCCCCATGACTCAATTAACTCCTACCTGGTCCCTCCCATTTCACTTGGGGATTATGGGAGCTACAATTCAATAAGAGATTTGGGTGGGGACACAGCCAAACCATATTGTTCCAACCATGGCTCCTCCCATATCTCAGATCCCCACACTTCAAAACCAATCATGCCTTCGCAACAGTCCCCCCAAAGTCTTAACTCATTTTAGCATTAACTCAAAAGTCCACAGTCCAAAGTCTCATCTGAGACAACCCAACTTCCTTCCACCTATGAGCCTGTAAAATCAAAAGCAAGTTAGTTACTTCCTAGATACAACAGGGATACAGGCATTGGGTAAATACACCTGTTCCAAATGGGAGAAATCAGTCAAAACAAAGGGGCTACAGGCCCGATGCAAGTCTGAAATCCAATACTGCAGTCATTAAACCTTAAAGTTCCAAAATGATCTCCTTTGACTCTGTCTCATATCCATGGCACACTGATGCAAGAGGCAGGTTCCCATGGCCTTGGGCAGGTCCACCCCTGTGCCTTTGTAGGGTACAGCTCCCTTCCTTGCTGCTTTCATGGGCTGGCATTGAGTATCTGTGGCTTTTCCAGGTGCATGGTGCAAACTATTGGTGGATCTACCATTCTGGGGCCTGGAGCATTGTGGCCCTCTTCTCATAGCTCCACTAGGCAGTGTCCCAGTAGGGACTCTGTGGGGGCTTCAACCCCACATTTCCCTTCCACACTGCCCTAGCAGAGGTTCTCCATGAGGGCTCTGCCCCTGCAGCAAATTTCTGCCTGGACATCCAGGTGTTTTTATACATCCTCTGAAATCTAGGTGGAGGTTCCCAAATCTCAATACTTGACTTCTGTGTACCCACAGAACCAACACCACGTGGACGCCACCAAGGGCTGGGGTTTGCATTCTCTGAAGCAACGGCCTGAGCTGTATGTTGGCCCCTTTAAGCCATGGCTGGAGCTGAAACAGCTGGGATGCAGGTCACCATGTTCAGAGGCTGCATAGAGCAGGGGGGGCCCCAGGCCTGGCCCAGAAAACCATTTTTCCCTCCTAGGCCTCCAGGCCTGTGATGGGAGGGGCTGTCATGATGGTCTCTGACATGCCCTGGAGACATTTTCCCCATTGTTTTGGTGATTAGCATTTGACTCCCCATTATTTATGCAAATTTCTGCAGTGGGCTTGAATTTCTCCCCGGAAAATGGGTTTTTATTTTCTACTGCATTATCAGGCAGCAAATTTTCCAAACTTTTATGCACTGTCACTTCTTGAATGCTTTGCTGCTTAGGAATTTCTTCCACCACATACCCCAAATCATCTCTTTCAAGTTCAAAGTTCCACAGATCTCTAGGGCAGGGGCAAAATGCCAAGTCTCTTTGCATAGCAAGAGTGACCTTTACTCCAGTTCCCAACAAGTTCCTCATCTCCACCTGAGATCACTTCAGCCTGGATTTTATTGTCCATATCACTATCAGCATTTTGGTTAAAGCCATTCAAGTCTCTAGGAAGTTCCAAACTTTCCCACATGTTCCTGTCTTTATCTGAGCCCTCCAAACTGTTCCAACCTCTGCCTATTACCTAGTTCCAAAGTCCCTTCCACATTTTCGGGTATCTTTACAGCAGCGCCCCATGCTACTGGTACCAATTTACTATATTAGTCTGTTCTCATGCTGCTAGTAAAGACATACCTGAGACTGGGTAATTTATAATGGGAAGAGTTTAATGGACTCATAGTTCCACATGGCTGAGAAGGCCTCACAATCATGGCGGAAGGCAAAGGAGAAGCAACAGCACATGTTACAGGGTGGCAGGCAAGAGAGCATGTGCAGAGGAACTCCCCTTTATAAAACCATCAGCTCTCATGAGACTTATTCACTATCATGAGAACTACATGGGAAAGACCCACTCCCATGATTCAATTACCTGCCACCAGGTCCCTGCCACAACAGGTGGGGATTATGGGAGCTACAATTCAAGATGAGATTTGGGTGGGAACATAGCCAAACCATACCACCATCTTTACAAAAAAATACAAAAAAATTAGCCAGGTATGGTGGCATGTGCCTGTAGTCCCAGCTACTTAGGGGCTGAGGTGGTAGGATGGCTTGAGCCCAGGAGGTTGAGGTTACAGTGAGCCGTGTTCATGCTTCTGCATTCCAGCCTAGGTGACAAAGTGAGACGCTGTCTCAAAAAAACCAAGGATATTAAATCAGTAGGCAACAGGTTCTAGATTTACCGCTGGCAAAAATGAAGTAAAAAGGGTATTATCATGTGATATGTAATTTTTTGTTTTCTGACAAAAGAAAGCACGCAAAATTCATCTGCAGAGACGTATCTTTCTGGAACAAAATTTCCAAAAGTAAATTTTTGTGAGTCCTTGAAAATAAAACTTGGCAAGTTAAAAACATTATTTTCATGCTTGGCTTTTTACAGAAATATTGTTAAGTGGGAAGGGTTATAAAGGTGTATACATATTCTCTTTCAAACAGATTTAAACAGGTGTGGATCTTATTCAATTCATCATCAGAAAATACACACCAGTATAAAGACTCATCGCTTTATCAAAACTAAGACTGTGATTGGTTACTTACTTCCAAACTCCTTCTCCTACATCTGGCCTTTTATTAATTTAATAAAAAATTATATTATCTTCACTCATCCCCTCTTAAAAATTATTGGCCTGTAAAGAGGACTTGATTAGGTTTAGAATTTAGCAAACGGGAATTTCTCATAATGAGTAGTGATAATTTATATAACTCTTTAAAATGGTTAAGTCTTAGCATCTACAGAATCACTTACCCTGGTCATTGTATCGAGACAGATCGGCCTGGCTGATGTAGAGGTCGTGATCAGTATCTAGTTCCCAGAATTTACAATAAATAACATAGAAATGTTCATAGGAGAAGTAATCTGTAATTTGGTTTATATCTTCCTCTTCTTCCAAAAGTGCTAGGGTCTGAAATTATATGAAAAGAAGAATTTAAACATTATGAAAAAGCAGCTTTGGCCACTGTGCAGAGTCTAGCGAATTTCTGTTTTAAACTGAATTTAAAATTTTTTTCTGGTACCAAATCAGAAACCCTTTAATAGGCAACCTCATCCTACCTTTAATCAACCAATCAATCTATAAGCATTTACTGAGCTCTGTAATATGCTCAGTGAAGGGCTGGATGCTGTGGAGGATGTAAAAGCAGGGGAAGGGAAGTACCATTACCTTGGGGACTATAGTTGGTCAGAGGTCAGAGACTGGCATGAAAAGAACAATTAGATCATAGTCTTAATTATTTGGCCAGAAACAAATACTGTTTTTAATTTTCAAAGTTATGTGAGCAACATTAAGAGGGGTAGGCATCAACATATAGGGTTTCATTTTGTAATAAAATTAAGTTTATATCACAAAGGTTACTCATATATACAATAGTGATGATACATGGTGGCCTGGCATAGGCATGGCAGGTAGAGATGCAGGGCCCTGAGCTGGAAGTAAACCTGGGTCTTCCCTGACTCACTGTACTCCCCTACGGCAAAATCCAGAATCAATGATACTGAACCCACAATTCTGTTGTCAGCCAAATTATTATGTAAGTGGGCAGATAAATAAAGACATATTCAGAAGTGAAAGATTCAGAAAGAAAAATAAAAGCACAAAAGAATGTAAGAAATATAAAAAAATGAAATGGCAGAAATAAAATCAGATATATGAATAGTCACAATAAAGATAAGTGATACATCTCCCTATTAAAATATTTTTTTGATTAAGTATCAAAACCATGCCCCCAAAACAGATCTACCTATATGCATCTATAAGGGATACATCTAAAAAAAATAAGGAAGGTTAAAAAAAAGATGGACAAACATACACGGTTAAATGTTAACAAAAATAAACAGGTATCAATATTAATATGGAATGCAAGGTGAAAAACATAAGCGGGCTGGGTGTGGTTGCTCATGCCTGTAATCCCAGCACTTTGGGAGGCTGAGGCAGGTGGATCATGAGGTCAGGAGTTCAAGACCAGCCTGGCCAAGATGGTGAAACCCCGTCTCTACTATAAATACAAATATTAGCTGGGTGTGGTGGCAGGCGCCTGTAATCCCAGCTACTTGGGAGGCTGAGGCAGAAAATTGCTTGAAACCGGGAGGCAGAGGTTGCAGTGAGCCGAGATCGCGCCACTGTGCTCCAACCTGGGCGACAGGGCAAAACTCCGTCTCAAAGAAAAAAAAAAGAAAAAAGAAACACATGAGGGACAAAGAGGACTATTTCATAACACAAATGTTAGTATTCTGACAAAAAATTATTTTTTAAAATATAAACACTGGAAAACCAAAGTGCTCTGGCAAACTAACAACAACATAAATTATTATTAAGTTATGGTAAATCTGCTGGATAGAAAATTATGCAGCTAGTAAAAATTATAAAGTTTACACTGAAGACCATGATATGGTAAGTACAAAATATAGGATACAAGATTGTACCCACTAAGAACTACATAAAATCCTAAAAATGCATATATACATATGAATAAGACTAGATGAATACAGACAAAAATGATACTAGTTGTATAAGGGTGATAAAATATGGTTTTTCTTCTGTCTTCCAAACTTGCTCATATTACTTTGTTTTATAAAATGTCCTTTGATATGTAAGAAGCAGAACACTTTCAATAAAGCACATATTTAGAAGCAAAGCGCTATTATTTTTACCCACTGGATTGGCATAAAATGAAGACGACAGCAACTTTTGTTGGTGAGTATATAAGTGAAAGTAGTGCAGGCTTTTTGGAGGGTAACTTGGCAGAATCCACCAAATTAAAAATGCACATACTATTTGATCCAGGATTTTCCCTCCAGTGGTCTATTCTACAGACATTCTTACTCATACCCCATACAAGGATGTTCACTGCATCACTGTAATAGAGGAAATCTGAAAACGATTTGGACATCAATAGAGGAATATGTAATTAATTACACTTTAGCCATGGAATTGATTATGCAGTAGTTGAAAGAATGAGATAGACTTATATGAATGGAAATGAAAAAAACCCTGAGACACTGTTAAGTGAAAAAACCAAGTTAAGAGAATAGTATGAACCCATATATTTTTTGAAAACCCTCAAAATAGCAGCCATACAAAACAAAACTATATACTACATGTATATAAGAGAATAAAACCACAGATGATATGGGTCCCCCTCTGGGGAAAGGGGGTAAAATGGTAGAGTGAAGAATAGTGACTTCTGTTTATTACTCTAGATGTGCTCATATTATTTGAATGTTTTATGAGTATTGTTTAAGTACGAAGAGGAAGACTAAGGAAAGGGGCAGGGAAGGAAAGCGAGGAGAAAATAAATCATGCTCTAGGAAGCAGAACACTTGAGTTCTTTTTCCAGTTCAGCAACTTACTTTTGTGTGATCTTATACAAATCATTTAAGTATATTTGGGCCTCAAATTTTATCACTGGTAAAAAAAAAAAAAAGGATTAATTTTAAAAGCCAAAAAAGAAAAAATATGGATTAGGCCAGGCATGGTGGCTCACGCTTGTAATCCCAGGACTTCGGGAGGCTGAGGCAGGTGGATCATGAGGTCAGGAGTTGGAGACCAGCCTGGCCAACACAGTGAAATCCCATTTCTACTAAAAATACAAAAATGAGCTGGGCATGGTGGCACACGCCTGTAGTCCCAGCTACTCAGGAGGCTAAGGCAGAAGAATCACTTGAATCCAGAAGGCGGACATTGTGGTGAACCCAGATCGCACCACTGCACTCCAGCCTGGGCAAGAGAGCAAGACTCTGTCTCAAAAAAAAAAAAAAAAAAAATTATGGATTATAAAAATGATTCAGAAACTACAACCTATAATGTGCTTCAGGAAAGTGGGGGATTATCATCATTACTCTTGAGGTATTATGGAATTACTGCCATTTTAACCCATCCCATATTACCTACTGAGAGCCCAGGCAGGCATCAGGTGTTCAATAAATATCAACACTGACTGTGATGATGACTGTTCATTTTAGAATAAAAAAATGTTTGTATATCCATCATGGACTGCTAATTTTGCCAAGTCTTCATTACTCTGTCTCAGATGAAGATAGGAAAAAATAAAGAGTAAGTAAGGTTGTATTATTAGCCTAAATTCCATTTAGTATGATTCTTAAAAATAAAACATTTCATTTTCTTCCAAGTGTGAACAATTTCACTTTATGTTTACAGAAGCTTAAACAATCAGGCATGAAGATTACTTCGGTAAAAGGCTCCCACTAGTGGTCAATACTTTCTCTCTCATTTGGTAATATGAATAAAATAATTGAATGAAATGTATTCTTTCTTAAAAGGAATTTTTAGTACTTTTCTCTAGCAGGTGCTGGATACAGAGTCATTGCTGAAAGGATCAAGTTTAAAATCTTCCAAGGCCTTTCCAAGACCCTTCCCAACCTAGCCCCAGCCCACCCCTCCAGGCTTATCTATTGTGAAGCCGCCTCTGTACGTTTTATCCATGTCTATGGAATTTATCAAGTCAGGTTTAGTGTCTGTACACTTCACTCTTTTGCTCCAGAGTGCATGCCTTCAGGCAGAGATCCCTTATTATTCTCTTCATTTTTACCCCCTCACCCAAAACATTCCAGCATCCCACGACAGGTATTTGATAAATGCTTAATGACTGAAAGTAGTGACAGTGCTTTGAATAGAGTAAGCGCTCAAATATTTGTTAAATAAAGTAAGAAAATTATCTAAATTGCTCATTACACATGAATTCTAATGAAAGGCATACTTGCAAAAAGTTGCTTTTTCTTATCTCTGTCGAAGTAATTTTTCCACTCCAAGATCTGTTGACTGTGTAGAATATTCTCTGAATAACCTGGTTCCAAAAGGAAAATAAAACCAAATAAAAACATTAAAGATCTCCACTACTTTCTCAAAGGCCATTTTATGAACATACTTGGGACCAATTTAACTTTTAGCTTTTTGATTATGTTAAGTGTAATTCCTAGTAAAAATCAGCACTGTATTTTTAAATCTACATCTATATATTTTGGATTTGCCTCTGTACTTCCAAGAAGAATAAAAAAAATTCTCTGCTCACAAGTCTTCACTTCCCAACTGCCTTCACATCACTTCTTTTGTTTACCTCTAATTTATACAGTGATGCCTGATTCAAGTAATGCTTATGGGGCTCAATGTTTTGGGAAGGCATATGAGGTGGGAAGTATCTCCTGGGTTGGCCTAATGATTGATTAACTGGTCAGAAGGGTGGCTATCAAGGTGGTATGATTCAAGAGGGCCTTATTCTGGTTATTATAGCCTTATTCACTTGAGTCTTGAAGACTCTCGGTCTTCTAGACTCTATGGAAATTCAAATACATCTGGGATAATTTATATCCTAACTTTTATTTGGGCATGAACATCTTTGTTATTAGCTGGTGTTTTAATGGGTTTAGCAGAATTGCAACTCTGGAGAAAACCTTGGATAGAATGGGAGAAGAGGAGATAAGAAGCAAATGTGTCTAGATTGAGGATGTGTGTGCTGTGGTGTAGGAGAAGACCAGAGAAGGAAGATGGAAGCTGCAATCCTGGAGGTAGGAGGTCACAGTGCATTCTTAACAATTTTACCTGCAGTCATTCCTACCCACTTCATTTCCCTTTCACTGATTATTTTTCTTCTCCCAAAGGAAGCAGTGGTAAAAAGAGCAATTTGAGCAGCTTTATTTTTTTGGGTGGGTGGGGGGGTGCATTCTGCTTTTATTTTGATAGTCTAATAATACAGAAATCCTGTATCTTTGGTGGTTTTATCATGGAAGAAATTAGATCTCTTTTTCAAGATATTTTGGTGCGAGAAGAACAAATAAGGCAAGATATTTGGACATCTTTCTCAATAGTAGGCCTAATGAGGGACTAAACCACCTTTCTTTTCTGGATTCTTCAGCAGAGAGAGTGATTCTTCAACTGTTCTAAACAGGGAAAAACTAGCATCAGGATGAAGGTCTAGATTTCAGCTGTCCAGCGCTCACTACCCCACCCCTGCTATCAGTGCTAACCCCTCTGACCCTACAGAATTGAGCTCAAGTGCCACGCTCCATGGGAGGCCCCAGGACAGGGACTGACTAGAGCTCTGCCTTCTGTGCTCCCACTGCCACCTGAGCCTCCTTTAGCTGTCCCTGTGGTTACATTCCAAACGCTGGTGCACCTGACCATCATCACCTCCAAACACTAAGAGACCAGGTCTTTCTTGACTTGTATTCCAGTAACTTATATGGTGCTTTTTTTTTTTTTTTCTTTCTGAGACGGAGTCTCACCCTGTCGCCCAGGCTGGAGTGCAGTGGCACAATCTCGGCTCACTGCAAGCTCCACCTCCCGGGTTCACGCCATTCTCCTGCCTCAGCCTCCCAAGTAGCTGGCACTACAGGTGCCCGCCACCATGCCCGGCTAATTTTTTGTTTTTTAGTTGAGACGGGGTTTCACTGTGTTAGCCAGGATGGTCTCCATCTCCTGACCTTGTGATCCACCCGCCTCGGCCTCCCAAAGTGCTGGGATTACAGGCGTGAGCCACCGCGCCCAGCCACGGTGCTTTCTATATATCAGGTGGTCCATAACTGCTTGATAAAATAATGAGGTTTGAAAGTTACATAACAAAGATTTTTGTATTATCTTTGTGTTAGAGAAATACGGGTTGGCTTCATAACTATTTGAAGAACTCTACTCAGAGTTTTGCATAGCAGATGAATGTCAACCCAAGAAAGGTCTCTAATTAGTATTTCACATATATCAGTATTTTTGTCTATTATTTATAGATAGAATCATATATAATGTGCAAAAACCACAAAACAGGTAAGTGTAACTATATTCAAAATGATTGTGAAAGATGCTACTAATGTAGTAATGTTTAATCTTGAGAAAAAATAAGACTAGAGTGTAGATGTGATCAAGATCTGAGTGGCTATTGGGCGGAAGAAGAAGCTGACTTGTTCTGTGTTTCACCAAAGGGAAGAATTACAACTGCTAGACAGAAATGCATTTATACTGAAATGCTTCAATATAAGGAAGACTTTCCTAAAATTAGCCCTATAAAGCAATGAGTTTGTATGAAGTGGCTGGGTTTCTTTTCATCTTTTCACCACAAGTATTTAGGAAGAAGTTGACAGGATTCCTGAATTAGGTGGGAGCTGGGACTAGGCAGTGCCTAATTTCTCTACTGGCCCCAACCACTCAGACTCTGAGGTCACTGAGGACAGAGAACATGTCTTACTCAATACTGTATTCTTAGCACTAGCTTGGCGGAAGTTCATGTAAAAACGATGGAGGATTTTTAGCACAGAAAATTTATGTACGAAAATAAACATTAAGAATTTGATTTATCATAATTCCATGTCCCCTCTCTCAAGTTAAAGTCAATTTCAATATATATTATTAAACCACATTTTTCTATTGAAGATTTTTGTCCTTATTTCTTGATTCTGAATGTAAATTTATCTTAAAGTATGAGTTTTCTATCTAAAATTTATATTTATATACTCAAATACTTTATATTATTTATGAAATTACTGTGTTAAAAATTATAAAACTTTATAATCTGTATCCATTCGTGCTTATTTTTCTCCTCTTCTTTTTGAATTTTTAAAATCTGCAAACAGTTTGACTGTTAGGCATTTCCTATTTTTAGCCTGTGCTAACCTACTTATCTAATACTATAAGACAATGTATTTGTATTCCATTTTTCCATAGCCTAAATCTCCTTATTCAGTGGCCACACTTCATCAGCACATTTGTTGGTTTCCACATCACTGATTCAGCACTTTAGATGGCTGAGGCAGGAGCACCATCTAGTGGTGAAGCATGTAGCTGCTGACTCTACACTAATTATTGTTTTTCTAACTGCTCTCTTCTAGGTAAATAAAATTCATCATCATTTAAAATATCAAATAAAATTTTACAATAAATCATAATTAGAATAACTATTTTCTGCTAGTGAAATAAATGAAATCTGACCATTTTTCACCAAGGGATCTTTAGTCAACTTGATATATAAGTTAAATTGTAAGTCAGTTTCCTTTCTTCTTGGTATCTATTGAATTAGAAATCTCTAATTCACAAGTATAGGTCACCAGGAATGGAAATGTTTGATGGCTCTGTCATATAGTTTTTGAAAAATGAATTAAATACAGACATAGAAGTTACAAATAATTTTTACTATGTATGTGTACAGAAGAACAAACTCCAATGCTGGAAGCCTGGCTCTCACTTGGCAGGAGTGGTGAACAGATTTCTAATTCACTCTTTGGTTAACATGGCTCAGAAAAGTATTTCCTTATGGTCTTCTGTAGAGTTAGGACTTTAAAAAATATATCTAACAAAAATTTTTTTTTCTCTCTTAAGAGGAAAAGTTTTCAAGGGGGAAGAGTTGGTAAGCTCTTAGTGTGAGCAGTCTCCACTATAGCTTAGTCATCTTAGGAAAATCAGTACCTTGCCCTCCACAAGGAAAATCCTGGCATTTCAGCCTACAGTGGTGGATTCTGGCCAATCAAGATACTGAATATATCACTAAGACACACCATTGGAGCAAGCCACAGAAATATCTCTACTGCCAGCACCAGTGTCATAAAGAAGTATTTTAAATCTCATCGCTTATTTTAAAAACTCAAGTTAGCACTTCTTTCCTCAAAAGTTGGCATATGTTGGTTTGGATAAGCAAAACCTTTTATTCACTGGCAATTTTTGCACAGCATGCAAAACTGCACTCAACGGCTATGATTTGCTGGTATTTCTAATCTTCATTTTCATTCAATATCAAAGGCTTATTTCTCAACTTCTAAATCTTTTTGGAAATAAGAATACAGACTGACTTTAGGTTCAATCTCTTTTTTTGGGTAATGATGTCCTTCTTTGCTGTACAAATAGCTGATGGTCTGTCTTTCCAGTCTAAAAACAGCTGACAAAATAATTAACTAAACAAACAGCCTTTCCTGTAACATAGATTTTCAATGATACATAGAAAATAAAAGTTTTCTAACTTTCCTTCATCATATATGTACCTCACATAAGCTAATACTTGGATCACACTCTATGTCAGTGGTTTCTTCCAAATGCAAACTGAAAGAACTGAGTAACACTAGCATGCAAACATATTAATTGTTCTTCTATACTGTATGCCACGAAGATTATATAACATTCAATAGAGTCACATGGTAACTGATTTTGCTTTTTCTGAGATATCTGTCATTAATTCTGAGGCTGATCTTTATATGTTTCTTAGAAATAGTGTGATCTTAACTGTTTTTGCTGTGAGCAGGGTAGAGAACGATGTCTTTTTAATTTGGTCACTTTTATGTCTAACAACAAAATTAATTTCATACTAGAAGGCCTTATTTTACATTTGTTCTAGAAAAACTCACTGTACTCTGAAATAATGCAACAGTTTCAATGACTTCATGCCATTATTTGACCAAGTTTCATAACAGAAAAGGCACTGAGGAGAAGATAACCAGTCTAATACAATTCTATTTCCAGATAATCGTTTTTATACTTTTTATTTGCCCTTTTTGTGAGTTTATCACAATGGCAGTTATTCACTTATCTCAGTACATATTCACGTGAAATGTTCCCAATTAGGTCTTGTTTACTATTTATGTTATGGTGCTGTTTTGAGTTGCCATATTATCATCATTTTATCACAAGTATTTTATACTTAAATGGCTAGTTCTGAGTAATGGATTCACTTTTGTGCATTGGAGATAAAGCAGCACAATGTTAATAACAAAGTGAAATTTAACAAATGTAAAGTTACATACAAATGCCATGAAAATATTACAGCAGAGATAATTAACTGTACTCTATTAATTCGCCAGTGTAGTTCATTTTGTTCAACTATTATTAACATGACGCTATTTCTCAGAAAATGTGAATTATATGTGAACAAAATGGTTTCATGGCTTTTCACTCTAAAATCATAAAACTTCCTGGGGATGGCTGGGTGCGGTGGCTCATGCCTGTAATCCCAGCACTTTGGGAGGCCGTGGCAGGCGGATCATGAGGTCAGGAGATCGAGACCATCCTGGCTAACATGGTGAAACCCCGTCTCTACTAAAAATACAAAAAATTAGCCGGGCGTGGTGGTGGGCGCCTGTAGTCCCAGCTACTTGGGAGGCTGAGGCAGGAGAATGGCGTGAACCCGAGAGGTGGAGCTTGCAGTGAGCCGAGACCGTGCCACTGCACTGCAGCCTGAGTGACAGAGTGAGACTCCGTCTCAAAAAAAACCCAAACAAACAAAAACCAAAAAACTTCCTAAGGACTACTTGCTAGGTGACCAAATACCATCGAATGTCCAAGTACTTCAAAAAATATCAAACTATGCGTTCATTAAGATCATGAAAGAAAAAAAAGAAATATCAAACTAGAACCATAAAGAAAACTTATTTCCATTTTACTCTTTTGTTCTTTAATATCTAAGAATACATGCCAACAGTTTGGACTAGTTTAATTCCAACAGTTTGGACTAGTTTATTTCTAAGATCTTTTCTAACTCTTAAGAATCTAAATTATGCTGTTAATATGCCCTGAGTTTTCAGAATAGTCAATATTCAGAACCCAATAATTCTCTTTGGGACTGCAGCCAGAGCTAGCGTAGAATTCTTTTCTTTTGAGACAGATCCTTGCTCTGCCTCCCAGGCTGGAGTGCAGGGGCAAGAATCTCAGCTCACTGCAACCTCCACCTCCTGGGTTCAAGTGATTCCCGTGCCTCAGCCTCCTGAGTAGCTGGGACTACAGGTGTGCACCACCACACCTGGCTAATTTTTATATTTTTAGTAGAGACGGGGTTTCACCATGTTGGCCAAGCTGGTCTTGAATGTCTCGCCTCAAGTAATCTGTCTGCCTCGGGCTCCCAAAGTGCTGGGATTACAGGTATGAGTCACTGTGCCTGGCCTAGAATTCTTAAACATGGATAATTTCATGTATTCACTCAGTACATATTGACTGTCTATTATATGCCAGGGAATATTCTAGGTACTGAGGACATAGACAAAGTTCCTGCTTGTATGGAGCTTATATTATAGAGACGGAGATGGACAAACAAAAAATTAAATATCAGATGACAGGAGATGGACAAACAAAAAATTAAATTTTATCAGATGATAGGAGATGGACAAACAAAAAATTAAATATCAGATGATAGGAGCTAAGAAGAAAAATGAAGCAGGACAAAGGAATAGAGTGTAGGGGGAGGGGGCAGAGGAAGAAGGGTTACAAAAACAGAGAGTGATCAGGGAGGGCCTCACTAAATAAGGGAACCGAGCAGATATCTGGATGAAGTGAGGGAGTGACAATGTGGAAATCTGTAGGAAGAACATTCCAAGCAAAGGAAAGAGGAAGAACAAAGCATGTGAGGCAGAAGTGGGTTTGGTTTGCTCATGGTGGCTGAAGCAGAGTAAGAAAATGAGTGGGAGGTAGGAGATAAGATGAGAGAATAGGGGTTGCCAGGGTATGGGAGGATTATGGAGAATCTTGGCAAGGACTTGGCTTTTATTCTATGTGAGCTGGGAAACTACTGCAGGGTTTGAGCAGAGGAGTGACATGATCTGGCTGATTTTTTAAAAGGACAATTGTTTGCTCTGTGGAGGCTAGACTATGGGGCAATTAGAGTGGTAACAGGGAGACCAATTAAAAATAAACCAAGTTTGATATCAGGGCGACAGGCCAGGTTGATTGTGGTAGAGGTAATTTAGTAGAGTGTCACGGTTAACAGGAAAAAATAACTTCTGAGATTGTCTTAGATAACAGTGACACCTTCTGGCTCAAATAAAATCTTACAAAGTTTTATACTGACATAAGAGAGCCAATGCAAAAGCACTGAATGAAAAATAAAGTTCCTACAGGAGAAAAAGAAAACAGTAGTATTTTGTAACTCGGCAGGACCTAACATATCTTTGGCTAACAAACTGTACCCTAAGTATAGGAGGGTGGTCCTCAGAGGAGACGGCCCTGTTTAGCTGAGGAATCTGAGCTACATGCCAGGGCCATCTCACTTGAGAATGTGTCTGGTGAATGGCCCTGGGGCTGGTCGGTGGAATGTCTCCAAAGATAATGTGGGAGCTAGAGCAGAGTGCATGAAATGGCTACTCCGTGCCCTGTGGGCCTGTGTGTGCTCACTTATAATTCCTGACCTAACTGGGACTGACCAAATGAGGCTGTGCCTGAGAAACAGGGAGTGCGAGCTCCTCACAAAATGAGATTGTGATCATGTTGTTTTAAATTCTTACATCGTTTTCTGATTACACACAAGCTATTTTCTCATTATCATGTCCAGTTCTAACTTTGAGGTACTAGAGACCAATCTTTTTTTCTGGGACAGGGACAGACTGTTGAAAATTCTTTTCAGTCTTATTTGGAAATGCTAAATATCAACTGGATATCAATATTCATAACACAGAAAAAGATATGCCTCATAAGACCAGATAGAAGGAATATATTACTTTAATTTTGTAAGTATTGGGCACAAACAAGAAGGAAAATAGATAAAAATGAAGAAATTATGAATTCAATTTTATTTTAGCTTCCTTCCACTTGAAATAATCATTATAACCCATGTTACCTTTTGCATAGATACTTGAAATTCTGGATAGCAGATGGTAATAAAAAGGTGACTTATGGAGTTATATTAAGAAAAAAGATGACTCAGCCTACCGTGGTGATGTAGCGGGAGTGGAATTCTGGAGCATCTTTCAGGAACGTGAGACCAGGGTGGGTATCCACCACATCCTGAAAAAGATCAAAACCAAAACTAAATTAACAAACATACAAAAATTATGCCTATGGAAGTTTTTCCTTCCTGTATGTTGCCAGTTGAGCAAACTTGCTATTTTACAATAATGAATAATGCACTTAAAATTTAATTCTTTATTAAATTCGTTTCATTATAAGCATACTTATGTGTGCTTTTCTGTATACACAGCATACTTCAAAAAAAGTTGAAGTTTGATTTTAGCTACGTTAGGTAATTTGTGAATCAAATGTCTCCGAGGTATGTACTGTAATTCTAACACATCAACAGCACATCAAGGCAATTCATCCCACAGATTATTGTCGAGGTATTATGTAAAGTGTATTTACACAGAAAGGATGTCGTGGACAGTAGATGCAAGCCAATGAAAATGATCCTCTTTCATAATCTAAAAACATGGAAAATTCTTTTTGGAAAAAAAAAGCAGCCATGTAGTCAAGTAGTTTGAATCTTTGTTAAGCTGTGCAAGCCAGTTAATGCCCATCAGATTTTATCATAATTGTGTGGATAAATCATTTCTCACATTAGAATTTTATTTATTTTTAAATCTTTAATCTTGTTCTCATTGAAGACTATTGGAATATTAAAACCTGAAAATACTGTTTTTATTTTCTAATTAGATTTTTAAAGCATTCTGAATGAGCCCAGAGGATCTAATAGAGATAATCACAATATTAATTAACCAGAGGAAATAGCTATGCCATTACAGATATAGTCTATTAACTGGCTTGTCATCAACAGACAGACATCAAGTATATCTCTTCTGTTTCTTCAGAGCAGTTAGCTATAATACCAATACATAGTCTCAAACCAATGGACTTATTTCTTTAACTTTTTTTAGGCTTATTATTATACATATTACATAATTTTTATTTTTTGAGACAGAGTCTCGCTCCGCCTCCCAGGCTGGAGTACAGTGCTACGATCTCAGCTTATGACAACCTCTGCCTCTCCAAGTTCAAGGGATTCTCATCCCTCAGCCTCTTGAGTAGCTGGGACTACAGGTATGTCGCACCACACCAGGTTAATTTTTGTATTTTTAGTAGAGACAAGGTTTCACCATGCTGGCCAGGCTGGTCTTGAACTACTGGTGTCAAGTGATCCACTCCCCTAGGCCTCCCAAAGTGCTGGGATTACAGGCATGAGCCACCATGCCTGGCTAACTTTTTATTTGGAAATAATCTTATACTTACAAAAATTATTATAGAAAAATTTCCTATGCTCCTCTCCCAGCTTCCCTTAATGGTAACAAGTCACAAACAATAGTATAGTGATAAAAACCAGAAAATGAACATGGATAAGATATGAAACTACTCAAATCTCACTAGTTTTTCCACTAATGTCTTTTTCTGTTCCAGGATCTTACACTGCATTTAGCTTTTGTGTCTCACTGGTCTCTTCCAATCTGTGAAAGTTCGTTAGTCTTTCCTTACGATTTTGATGCTTTTAATGAGTTTTGGTCAGTTATTCTGTAGACTGTCTCTCCATTTGGTTTTGTTTGATGTCTGGTCATGATTAAGGTTACACATTTTTGGCAGGAGAACCACAGAAGTGATGAGTCCTTTTCAGTGCATCACTGGGCATACGTAATACAGAGGGTATGTGATGTTGGTATGTCTTCATTTGGTGATGTTAACTTTAATCACACTTAGTTCAAGTGGTGTCTGCTGCGTTCTCCACTGTAAAGTTGCTATTTTCTCTTAATAATAGATAAATATCATGGAGGCAGACGCTTTTGAGAGTGTCAATATCCTATTTCTCCTCAAAAGTTCTCTCATTCATTTTAGCATCTATTGTTAGATTATGCCTGCAACATTTACACTGTAGTGTTTACTTAATAGTGATTTTGTTTCTATTCTGTCTACATTTCTTAACTGGAAATCTTCTATAAGGAAGAGCTGTCTCTTCTCTCCTATTTATTTCTTTTATTTTTTTGAGACGGAGTCTTGCTCTGTCATCCAGGCTGGAGGGCAGCAGTGGTGCGATCTCAGCTCACTACAACCTCCACCTCCTGGGTTCATGCAGTTCTCCTGCCTCAGCCTTCCGAGTAGCTGGGATTACAGGCGTGTGCCACCATGCCCGGCCTATTTACTTTTTTTTAACAGCGCAGACTCATGGGTATTTATTTCATTCTATGGGTTATAATCCTATACTATCATCATTTTGTTGCTCAAATTGATGTAGCTTTGGCCATTAGGAGCTCCTTCAGGTTGGCTCCTGTGTTCTCTTTTTATAAATGAGACAGGGTCTTACTCTGTCACCCAGAATGGAGTGTAGTGACTCCATCTTGGCTCACTGAAACCTCTACCTTCCAGGTTCAAGTGATCCTCCTTCCTCAGCCCCCTGAGTAGCTGGAACTACAGGTGTGTGCCACCATGCCGTTTTTGTTTTTTAGTAGAGATGGGGTTTCACCATGTTGCCCTGGCTGGTCTCGAACTCCTGGGCTCAAGCGATCTGCCTGCCTTCGCCTCCCAAAATGTTGGGATCACAGGCATGAGCCTGGCCACCTGTGTTCTCTTGATATGCCCCTGTGTTTTTATGGGGACTTTCATATTTTCTGGCATAAGATGACCCATGTTTATCTTGTATTTTCCTTGCCCCAGCTCTGGTATACGAACCTTTTGTCTAAGAAGCCCTGGCTCCTTTCATTGGAAAATGGTATTTGAAACCAAATCTGGGTGTGAAAGGTGCCCATTACTACTAGAATAGTATTTCATTGTGTACATTTTCTTTATGCCTTCATTCACTAATACTTAGGTTGATTCCATATATTGTTCAGCTTTGGTTAGTTTCCTCATCTATTTGCTGATCAGTACTCTGCTGAATACTCATGGAGGAACTTCTGAAGATCTCTGAGGATTGTTCTCCATGCAGTTCTCTCCTCTTTGGTACTCTGTCCAGAGAATTCTAGTCACCTTGGTTCTCTTAGACCCTTAGGCTCTGTCTCCTAAACTCAAGGAGTCCACTTAACTCAGCCTGGGTTTCCCATTCTTGCACTATGACTAGAAAACTTTCTCAAGGTGGTACGCTCTCTCAATCCTAAGACTCACTTTGTTTCTGTCTCTCAGGAATGAATCACTCGTTTGTTGCCTGATGTGCACCATCTTGAAAACCCATTGTTTTATATTTCCTGTCTGTTACTTTCCATTTGTTGCAAGTGGAAGGTAAATCCAGTCCCTGTTAGTCCTTCTTGGTCAGAAGTGGCAAATCTATTGATTTTTCTGTTAATTTTATTTCCTCCTACTTTAATATTTTATTGAGTTAGTTTTATTACTAATTTTTCTGAATTTTCAAACTTTACTGTCATCTGCAACAAGATACTTTTACTTCTTTAACCAATCTTATGCTTCTAATTGTTTTCTCTTATACAATTACTACAGTAAAATGCTGAATAGTAGTGGAGATAGTGGGCATCCTTGCCTTGTTCCTGATCTTTGTTGAAGTGCCTCTAGTGTTTTCCCATTAAATAAGATATTGGCTTTAACACTAAGGTATATGTATTTCATCATGTTAAGAAAGTATCTAAAATACAGAGAAATTTTTTTTCCTTAGATATAACATACGACATTAATAAATGATATGGTTTGGATCTATTTCCCTGGCAAATCTTATGTTGAATTGTAATCCTCAGTGTTGCAAATGGGGGCCTGGTGGAAGGTGACTGGATCATAGGGTGGATTTCTCTTGAACGATCTAGCATTGTCCTCTTGGTGCGGTCCTCGAGATAGTGAGTTCTCATGAGATCTGGTTGTTTAAAAGTGTGCAGCAACTCCCCCACACCTTGCTCCTGCTCTCGCCAAGTGAGATGCTGGCTTCCCCCTTGTCCTTCTGCCATGATTGAAAACTCCGAGGCTTCACCGTAGGCCAAGCAGATGCCAGCACCGTACTTCCTGTAAAGCCTGCAGAACTGTAAGCCACTTAAACCTCTTCTCTTTATAAATTACCTAGTATCTGTTATTTCTTTACAGCAATGCAAGAACAGCTTAACACAATAAATATCCTAATATTAAAACAATCTTGCCTTCCTGGAATAAATCCCACTTGGTCATGGTATATTGTTTGGTAATGTTTTATTACCTTTTATCATTCATCTTGAAGCTATATTTGTTTGCAGTTTTATTCTCTGGATGGTCTTTTCCTGATTTAGGTATCAGTGTTATACTTGCTTCATAAAAGGAGTTTGAAATTTTCCTTCCTTTTCAATACTCTGAAATAATTTATGGAGCATTTGAACTACCTGGTTGTTGAAGGTTTGGCAGAATTCCCCTGTAAAACTACCTGGGCTTTGTGCTTTTTTGTGCAGTTTTGTAATAAATATCTGTATTTATTCTATAAAAGCTAGTCTGTTTACCTTTCTAAATCAAATGGAGTCAATTTGGGTCCTATGTATTTTCCTAGGAAACTGTCCATTTCATCTAGGATTTCACATTTATTTTCCTAGGTGTCTGCAAAGTAGCCTTTTCTGATTTTAAAAGTTTCTTCTGGCTAGGTGCAGTGATTCACCTGCAATTCCAGCACTTACAAGGCCAAGGTGGGAGGGTCACTTGAGCCCAGGAGTTCAAGACCAGCCTAGGCAACATAGCAAGACCTTGTCTCTATAAAAAATGTAAAAATTAGCTGGGTGTGGTGGTGCACATCTGTTGTCCCAACTACTTGGGAGGCTAAGGTGGGAGAATTGCTTGAGCCCACATAGTTGAGGCTGCACTGAGCTGTGATGGTGCCACTGCATTCCAGCTGGGAAACAGAGCGAGATCCTCCTTGTTATTTCTTATTTTGCATATTAGTGTATTCTCCCTTTTTTCTTAATCAAATTAGTCAGCTGTTGGTTTTTGTTAATATTTTCCCATAACCAAAATTTCAATTTATTAAAAGTGCTATTGGTTTTTTATTCTCTGCCTTCTTAATTTCTGATCATTACTGGGACTAGGTGAGGGGTACATAAGGCTTTGCTATACCAGTATGTATGCATTTCAAAATTCTCCATAATAAAAACGTAAAAAATTTATATATACACACAGTATAAAAGCAAAAGCATATACAAGCATTTATATAAACAAACATTCTACTAACCTACCCCACCCTTCCATCTTTAGCCCCACTTCTTTCCAATCATTTACACTTTTAGGTCTTTTGCTGGTTATCTCTATAACTAAACATATATTTAATAAAAATGTAATTAAAAACTACATTATAATTAGTACTTTATCAACTTTAGAAAATATTGATTCTTTGCTAGGAAACATGTGGATTTAGCTCATTTGTACTGTCCTACTTTACTCCCCTATCCCAATATTTGAGGTTATGATGTTCAGTTCTTTGGTTGATTATCTTTGTAAGCTGCAAAACTTGTATTTATCCATCTAATTTTCATTCATCATAGTTCCTTACTTTCCTTTTACATAGGATAATATCAACCCATCCTTATTCTCTCTTCTCCCTTTTACCTTCATATTTTATTGGCAATATTTTGACTTTTATGTTGTGCAGGTTTTTTTCATACTGTTCTACAACCACAATAAAATTTTCTATAGATTATCCACACAGTGATTTTAGATGCTATAAACTAAAATGTTTTTGTGATATTTTGATTATATAAATATGGTTGAATGTCAGGTCAGGCAATCTATGAGGAACGTATTTCATTATGTGTAGGTCCAGCATCAGGGTCTTGGAATGTTCAAAGGAGATTGTTTCTGACATTGAGGTTAAACTGTCTTTTCTAACTGCATCAGCTGTTCATAATCATACCATATTTTATTCTGCTTCTTGTTTAGATCGTGGCTGTCTTATATAGTTTTTTCATTCTTCCTGGCATTTCTAATTGTTTTTAATTTACTTTTTTTCATGAAATTAGAAATCATTTTTATTTACACAAAAATTATGGAAACAATTTTCATTAGCTTTGACGAGTTTCCTTAAGCTGGAAAGGTGAACACAACCATTTCCTGACATATCCACAACAAGAGAAACACCCTGAAACACATTTGAAAAACACATTAGTATAGAACCCATGCACCCCTCCAGAGTCTTATTTTTTTTTTATACTTTAAGTTTTAGGGTACATGTGCGCAACGTGCAGGTTAGTTACATATGTATACATGTGCCATGCTGGTGTGCTGCACCCAGTAACTCGTCATTTAGCATTAGGTGTATCTCCAAATGCTATCCCTCCCCCCTCCCCCCACCCCACAACAGTCCCCAGAGTGTGATGTTCCCCTTCCTGTGTCCATGTGTTCTCATTGTTCAATTCCCACCTATGAGTGAGAACATGCGGTGTTTGGTTTTTTGTCCTTTTGATAGTTTGCTCAGAATGATGGTTTCCAGCTTCATCCATGTCCCTACAAAGGACATGAACTCATCATTTTTTATGGCTGCATAGTATTCCATGGTGTATATGTGCCACATTTTCTTAATCCAGTCTATCGTTGCTGGACATTTGGGTTGGTTCCAAGTCTTTGCTATTGTGAATAGTGCCGCAATAAACATACATGTGCGTGTGTCTTTATAGCAGCATGATTTATAATCCTTTGGGTATATACCCAGTAATGGGATGGCTGGGTCAAATGGTATTTCTAGTTCTAGATCCCTGAGGAATCGCCACACTGACTTCCACAATGGTTGAACTAGTTTACAGTCCCACCAACAGTGTAAAAGTGTTCCTATTTCTCCACATCCTCTCCAGCACCTGTTGTTTCCTGACTTTTTAATGATTGCCATTCTAACTGGTGTGAGATGGTATCTCATTGTGGTTTTGATTTGCATTTCTCTGATGGCCAGTGATGATGAGCATTTTTTCATGTGTCTTTTGGCTGCATAAATGTCTTCTTTCGAGAAGTGTCTGTTCATATCCTTCGTCCACTTTTTGATGGGGTTGTTTTTCTTGTAAATTTGTTGGAGTTCATTGTAGATTCTAGATATTAGCCCTTTGTCAGATGAGTAGGTTGCAAAAATTTTCTCCCATTCTATAGGTTGCCTGTTCACTCTGATGGTAGTTTCTTTTGCTGTGCAGAAGCTCTTTACTTTAAAAAGATCCCATTTGTCAATTTTGGCTTTTGTTGCCATTGCTTTTGGTGTTTTAATCATGAAGTCCTTGCCCATGCCTATGTCCTGAATGGTATTGCCTAGGTTTTCTTCTAAGGTTTTTATGGTTTTAGGTCTAACATTGAAGTCTTTAATCCATCTTGAATTAATTTTTGGTATAAGGTGTAAGGAAGGGATCCAGTTTCAGCTTTCTACATATGGCTAGCCAGTTTTCCCAGCACCATTTATTAAATAGGGAATCCTTTCCCCATTGCTTGTTTTTGTCAAGTTTGTCAAAGATCAGATGGTTGTAGATATGCGGCATTATTTCTGAGGGCTCTGTTCTATTCCATTGGTCTATATCTCTGTTTTGGTACCAGCACCATGCTGTTTTGGTTATTGTAGCCTTGTAGTATAGTTTGAAGTCAGGTAGCGTGATGCCTCCAGCTTTGTTCTTTTGGCTTAGGATTGACTTGGCAATGCTAGCTCTTTTTTGGTTCCATACGAACTTTAAAGTAGTTGTTTCCAGTTCTGTGAAGAAAGTCATTGGCAGCTTGATGGGGATGTCATTGAATCTATAAATTACCATGGGCAATATGGCCATTTTCATGATATTGATTCTTCCTACCCATGAGCATGGAATGTTCTTCCATTTGTTTAACTTATTGACACAGGCTTCATCATAGCCTTGTTTCCTTATTCTTTTTTTTTTTTTTTTGAGATGGAGTCTCACTCTGTCACCCAGGCTGGAGTGCAGTGGCATGATCTTGGCTCACTGCAAGCTCCGCCTCCCAGGTTCACGCCATTCTCCTGCCCTAGCCTCCTGAGTAGCTGGGACTATAGGCGCCCACCACCACGCCTGGCTAATTTTTTGTATTTTTAGTGGAGACGGGGTTTCACAGTGTTAGCCAGGATGGTCTCGATCTCCTCATGATCTGCACACCTTGGCCTCCCAAAGTGCTAGGATTACAGGCGTGAGCCACTGTGCCCAGCCCCCTTATTCTCAAATGTAACTGTATTGCATGGAGTTGCTCCTTGCCTCCCTCTCCCCCATCATGGAGAAGACCTGCTTGGAGGAATTTTACCACCTTCTCTCTTCTGAACTGGCTGCTCTTCAGTTATCCTGATGCTGCCCTTCATTACTTCTCTGGATTGAATCCACTGTGTCTTAGGTCTCATGTATTCCTCTTTCTTGGTTTACTTACTTTGCTGCAGTATATATGCAAGTAACCATTTAAGAAGCAAAGAGGTAACTTATAAAGGAGATAAACTTTCTCAGTCCATGAATGTCCAGGAATCAGGTTTATGTGAACCTCATTCCTAATTACTAGGTTAGCAAGATACAGAAATCTAAGTTCAAATCCATTTCCTGAGGGATGCCAATGAGAATCTAATACCATCCTAGTCTCTTTATCTACATTTTTCCAAAACTTCAAGGACATGTTTATGCATGTGTCTTAAAGAAATTCATAATTGTCAGGACTCAGTGTTTTTTTTTTTTTTTTTTTTGAGATAGAGTCTTGCTCTGTCGCCCAGGCTGGAGTGCAGTGGCGTGATCTCGGCTCACTGCAAGCTCCACCTCCCAGGTCCCGGGTTCATGCCATTCTCCTGCCTCAGCTTCCCGAGTAGCTGGGACTATAGGCACCCGCCACCACGCCTGGCAATGTTTTTGTATTTTTAGTAGAGACAGGGTTTCACTGTGTTAGCCAGGATGGTCTCGATCTCCTGACCTCGTGAGCCACCTGCCTCAGCCTCCCAAAGCACTGGGATTACAGGCGTGAGCCACTGTGCCCGGCCTCGCTTGCTTTTTGAGAAAGTCTTGCTCTGTCACCCAGGGTGGAGTGCACTGGCGCAATCTCAGCTCACGGCAACCTCTGCCTCCCAAGTTCAAGCAATTCTTCTGCCTCAGCCTCCCGATTAGCTGGGACTGTAGGTACGTGCCACCACACCCGGCTAATTTTTGTACTGTTAGTAGAGATGTGGTTTCACCATGTTGGCCAGGCTGGTCTCAAACTCCTGACCTCAAGTGATCCGCCCGCCTTGGCTTCCCAAAGTGTTGGGATTACAGGTGTGAGCCACTGTGCCTGGCCTCAGTGGCTCTTTTTAACCAAAGACTTATATATTTTAGCTCTGCAAAATGATTCTGTATTATTTTATTTGATGATTTCTCTCCACTTTTCCCCTTCTTTCTTCCCCACTCTCCAATTAGTTAGATATTAAAATTCCTGAAGTGGTCCTCTATATCCATCTTCTTTTTCTCTCTCTCTTTCTCTCTGAAAGATATCCTCAACTTTAGTTTCCAGGTCTTATGCTGAGCTTTTGGTACCTACATTTTAAAATTCTAACAGCTTTTTCTTGTATCAGCATTCTGTTTTCATACAGTTTATTCTTGTTTTTTTATTCTTTTTTACATTTATTTAAATTGACAAATAAAATTGTACAATTTATCATTTACAGTGTGTTGTTTCAAAATATGTATTTATTGTGGAATGGCTAAATTGAGTTATTAACATATGTATTACCTCATTATTTTGTAGTGAAAACACAAAATCTACTGTCTTAGCAATTTTCAAGAATAGGATACATTGTTATTAACAGTAGTAACCATGTTGTATGATAGATCTCTTGAAATTATTCCTATTTAGCTGAAATTTTGTATCCTTTGATTGACATCCTCCCAGCTTTGGTTATTAGTCCAGTCTCACATTGCTCTAAAGAACTACCTGAGACTGGGTAATTTATGAAGAAAACAGGTTTAATTGACCCACAGTTCTGCAGACTGTACAGGAGGCATGCCTGGGGAGCCCTCAGGAAACTTACAATCATGGCGAAAGGCGAAGGGGAAGCAAGCATATCTTCACATAGCAAGCAGGGGAGAGACAGAGAACAAGGGGGAGGTGCTACACACTTTCAAACAATCAGATCTCATGAGAACTGTATGAGACAGCACTAGGAGGATGGTGCTAAACCATTAGAAACCACCCCCATAATCCAATCATCTCCCACCAGGCCCCACCTTCAACACTGGGAATTACAATTCAACATGAGATTTGGGTGGGGACACAGAGCTAAACCATATTATTTGGTAATTACCATTCTATTCTTTACTTCTATGAGTTTACCATTTTTAGATTTACATATAAGTGAGATCACGTAGTATTTGTCTTTCTGTGCCTGGCTTCCTTCACTTAACATAATGTCATCCAAATTCATCCATGTTGCTGCAAATAACAGAGTTTCCTTCTTTGTTTAAAGCTGACTGGTATTTCATTGTGTATATATACCGTATTATCTTTTTAAGTTTTAAGTTCGGGTGCTCATGTGCTGACTTGTTACATAGGTAAACTTGCGTCAAGAGGGTTTGGTTGTACAGATTATTTCATCACCCAGGTATTAGGCCCATTAACTATTAGTTATTTTTCCTGATCCTCTCCTTCCTCCTACCCCCTCCAACCTTCAACAGGACCCAGTGTCTGTTGTTTCCCTCTATGTGTCCATGTGTTCTCATCATTTAGCTCCCACTTATAAGTGAGAACATGTGGTATTTGGTTTTCTGTTTTTGTGTTAGGTTTGCTAAGGGTAACAGCCTCCAGCTCCATCCATGTACCTGCAAAGGCATGATCTCTTTCTTTTTTATGGCTGCATAGTATTCCATAGGGTATATATATCACATTTTCTTTATCTGGTCTATCATTGATGGGCATTTAGGTTGATTCCACCATGTCTTTGCTATTGTGAACAGTGCTGCAATGAACATACATGGCATGTCTCTTCATAAGAGAATGATTTATATTCCTTTGTATACATACCCAGTAATGGGGCTGCTGGGTCAAATGGTATTTCTATCTTTAGGTCTTTGAGGAATTGCCACACTGTCTTCCATAATGATTGAACTAATTTACACTCCCACCAACAATGTATAAGCATTCCCTTTTGTTCACAACCTTGCCGGTATCTTATCTTTTGACTTTTTACCAACAGACATTCTGACTGGTGTGAGATGGTATCTCATTGTGATTTTGACTTGCATTTCTCTAATCATCAGTGATGTCGAGTTTTTTTTCATATGATCGTTGGCCACATGCACGTCTTCTTTTGAAAAATATTTGTTCATGTATTTTGCTCACTTTTTTATGTTTTTTTTTCTTGTAAATTATTTAAGTTCCTTATAGATGCTGGATATTAGACCTTTGTTGGATGCATAGTTTGTAAAAATTTTCTCCCATTCTGTAGGCTGTCTGTTTAGTCTGTTGATAGTTTCTTTTGCTGTGCAGAAGCTCTTTAGTTTAATTAGATCCCATTTGTCAATTTTTGCCCGTTACAATTGCTCTTGGTGTCTTTGTCATGAAAGCTTTGCCTGTGCCTACGTCCTGAATGGTATTGCCTAGGTTGTCTTCCAGGGATTTTATAGTTTTGCGTTTTACATTTACGTTTTAATCCATCTTGAGTTAATTTTTGTATATGGTATAAGAAAGGCATCTAGTTTTAATCTGCATGTGGCTAGCCAGTTATCCCAGCACCATTTATTGAATAGGGAATCCTTTCCCAATTGCTTTTGTCAGGTTTGTCAAAGATCAGACAGTTGTAGCTGTGCAGTCTTATTTCTGGGTTCTCTATTCTGTTCCATTGGTCTATGTATCTGTTTTTGTACTGGTACCACACTGTGTAGCCTTGTAGCATTGTTCGAAGATGGGTAGCATGATGCCTTCAGCTTTGTTCTTTTTGCTTAGGATTGCCTTGGCTATTATGGCTCTTTTTTCGTTCCATATTAATTTTAAAGTAGTCTATTTCCTATTTCTGTAAAGAATGTCAATGGTAGTTTAACACTGAATCTATAAATTGCTTTGGACAATATGGCCATTTTAGTGATATTAATTCTTGCTACCCATGAGCATGGAATGTTTTTCCATTTGTCTGTGTCATCTCTGATTTATTTGAGCAGTGGTTTGTAGTTCTCCTTGTAGAGATCTTTCACCTCCCTAGTTAGCTATTCCTAGATATTTTATTCTTTTTGTGGCAATTGTGAATGGGAGTTCATTCCTGATTTGGCTCTCGGCTTGTTTTTGGCATACAAGAATGCTAGTGATTTCTACACACTGATTTTGTATCCTGAGACTTTGCTGAAGTTGTTTATCAGCTTAAGAAGCTTTTGGGCTGAGACTGGGGGGTTTTTGAAATATAGGATCATGTCGTCTCCCAACAGGGATAGTGTGACTTCCTGATGCCCTTTATTTCTTTCTCTTGCCTGACTGCCCTGACTAGAACTTCCAATACCATTGTAGTTGATCATTCAGTATGATGCTTGTCATATATGGCTCTTATGATTTCGAGGTATGTTCCTTCAATACCTAGTTCACATTTTTGTTATGCCTCCATTCACTGATACTTAGGTTGATTCTGTATTTTGGCTATTGTGAATAATGCTGCAATGAACCTGGCAGTGTAGATATTTCTTCAACATACTGATTTCATTTCCTTTGGATATACACCCAGTAGTAGGACTGTAGGATCATATGGTAGTTCTCTTTTTAATTTTTTGAGGAAACTCCAAACTGTTCTTCATAATGGCTATACTAATTTACATTCTCACCATCAGTGTGCAAGGATTCCCTTTTCTCTACATCCTCTCCAACACTTGTTATCTTTCGTCTTTTTGATAATAACCATTCTAACAGGTGTGACATGATCTTTCATTGTGGTTTTAATTTGCTTTTCTCTGATAGTGATTTTGAGCATTTTTCATATACTTTTTGGCCATTGTTTGTCTCCTTTTATGCAATGTCTATTCAGATTCTTCACCATTTAAAAATGTATTGAGGTAAAATATAAATATAAAATTTACCACATTTACCATTTTAAGTGTACAGTTCAGTGGTAATAAATACATTTATATTCTCTTTTTCCCTTCATCTTCTCCCTCCCCTTTCCCCCTTCCTGGTCTCTGTTAACCACCAATCTACTTTCTATCTTCACAAGATCCATTTTTTAAACTCCTGCATATGAATGAGAACATGTGATATTTATCTTTCTGTGCTTTGCTCATTTAACATAATGGCCTCCAGTTCTATCCATATTGCTGCAAATGACAGGATTTCATTCTTTTTTATGACTAATATTCCATTGTGTATATATACACTGTATTTTCTTCATCCATTGATTGGCACTTGGGGGGTTCCATATTCTGGCTATTGTGAATAGTGTTGCAATAAACACAGAGTGCAGATATACTTATTTCCTTTCTTTTGGATATTTCCGGATCATATGGAAGTTCTATTTTTAGTTTTTTTGAGTAGCATGATGCCTCCAGCTATTCTCCATAGTAGCTGTATTAATTTACATTCCCACCAACGGTGTGTGTGGGGGGGGTCCTCTTTCTCTGCATCCTCACCAGCATGTTATTGCCTGTCTTTTTAATACAAGCCATTTTAACTGGGGAGAAGGTGAAATGATATCACTTTATGGCTTTAATTTTCATTTCTCTGATGATTAGTGATGCTGAGTATTTTTTCATATACCTGTTGCCTTTGCCCATTTTTAAATAAGGTTATTTTCTTGCTATTGAGTTGTTTTGAGTTCCTTACAAATTTTGGATATTAACACCTTGCCAGATATATGGTTTGCAAATATTTTCTACCATTCTGTAGATTTTCTTTTCACTCTGTTGATTATTTCCTTGACTGTGCAGAAGTTTTTTACTTTGATGCAATTCCATTTGTCTATTTTTTCCTTTGTGCTTTTGGGTTCATATCCAAAAAAAAAATCAATGCTAAGACGAGTGTCACGCAGCCTTACCCCTATGTTTTCTTTACAGTTTCAGGTATTACATTTAAGTCTTTAACCCATTTTCAGTTGATTTTTATATACGGTGTAAGATAAAGGTTTTGTTTTACGGTTCTTATTGTATATAACCTTCCTTAATATAGTACTTTTTAAAATAACTGGTTTTTTTTTTTTAGAATAGTTTTAGGTTTATAAAAAAATTAAGAAAACAGCACTGAGAGTTCCCATATACCCTGCGCCCAGATTCCTCAATTATTAACACCTTACACTTACTATATGGTCCACTTGTTAAAATTAAACTGATATTGACACATTATTTTTAAAGTCCATACTTTATTCACATTTCCTTAATTTTTACCTGATGTCTTCTTTCTATTCCAGTGTTCTATCCAGGTCATCATATTCTATTTAGTTATGTCTCCTTAGACTTCTTTTGGCTGTGACAGTTTCTTAGACTTTCCTTACTTTTGATGACCTTGACAGTTCTGATGAGTACTACTCAGGTATTATGTAGGATATTTCATTACTGGAATCTGCCTGATGTTTTCCTCATGATTAGACTGGGTTTATGGATTTTTGGGAGAAAGGCCAGAGAAGTAACATGTCCTTTGCACCATATCTTGCCAAAGGTACATACTAACAACGTGATTGATGACTGCTGATGTTGGCCTTGATCATCAGACTGAGGTAGTATCTGTCAGGCTCCTCCACTGTAAAGTTACTCCCCACACCCTGAAATCACTATGCATAGCCTACTCTTAAGGAATGGTGATTTACGCTCCCCTCTTTAAGACTGCAGTGTCTACTAAACTGTTTGCAATTCTGCATAGATTTGTTTCTTCTCCCCAATCATTTATTTATATCAGTATGTGCAATTTGTTTTTAAAAAATTCTCATCACCACATTCCATAAAGATGATTTCCCAAGTAGTGGTATTTCTCTAAGTTGCTCCAGAGTCTTAGGGTGCAAACCACAGTTAGTAAGCTCCTTATGAACAACCTCTGTATCAAGTACTTTGTCCATTGGCAGGCAGGTGTTAAATACAGCAGTTGGCTCGTGTGGATACAGTACTGCAGAGAAAGACCCGCTCTGTGAAGATTTGAGCAGCATGGTCAGTGAATGCAGAGAATGAGGCACGATAGAACCTGTAATCTCCAAACTAAACTGGTCTCTGTATCCAGAAAGAGCTGTGTCTTCACATTTACACTTTGTGCCTTAAGCATTTGCATTATGGCACCTCGGAGAGCAACAGGGGATAAGAGGGTCAGAGGAAGTCCTACCTGTGGACCTGAGGTAGCAACTAAACTCTTAGAGTTGATCAAAAAATTGAGCAATGTAAAGATGTTGATTCCTTTCACCAACACAACAGACTCAGGTCTGTGATCCATTTGTACTTCATGTTTCTTTTTACGCAGCTTGATAGAAAGTATGTCTGGCTTTTTAATTTTATCTTGCACAGTCATCTCTTCTATATTTATAACTGGAGATCCTGAACACCAAAGTAAGCCTAAAAGGAATCTTTGAGGAAAAAAGCCTTGTAGCAAGCAAAGTCAAAATTCTTGAAGTTAAGGAAATATACTTTAAAATATTGAAATGTTTATAAACATTAACTTTTATTACATGCACTGAGCAGTAGCATTTTAAGGTTTTAAATCAGTGTTTTCTGCTTTTACTATTTTCAGATTAAATTTTTAGATATAAAGATAAAAAACTCAGAGAACTCAAATGAGATATCTATATCCCTACAACCGAATTATATAGTGAGTAGAAAACTGAATTAATGCATTTCTTTGCAAACAGGAAATTGAGACTAAACACACAGCAGCTATCTCATGGCATTCTGACCAATGGCATCAGGGCAAAAATATGTTACTTTACCATTTACCTAAGACTGTTAGCAGGTTCTTGTTTTACAAAGGTAGAAAATAAATGTAGACAACATCTACTGAGCTGACTGATGATGCCTTTACCTGAACATCTTTCCTACTGATTTATAATTCCTTTATTTTCACATATACTAAATATTTTTAAATGCATGTTAATTCAGATAAAAAGGCATTTTGTATTCCACATAGAATAGCGTTAAGAATTGTGAAGTAGGCTGGACGCGGTGGCTCATGCCTGTAATCTCAGCACTTTGGGAGGCCGAGGTGGGCGGATCACGAGGTCAAGAGATCCAGACCATCCTGGCCAACATGATGAAACCCCATCTCTACTAATAATACAAAAATTAGCTGGGTGTGGTGGCGCGTGCCTGTAATCCCAGCTACCTGGGAGGCTGAGGAAGGAGAATTGCTTGAACCCGGGAGGCGGAGGTTGCAGTGAGCCAAGATCGTGCCACTGCACTCCAGCCTGGCGACAGGGCGAGCCTCCAACTCAAAAAAAAAAAAAAAAAAAAAAAAGAATTGTGAAGTATACCGAGCTGTCATGGCAAAGTAGTATTTAATGTGCTTATAGGTGTATGTGTATGTGTGTAGGGGGAATTATATAATTCACATTTTTAAAATAAAAGTGCTTAGAAATAAAAAGCACTGGGTAAAGAAATAATAGTATTTAAGTATTTGTTCACTTTATAATCCAGAAAATAAAACACCACGTTTATTTCCCCCCCAAAAAAATTCTCATTTCTTCTGTTTCCTGAATTAGTTTTGTTTCTTTTCTGGGCTACTTTTTCTGTGTATGTGTTTTTTTAACCTTTATTTTTCTTTAATGATGATCATTTTCCTCATATACCTGGTTGTCCATTCATGTTTAAGAAGGACAAGGTAGTTGATATAATTTGATATAATTTTCCTCTGTGGAAATATAAGTAGGTCTATTTTTCAACAGGTATCTTTCTTGAGTACCAAATCTGCCTCGGGGTTCTGTGCATTTAGGGTGGGTGTGTTGATTGACAGGCATTATTTTAGAGTAAACTGGTGAGACCTCCCGGGATCTCCAACTGCCAGAATAAAGAGAAATAAGGAGAATTTTAATCTGTGGCTGTCACATTAGAAGCCTTAGCATGCTTTATTGTCTTGTTAGTGTGTTTATGCTTGTGAATAAATGTCAGGCTGCACTTTATATTTGTGAACCAGGAAAGGAGTCAACTAGTGATTGTTGTGTATACCGACCTTCAGTGAATCCCCATTTCCAGTATCTCTCATTGGGTCAGTCAGTCCTGAATTTACAACTGCTCTGGGCCTTGATGAGCACAGGAGCTCACTTCACCACTTGAGCCCACACACAGCTCCTGATTCTGGGTTGTGGTTTTCTTAGCCTACTTCTGGTCACTTATTTTTTTTTCTTTTTTTTTGATCCATATAAATCCATTTATTATTAAACTATTTATTTACAATTTTAAGATCACAGAATCTTTTTTAAACTTTTATTTTAGGTTTGGGAGTAAATGTGAAGGTTTGTTACATGGGTAAACTCATGTCACAGGGCTTTGTGGTACAGATTATTTCACTACAGGTACAGGTATTAAGCCCAGTACCCAATAGTTATCTTTTCTGCTCCTCTCCCTCTTTCCACCTTCCACCCTCAAGTAGACCGCAGTGTCTGTTGTCTCCTTGTTTGTTTTCATAAGTTCTCACCATTTAGCTCCCACTTATAAGTGAGAACATGTGGTATTTGGTTTTCTGTTCCTGCATTAGTTTGCTAAGGATAATGGCCTCCAGCTCCATCCACAGTCCCACAAGACATGTGGTCACTTTCTATCTTAAAGAAATATGTTAAGATTTCTTGTACGTTGATTTTCTCTACCATTTCATTGGCTTCCGTGGATTTATTCCTTTTTAATTTCTACACTTTAACTTCAGAAGGGCTTGGGAAAGAATGGGAGGATAATGTCTCTATTTAGTTTGTCTCTTTTACCAGAAGACTCCACAAGTCCACTTCTTAAATACAAATAAGATTTCTCCTTAGATTTAAGGGAAGTATAAATGTCTGTTAACTCATAATTATGATTTTGTTGTTGTCTGTTTCTAATTTTCTTAGTCTAAACTTAATTTACATTCCTGTCAAAGCTTTTATTAAAGCTCTGATAAAATTCAGAACTGCATCAGTCAGCATAGGGTCCCCACAGGAAAAAGAATTCACTGTATGAAGCTTTCACGAAAAGATTACATGTGGAGTTGTGAGCAGGATGAAGGGAGCAAACAAGGGAATAATGAGGCACCCAGAGACTACTGACAGGAGGATACTGTTATAGTCCTGAGGGCCAAAGGAACAAGGGGAGGAGGAGAGCCTAGTAGGCACTAGGACCACAGACAAGGGGCTGTCCAGCAGAAGCTGTATTGTAGAGAGACATAGTTACTGTGCCGAGGCAGAGAGCAGGGAAGAAATGCCAGCTTTTCTTTCCTCTGTCCTCCCATTTACTGGCAATGCTTCCCACTGCCCAGATCCAACCAAAAGCTAGTCAGCAAGAGAGCCCCAAAGACGCACTTTGTAGGGTCAGAGCAAGGCCAAGAATGGATTGAGAGAGTGAGGATGGAGAGCAGTAGAGAACTGGTAATAAAACCTAATGTTTTATTACAATGCAGTTCAAATATTGAAGATTTGAGATTTCACAAAACATAGGAATATTTAATGTTGGATATTATCAGGTAAAATGGTCTTAATTAAATGCCAAAAACTATTAAGAATCTTCATTCTCATGAGTATTTTTTTTAGGGGAACAAAACCATGTAGCAGGTGAGTCTAAGGATAATCAAAGCCATTATGCAAATTAGACAAGCCCAAGGGCCCTGAGCATAAAATAAAATCAGAACCAAACTTCACATTTTAAACATGGAAGATTGTTACTATAATTAAAAGTCTATGTACTATGGTGTTATTAGTCAGGGTAGTGGTTATTGTTGGGTGGCAGTGACTGGGATGGAGCATGACAGGCTTTGCAGGTGCTGGTAATACTGTTTTTGGATCTGTGTGCTAGTTATACGGATATGCCCACATTGTGAAAATTCATTGACTAGGACACCTGTGATTTGGGTGTTTTGTGTGATTATATTTCAGCAAAAATCTTTTTAAAAAATCATGGCATGGCCAGGTGTGGTGGCTCATGCCTGTAATCCCAGCACTTTGGGAGGCTGAGGCAGGTGGATCACCGGAGGTCAGGAGTTCGAGACCAACCTGGCCAACATGGTGAAACCCAGTCTCTACTAAAAACACAAAAATTACCCGGGTGTGGTGGTGGGTGCCTGTAATCCCTGCTACTTGGGAGGCTGAGGCAGGACAATCAATTGAACCCAGGAGGCGGAGGCTGCAGTGAGCCAAGATCGCACCATTGCACTCCAGCCTGGGCGACAAGAGCGAGACTCCGTCTCCAAAAAAACAAACAACAACAAAACATGGCAGCCATGAATACAACTTAAAAAAACCTCAACTATTTCCATGTATTTTATGCCCTTCTTTAGGTATCCATACTAAGAGCTAACAAGGATTTACTGTAACACCTAAAATAATGATGCACATTCAACAGGCAGGAAAAGCTTATCTTAGCTTCAAAGAATTTGTGATCTGCTTAGAAAAACCAAATATTTAGATACGAAAACAAGAATATTAACAAGCAATATCTCAGGCTATGAAGAATGCTATAGTAGAAACAGGTGCAATACTGATATGTAACTGATTCCCATGGGAAGGCCTAGATAGAAACACTCCCCAGGTGGGCTCTTTCTGTTAGACATCTCTCTCTCTCTAAAACCTTAACAAAGGTCAACTAGGCCAAATGACTGTGGACCCTGCATTTAAGCCTACAATACGCACAGTGCCATAAAAGCCATGAAGATTTTGAGGTCACTTCTCTTCTCTGCCCTGAAGTAGTGAGTAGGGAGCTCACCCCTACTTGAAAGGGAAGCAGACAATACAAGCAAGGAGAATTGAAGGCAGAGATAGGAAAGCATAAGGGAACATGGCAGCAGGAGATTTCTGCAGAGTAGAAGACCTCTTAGTGTCAGGAAAAAGAAAGAGAAGTCTGTGGGTGATAGGAGCAAAGGGACCCTGCTGCCTGGCAACACCCTAGGGGTGCAGCTAAAACCTTAAAAGAAAACAGCTGTGTGTGCATCTAGGCAGACGGGCCATGGGTATCTTCACCAAAGGTTCTGGGGCTTGACACGTGGCACAGAAGCAGCAAAGACCTCTGGATCTGAAGGGAATCTGCTAGCCAAAGATGGCTGATGTCTCAGCAGTAACTCCCAACCCTAATGCTTTGGTACCGTGTAAGACCTCAGAACTGTGGCACAGCTCCAGGCTGAGAAACCTCAGGAAGGTCTGAGGTTAAAAATATCCGCCAACCTGGTAAACGAAGGCTAAAGTTAGAAATTCAAATCCAGAAACTTATACTTCTGATAGATCTGACGTTTATTCAGGTCTGAGACTTATCCTTTTTTTACATGTATAATATATGGATATACAACACACAGAGTTTAAAATTTCATACACAGAAAAGGAAAAATGAGAAGTACAGTGCCATTGTTTTATCTGGTTCCATCAGTGAAAGCTGCTCCCTATAAATGAGTTTTCTAGATAAGTACATATAGAGTCTATGCTACTAAAATAAATTACTAATCTCAGCTGAAATCTGGTAATGGGATTGGGACTACTGCCATTATCCTAAATTACTCCCACACTAGAGTACATTTAGAGCTTCTGGGTCTTTTTTTTCTCTTAGTGTTTCTTACTCTCCTCACTACCTTTGTAGTCTGGTGGTGTAGTCTGTTTTTTGCAGCTCTCCATGCACTTGATTCTAGTTATCCTCTTTCCCTTCTCCTATTCTAATTTTCTGTTTCAAATATATCTTGGGTTGAAGAATCAGGAAACCAAGCATTTAAAAACTGTACTTAAATAATGGGTCAGGAGGCAGTGAGTGAAGACCCCAGAGTTCGTGAGAGTGATCCTGGTTACATCATGACCTTTTCTTTCTTTCTACCAGGTTCTTAGCTATGTTCTACGCTAACAGAGAAGTTATCTTCTTGCATTCTATCATTTCAGAAGGTGCTTCAGTGATTGCTGTGGGTGGGCAAGGGGGAGGATGAGTGGCCCCTCTCCTCTGCTTCAGTGGGAGTAGCCCTGAAGGAGTAGCTCTTTTACTACTATGGGTTCTGTTTTAGATTTCATTTAACGAGATTTCATTTAACGAGATTTCATTTAACGAGAGGATCTTACTGCTAAAACAAGTTTGAAAACCACTCTTCTAGAATCTGATATCTAGATCTGTGTAGCTCAATTGACATGTTATAGTTGTAAATTTTAAACAAAACTGCTGAAACTCCAAAATTAGAACCCATTTTCAAAAGGAGATGAAAATTACCTGAAGTAGAGGGATGAAATCCTCCTGTTCTAGAGAGCTGCAGTTGGGCTTTGCTAGAAGACAGATGAATTTAGAGGCATCATCATGATGGTTATTCAGCAACCTATAAAAGAAACAACTGCTTAGGAAGATTAGTTCCTCTGAACAAACAATGACAATAACATCAATAGTTAGTAATTTCAGTTTGATCTGAAGGCCACTCAGATCAACAATCAAGTAAGGAATTTACATAATCAAAGGATGTTTTAGAATGATGAGCTGTCTATAAGGTTGGATGAGTACTGAAGTCTATTAGACCCTCTTCCCTTCCAGGGGTCTCAGCATGAAGTAATAAGGCCTTGACCTTGATGGTAAAACGGAAACAGGAAGGAACAGCTGTCTAAAGCATTTTCAGGAAACATTCCTCAGGACTCCAGTAACCTCATCTAGTATTCCAAGCACCCAATGGTTCAAGCTAGAAACTTGGGAGTCGTCATGAACTTCTCCCTTCCTTTTACCCCGACACCTATCAACTACCATGTTGTTTCATTTCTACCAAATTTGCCTCTTTCTGTCTCCCACTGCCAATATCCATGCTTAGGCTCTTGTTTGTTGCTTGATATTTCTGAGTAACATATTTGATCACGTCATTGTCCAAATTAAAATTCTTCTGTCAAGTAGGCTAAAGTCCCAGCTTTTTTTTTTTTTTTGAGACGGAGTTTTGCTCTTTTCACCCAGGCTGGAGTGCAGTGGCACAATCTCAGCTCACTGCAGCCTCCACCTCCTGGGTTCAACCAATTCTCCTGCCTCAGCCTCCAGAGTAGCTGGGACTATAGGCGCATGCCACCACGCCTGGCTAGTTTTTGTATTTTTAGTAGAGACGGGGGTTTCACCATGTTGGCCAGGATGTTCTTGATCTCCTGACCTTGTGATCCGCCTGCCTCGGCTTCCCAAAGTGCTGGGATTACAGGCGTGAGCCACGGCGCCTGGCCTAAAGTCCTAGCTTCTTGACCTGACATAGAAGGGCCTCCAGAATCTGATCCTACCTGCTCATGTCCCCTTCTCTTACCATTCCTGCACTTGTGGTTGCACAAATGTTCCATGCCTTCTCACACCAGGCATTTGTAAATGCTACCGTCCTTACCACAATACCCTTTTCCCTTACTTCACCTTCCAGGAACTCTTGCTGGCCTCCTGTGTCCTTCCATGTGCTTATTATTTCTGTCATGGCTGTTCCACAATAGCATAACCTTATTGGAATAACTTTTTTTTTTCAACTTTTATTATAGGTACAGGGGTACATGTACGGGTTTGTTACAAAGGTATACTCAGTGATGTAGAGGTCTGGAGTATGAACGAATCCATCTCTCAGGTAGTGAGCATAGTACCAATAGCTAGTTTTTCAGCCCTTGCTCCCTCCATCCCTACCCTTTCTTGTATTCCCCAGTGTCTACTGTTCTCATCTTTTTTTTTTTTTTGAGACGGAGTCTCGCTCTGTTGCCTACGCTGGAGTGCAGTGGCGCAATCTCAGCTCACTGCAAGCTCTGCCTTCTGGGTTCACGCCATTCTCCTGCCTCAGCCTCCCAAGTAGCTGGGACTACAGGCACCCGCCACCACACCTGCCTAAATTTTTTTTTGTATTTTTAGTAGAGACGGGGTTTCACTGTGTTAGCCAGGATGGTATCGATCTCCTGACCTCGTGATCCACTCACCTCGGCCTCCGAAAGTGCTGGGATTACAGGCGTGAGCCACCACGCCCGGCCTGTTCTCATCTTTATGTCCATGTGTACTTGATGTTTAGCTCCCACTTACAAGTGAGAACATATGGTATTTGGTTTTCTGTTTCTGCGAATTTGCTTAGGATAATGGTCTCCAGCTGCATCCATGTTGCTACAAAGAACAAGACTTCATTCTTTTTTACGGCTGCTTAGTAGTCCATGGTGTACCTGTACCACATTTTCTTTATCCAGTCCACCATTGATGGGCATGTATGTTGATTCCATGTCTTTGCAATTGTGAACAGTGCTTCATTGAACATATGGGTGCATAAGTCTTTTTGGCAGAATGACTTATTTTTCTTTGGGTATATACCCAGTAATAGAACTACTGGATTGAAATGTAAACTCTGTTCTTTGAGAAATCTCCAAACTGCTCCATGGAGTTCAGCCATGTCCACCTCTTTAGTGAGACTGGGGAAATTTCCGTGGACTATATCCTCATACGTTTTCCAAGTTGCGTACTCTCGCTCCTTCTCTCTCAGGAATGCCAATGAGTTATAGGTTTGGTCTCTTTACATAATCCCATATTTCTGAGAGTTTTCATTTTTTAAAATTCTTTTTTATTTTTGTCTGCCTGCATTGATTCAAAGGAGTGGTCTTTGAGCTCTGAGACTCTTTCCTCAGATTGATCTGTTGTTATTAATGCTTCTAGTTGTATTATGGAATTCCCGTAGTAAATTTTTCAATTCTAGAAGTTCAGTTTGGTTCTTTCTTAAAATGGCTGTGTCATCTTTCAACTCTTGGATCATTTTACTGTTTTCCCTGGATTGAGTTTCAACTTTCTCCTGTATTTCATTGAGCTTTCTTACCATCCAGATTCTGAATTCTGTCATTTCAGCTGCTTTAATTTGATTAACAACCATTGCTGGGGAGCTAGTGAGATCATTTGGAGGTAAGAACACACTCTGGGTTTTAGAATTGTCAGAGTTCTTGTGCTGGTTCCTTCTCATCTGTGAGGGCAGGTGTTCCTTTATCTTTTGATGTTGCTGTCCTTTGTCCTTTGGATGGAGCTTTTTTGTTTTTACTTTATTTCCCTTGAGGGTTTGACTGTGGTGCAAGCTGAGTATAGCCAATTGGCTTTATTTCTGCATGCTTTCAGAGGGCCAAGGCTCTGTATGGAATCTCTTCTGGATTTCTTTTTTTTTTTTTTGAGATGGAGTTTCACTCTTGTTGCCTAGGCTGGAGTGCAACAGCGCAACCTCGGCTCACTGCAACCTCTGCCTCCCAGGTTCAAATGATTCTCCCGCTTCAGCCTCCGGAGTAGCTGGGATTATAGGTGCCCATCACTATGCCCGGCTAATTTTTTGTATTTTTAGTAGAGATGGGGTTTCACCATGTTGGCCAGGCTGGTCTCAAACTCCTGACCCTCAGGTGATCCACCTGCCTCGGCCTCCCAACGTGCTGGGATTACAGTTTTCTGTCTTTCTTGAGACAAAGCCTGGCTCTGTCACCAAGGCTGGAGTACAATGGCGTGAACACAGCTCACTGCAGCCTCAACCTTCTGGGCTCAAGTGATCCTCCTGCCTCAGCCTCCCAAGCAGCTGGAACCACAGGTTCATACCATCATGCCTGGCTAATTTTTTTGTAGAGACAGAGTCTTGCCATGTTACCTAGGCTGGTCTTGAACTCCTAGGCTCATGCAATCTTACTGCCTCGGCCTCCCAAAGTGCTGGGATTACAGGTATGAGTCACTGTGCCTGGCCTGTATGGGATCTTTATTTGTGGCCAGAATCCTGTACTGGGTTTTCTCAGGCAATTCATGCTGGAATTTTTTGGTGCTGTAATTCAAGCTGTAACCTGGGAGATGGCATTTAATAGTAAGGGCTACCAGGTAGACTGCAGGTTAGGGGTATGTCTGTGGGTGGTCTGTTCATGCAGTAGGTCAAGGGTGAGGGATCCCTGGGTAGGGTGATGCTGCCTTGGCCGTGCAGCTGGTGTGGTGCCCACAGCCTAGGTTTTTTTGGCCAGCAGATAGCAGTGAGAACTTCCCAGCTTGTGCTTCCTTGACAGGTCTCCTGGTTACTGCCCAGAATTTGGCCCAACCAGCTAGTTTGTCACAAGACTTCTGCACCCAGATCACTGGGCTATTAGGTGTTCCAGACTGCCAGGCTCCCTTGGGTAGAGGTTGTGGCCCAGTTCCTGTGCCAGCCCATTAATCCATACCTCACTTTTCCCAGTGCTCTGAGAGTAAGGGCTCTTCCGCCACTTGAGTTCCAACCACAAGTCTCAGCTTGGCACTCCTGGACTGTGTGCTCTAACCCTGGGGGCCTGGGACCAGGCCTGTAGCTTAGTTCTCTGGCTCCCTGAGGTCGAGCACCAGCTGTGCTGGGTGAGCCAAGGTGCTCCCAGGCCACCAGTAAAAGCGCTCCACTGGGGGCCACTGGCAAAAGCGCTCTCGCAGGGGAGTGGAGGCTGTGCTGTGTGCCTGCTCCTATGGGAGAAGCCAGACAGGAGCCCTGGGAGGGGCTGGTGGACAGGGGAGTGCATGGATCAGATACGCCCTGGTCCTGTGGGAAAGACAGCCCTGCTCTCTCCAGGTCTGGCAGTCAACAAAGGTTAGAGCCTCTTAGAGGAATATGGAGAGCCTTGGGGGATAGGTGCCTATGGTTGTGTTTTGTTGCAGCTGTTCCCATGCAAAACCCCATGGGCTCTGTGTAGCCTCGAGCTCTGTCTCTGCCAGCTCTCCAAGCAGTTTTCCCTGCCAACTCAAACGTCCATGGTGGCTGTGGGATCTCTTGCAGCTAGAATCCCAGATGTCCACAGTGACAGTGGCCTGCTCTGCAGTTACTTCTTTCACCCCTTCCTTAGGAGCCATTCAGAGCCCATGCAGGGTTCTCAGTTTCCTCCCTCTTCAGCCTCAGTGACTGCATCATCTCTCCACTGACTCTCAGTGCTTTCTCTTAAAAGGTCTGTTCAAAGTATGCTGGTTTACTCAATATTTTGGTTTCTCTTGGTAGGAAAGAGAAGCTCTCCCTGGCTGTGTCTTCTTGGCCATCTTAACATCCTTGTCTTTTTTTTTTTTTTTTTTTTTTTTGAGACAGGGTCTCATTCTGTTGTCAAGGCTGTGGTGCAGTCTCATGATCATAGCTTACTGCAGCCTCAAACTCCTAGGCTCAAGCGATCCTCCCAAGTAGCTAGGATTACAGGTGCAAGCCAGCACACATGGCTTGGTGTAACTCTTTCACTAGACTGTAAGCTCCTTACAGGGTATAAAACTGTCTTACTTTCTTTGTATCCCAACCGCCCTCAAGACCAGACACAATACCTGGCATATAGTTAGCATTCAACAAGTGATTAAGGAAGAAAAATAAGAAAATGTTTTTGATCAAACAGATGTATACTTCATTTGTGCTTATTAGAGCTATACTATGATTTTTATACTTATTCTCCATAACATTCCTCAACATGCTTAAGGCTCCTAAAGTTAAATAAACACATGTTTCAGAAAAAGATTCACGCAATAGATGCTAATAGGAGCCACCTCTCAGGATTAGAAAATGGGTGGGATGATCACAATAGAAAAACAGTGAGGTCTTTCAAAAGAACTACTTATATATATAAAACAGAATAGTAAGATATAAAAACAGCAGAGACATGACAGATGAGAGCTACTCTGAGAGGACAAAGTGAAATCAGAAATGGTCTTTTGCTGTGAAATAGAAAGAAAAGGTGAATTACAATTTTCTGCCAGTGTTACTGGCTGGTCAACTCTATGGCAGGAGAAAAGATGATAAAAGTCATGAAAGCTAAAGAATGAAGGTAAGCATAGCTATTCTAAACTAGCATCTTTCAGAACTTTTAGGACAAAATGTTATTTTGTTAATGGACAAATGATACATTGATATGAAAAGGTAAAAGAAAGTAAAGCATAATAAAGCTGAAGCAATATTATTGATTCCATTTGAGATGAGTTCTGCCCAAAAGCTGATACTCTAGGACCTCAAAAAGAAATGCTATGGAGCAATGTCTTTCTCCTAAAAATGTCCTGACTATAAGAAGAATATATGTCAGAGTATAGACATGAAATGGGCAGCGGCACAGGGAAAGGAAGTGGAACAGAGCCCTTTGGAGGAGAGATACTGAGGCCTCCACCCCATGAGCAGTCTGACATGAGAGAAATTATTTCCCTATATTCTGTTTTTTTTTGAGATGGAGTCTCGTTCTGTCACCCAGGCTGGAGTGCAGAGGCGCGATCTCGGCTCACTGCAAGCTCCGCCTCCTGGGTTCCCGCGATTCTCCTGCCTCAGCCTCCTGAGTAGCTGGGACTACAGGTGCCCGCCATCTTGCCTGGCTAATTTTTTGCATTTTTAGTAGAGATGGGGTTTCACTGTGTTAGCCAGGATGGTCTCGATCTCCTGACCTCGGGATCTGCCCACCTTGGCCTCCCAGAGTGCTGGGATTACAGGCGTGAGCCACCACGCCCGGCCATTTCCCTATATTCTTATGACTTTTATATTTGACTCTTTTTTTTTTTAAGATTATGTAGAGCTACTGGAGCAAATCAGCATATATATGTATTTTCCAAAATGTTTTAATTCTGTATAATTACCTGTTAGCAATTTTTTTATTTGAAAGTTTTAATATACTATACTTGAGCCCACATTGCTTTATGCAAATGTTACAAAAAAAAAAAATTACAAAACTAAACACGTCTTCTCCAAGGTCAACGTGGTAACTCACACCACCATGTTTAGCTGCTTAGTCTCCCAAAATAGCCACACTTGGGGCTCCCTTCAAGCACCCTGGCTTTTAAAAGACATTTTAAGAGCTCAAAGAGGAGTTTCCACTAGAGGGCACTCAAACCATTTTAATATCTGACTGTAAAATAACACTTTAATTTAGAGACACACTTATCTATTCATAGAATTTTTCTGATGAAAAAAAGACAGGGATAGTTGCTCATGCTATATAACTTCATAAGCAATTTTCCTGCAGTTAACCAAAATGGAGACTTGTACTTCATGTCTTTCCCCCGCTTTTTGCGTTTTGCAGAAATGTCTTCCTTACAGATAAAATTTAAACAATTCATCTGAATAAAATACAGCTATTGTGGTGGTGGCTATGATCTATCCACCAACATACACTCTTTTTAAAAAAATTTTTTTATTTTTAAGTTCCAAGGTACATGCGCAGGATGTGCACGTCTGTTACATAGATAAACACGTGCTGTGGCGGTGTGCTGCACCTATCAACCCATCACCTAGGTATTAAGCCCAATATGCATTAGCTATTTTTCCTAATGCTCTCCCTTCCCTCACCCCACCCCAACAGGCCCCAGTGTGTGCTGTTCCCCTCCCTGTGTCCATGTGTTCTCATTGTTCAGTTCTCACTTATGAGAATACCCTCCACCAACATAGACTCTTTAGTTCTAATGTGATGTATGAAGAACTTGAACTTGACCTGCTGCTAGATTTTTAAAAATAAGAATACATTTATTAATCACCTACTATATTCTCAAGCATTATCCTATTAAGGGCTTTTAGCTGAAATGAAGAAATTAGAAAGAATCTGTCTGTTCAATCTGCTGCTATTATAGGTTGATGTTAAATAATAATAACAATAGGTGAGTAGCATTTCCCAATAGTTTACCAGGAAGGATATTTAGCTCAGAAAAGGCGAGAAGAACATGCATAACAAGGGTGCTGATCAGTTAAAAGAGGCAGAAGGGGCAAGCTGTGATACTTAGCTAAGATGTATAAATATACCAAAAAATAACTCCTAAAGAAGAAAGAAGGGAGAAAAAAGAGATAAAGAAGAAAGATGTTGGGTTTGAATTCAAGAAAATTTGTCAGAATGTTAGAATCCAGGAAAAGCTTGATAAATATACTAGTCCTTCAGTTCCTTAACTGGAGCTTTCAAAAGGTAATGATTAAAATCTATTAGAATTCAGTATTTCTAACAAATCAACTATATATAATTCTAAATTGGATCTATGGGAATGAAAATGTATTTCCCATGTGACACATCTGATTTGCCCCCCATAAAGGGGAGTTCCTTTTTGCTTATTTCACTGCTGCCAGATTCAAATCCTGAGACCCAAATTTAACAAGTAAAAGTGGCTGGGTGTGGGGTTCACACCTATAATCTCAGCACTTTGGGCAGCCGAGCTGGGAGGATTGCTTAAGGCCAGGAGTTTATGACCAGCCTGGGCAACAGAGTGAGATCCAGTCTCTATAAAAATTAGCCAGGTGTGGTGGTGCCTGCCTGTAGTCCCAGCTACTTAGGAGGCTGAGGTAGGATTATCACTTGAGCCCAAGAGTTTGGGGCTGCAGTGAGCTATGATTAGGTCTCTGCACACTAGCCTGGGCAAAAAAGTGACATTCTGTCTCAAAAAAAAAAAAACAAAAAAAAAAACAAAAAAAAAAACAAGAAAAACCAAGTAAAACTAATAAACTATCAAATAGTTTTTAAAGAAAGATTTCTGCAGATCTGCTTTACTGTTTTTTAAAGAGGTTAGATAAAGGCTTGTGGCAAAGAACTTGTATGTGAGTATAAATGGTTGTAAATCATTGAATTTTCCTTGTTGATATAAAGAGTAAAGGGAAAATGTATAAATGAGTAAAATAGGTGACCTTTAGAAAGCATGTCATGAGGGTCACACAATTCTTTGCCTAGCTCCAGAGAGACTGCTCACATACTTACTTTCTCCACATGGCAATGAATGACTGTGCTGTCACAAATCCTGTCTTCTCTCCCCCTGCAGCCCTGAACATGGGGGCTTTCCAATAGAGAGGACAGCCACAGACCTGCAAATAGAAAACACATACAGGGTAAGCCAACAGGGAATGAAGAGATGACACGGCCAAAGAAAAGATCTTTGTGGCTTTTACCCTTCATGCCACAGTGGATGGAAGAGCCCTCAGGAGAACAAAACTGGAGCATAGGAAAATATATCAACTAGGGTAGATTCAGAGAGAGGCAGAGGGGAAACAAAATAAGAGAACATGTTCAATGAAGAAAACGGAAATTCATTTATGTTTTCTCCAAGTCCATTTAAAGTGATTCCCTCCTCCAACCTGACAGTTAAAGCAAACAGCATCCCTTCCCACCACTTTCTTCTTTTTTGAGACGGAGTCATGCTCTGTTGCCCAGGCTGGAGTGCAGTGACACAATCTCAGCTCACTGCAACCTCTGCCTCCTAGGTTTAAGCAATTCTCCTGACTCAGCCTCCTGAGTAGCTGGGATTACAAGTGCCCACCACCACACCTGGCAAATTTTTGTATTTTTAGTAGAGATGGAATTTCACCATGTTGGCCAGGCTGGTCTTGACCTTCCGATCTCAAATGATTCACCTGCCTCAGCCTCCCAAAGTGCTGGGATTACAGGCGTGAGCCATTATACTTGGCTTACCACTCTTATAAATTTACTACCTTCTAGAAAGAAAAAGAAATGACTGAATGTCACAGTTGTAATATATGTCCTTCATTCATTCCTTAAGCAGAAAATAACTTCGTGTTAATATTCCACTACCTATCTCCTTCTCTCTCCTTTGCCTATTATGTTATTAAGTCCCAGGTTCAAGAAGAACCAGAAAATCCTAGACTGCTCAAGAAAACAGCTATCATATCTATTTAAATGGTTATAATTCAGGTAAAAGATGAAAGGTAAAATGCTATAATTTATTTATATATTAGAGGCTACCACAAATGATTACAAAGCCTTAGGAAAGACTGGAAATGAATATAAAACAATTTTAGTACCCTAAAAGGTATTGATTTTTCTCGATAAAAAGCTCTTCCTTTCAATTAAAAAAAACCTGAAGGAGAAAAAATTCTCTATGAAAAGGGAGGTAAATTTAGTAAGAACTCTCTTTCTCATGAGAGTAAAAGGACAATTTATTTTTAATTGAAAGGAAGAGGTCCCCAAGTCCCAGGCCATGGACACATGGAGAGGTAACAGTCCGTGGCCTGTTAGGTACTGGGCCACACAGCAGGAGGTGAAGGGCAGGTGAGCGAGCAGTACCACCTGAGCTCCACCTCCTGTCAGATCAGTGGCAGCATCAGATTGTTATAGGAGAGTGAACCCTATCGTGAACTGTGCATGCAAGGGATCTAGGTTGTGCACTCTATCTAACGCATGCCTGAGGATCTGAGGCAGAACAGTTTCATCCTGAAACTACCCCCACTCTACCCCCATCCATGGAAAAACTGTCTTCCACAAAGCTAGTCCCTGGTGCCAAAAAGGTTGGGGACCGCTGCTGTAAGTAATAATACAATCGTTACTATTAGCAAAGAAATAGTCTCCAAATCATCTCAATTTCTACACACACAGAAAACATATCCCAAATGTGGAACTCTTCAACAAGTCACATTTTGTTATGAGATAAATATGTTATTATTCACATTAGACCCAGGATCTGTTGCGCCCTCATCATTCTACAGAGGAAAAGCCTCTCCTCTAGAGGAAGACTAGATGTGCATCCACCTTAGGCTTAGGTGAAGCTGCTCCTGGTGTGAGACTTCAGTGCACAGGGGACCCCCACAGGAGCCTGAAGAGTACCTAGTCTGACATTAGTTATCCTGAAAGAACATCCAGGCTGCTGGGTTCATGGAGATATGGAAGGCAAGATTCAAGCCAAGGGAGGTAAGGACAGGGCAGAAATAAGAGGCTGCTACTGCCAGGGCCACTAAAGCATGTCTGCAAGCAGAGCAGAATTTAAGATTTTTTAAGTCCAGAGGTCGAATATCTCATACCTCCACTGGGGTCAAGAATGAGGGAAAGGTGTTGCTTAGCAACCATGTGATTTTGTTTATTGTATACATAATTATTACCAAGGTGCAAAGCTCACAATTAATATACTCTGGCTGTATAAGCTGTTGAATCCACTTTCCCCAATCCTAGACTCTCCTTTCATGCAGAATGGTGGTTTGCCAAGAAAATGCTCTTAGACAGTCTTAGTGATGGGCTAGTGGCAACTACTGGGAAAGAATCGTCTGTATCATGGAGGCAGGGTGAATGGAGCCACAAACAGACGGTGTGCGGAGACGCTGGAACTGGCTTACCAAAGTGCTTCAAACTCCCACCATTAGAGTCACTCATGAATTTTTCAGAACTGGAAGGGATCAGGAATCTTTTAACTTCCTGATCAGAAACACTTCCAGGGGCTGTGTGCTTACCACCTTCTGTGGGGTAACTTCCACTAACTAAGCAAATTTCATTCTCTTACAGTCTTTTCTCCAGAAGACTCCTATTAAAATGGATATACACCAGCTCATAAGGAGGATTAAGTCTCTGAAGATTAATAAACTTATTATGACCCAGAGGCAAAATCCTCAGAGACAGGGTACAGAACAAAGATGTTCTGAAGTAGACTGGAAAAGGTCAGCCTATTGTTCTCATAGTGGGGTACCCTGAGTAGCCAAGTGTTATACAGCAGGAGGGTATTATGCCCTTGGAAAAATGACAAAGGGAAAAAATGGGAAAGGCAGAATGGTAAGGGCTATGGACATTACACTCTATTAAAAAAAGTATGCTAGCCTGCATCTGCTTAAAAATCAAAGATTTAAGGTAAAAGGAGCCAGGAGATCAATAAGAACCTAAACAGTAAATGGTATTAATCTGAAGGCAAGAAAATAGCACTTTTATTAATAGAAGAGAGAACAAGCTTTTTCTTGTTGAAGTGTGAAGTGTGAATACTGACATTTTGTTTTTGTTTTTTTTTTTACAAAGGAAGAGTGGATAGCAAGTGGGTATACACAGAGATACAGAAAATAGATTTAGGAAACTTATTTTTAGAGGGGGAGGCGAGTCAATATATGGTAATCAAAGTTCTGGAGCAAAGAAAACTTGATCAACACCTACGATTTGATCTAAGAATGGCCAACAAAACAAATAATCCAAAGCAAGGTTGTCTAATGATACACATAGGAGAGGATGATTACCCAATGTTTGTAATCTTCTTTCAACATTTAAAGATGTCTCAGGCTTGTAATTTCATTTGGCCTTCACGTGATCCTCACATAGATGAGGGCAGTGATTTTTTTAATCCCATTTTACAGATGAAGAAATTCAGGTACAGAGAGGCTACCTTCCAGGCCACAGGTGTGATGGGTAAAGATGGTGCTATGTCAGCCAGAAGACAGGAGCTGCGGGGCTTTGTATGGTTCAGAAAAGAGTCTTATTCCTTTTCCTCAACTTTCTGCTAGAAGTTAAAACTCCATGATGAATCCTTTGGCCCAGTCTCTGAAAAATGCATTTCTTACTGTTTCTCTGTTTCTGTTCCTAAGTTGCTTTCATTTCTCTGAGATTCATTCTCTATTCTTTTCTTCTCTATCATTACTTAAAGCTGTGGAAAAACGTACAAACTACACACTGAGAATTTAACCAGATGTAAGCATTAAGTTCTTCAGGGCTGTTTGAGGTCTAAGATGAATGAGCTAAACTTCACCAACAGATGCAGATTCCATAAACACAGAGTTTTCTAGGCACTTAAAAACAGATCCCAGTCTTTACAGCTACACTTGAGTGCCACTAAGAGTAAGCGGCAAACTCAAGCTGGTCTTCCAAATAACTTTATAAACTACAAGAATCCATAAGAACATTCATTTATTGCTCTAACAAACTCTCTCCTCCTTACTCCTTAAAGGTTGCCTCTCTTCTCCTCTTTCCTATGCCAACCTATCATAAGAATATGAACAGTAAGTGCTGGAGACACAGAGCTCACTGCCTGGTACCAGAAAAGACTTGCATGCATAGTAAAGAACTGTCGAAAATAAGGATGACTTAGTGAGTACTAATAGACTGCAATAGCCAAGTAAAAGCTAAATTAAAAGAGAATTAGGAGTAATAAAAAGTCTCTGAGGACTGAGGGGATCATGGTGGACGGGAGGCAGGACTAGACTGCAGCTCCAACTTGGGACAGACAGAGCAGTGTGTGGAGGCTTGCAGTGAGAATTTTCGCTCCAGAACAACTGCAGGAATAAATCAGGAAACCTGAGAAGACCCACAGACCCCCTGAAGGAAGCGGACTGTTCCTGTGGGACCCAAGAGGCACCCCAAATACTGTGCTGGTATACACAGCTGAGAGACCCACAGAGGGTTCACATCACAGGACGCTGTGCAGACAACCCCCAGTAGCAGTCCAGAGCCTGGACTTGCTGGGCGGCTAGATCCAGAAGAGAGATAACAATCACTACAGCTTGGCTCTCAAGAAGCCACATCCATAGGAAAAGGGGGAGAGTACTAAATCAAGGGAACACCCTGTGGGACAAAAGAATCTGACTAACAGCCTTCAGCCCTAGACCTTTCCTCTGACAGAGCCTACCCATATGAGAAGGAACCAGAAAACCAACTCTGGTTATATGACAAAACAATGTTCTTTAATACCTTCAAAAAATCACACTAGCTTATCAGCAATGGACCCAAACCAAGAAGAAATCCCTGATTTACCTGAAAAAGAATTCAGAAGGTTAGTTATTAAGCTAATCAGGGAGGCACCAGAGAAAGGCAAAGCCCAATGTAAGGAAATCCAAAAAATGATACAAGTGAAGGGAAAAATATTCAAGGAAATAGCATAAATAAAAAACAATCAAAACTTCAGGAAACAATGGACACACTTATAGAAACGCAAAATGCTCTGGAAAGTCTCAGCAATGGAACTGAACAAGCAGAAGAAAGAAATTCAGAGCTCAAAGACAAGGTCTTCAAATTAACCCAATCCAACAAAGACAAAGAAAAAAAAAAGAAAATATGAACAAAGCCTCTAAGGAGTCAAGAATTATGTTAAACGACCAAACCTAAGATTGATTGGTGTTCCTGAGGAAGAAGAGAAATTTAAAGTTTGGAAAACATACTTGGGAGAATAATTGAGGAAAACTTCCCCAGCCTTGCTAGAGACCTAGACATCCAAATACAAGAAGCACAAAGAACATCTGGGAAATTCATCACACAAAGATCACTGCCTAGGCACACTCTCATCAGGTAATCTAAAGTTAAGATAAAGGAAAGAATCTTAAGAGTGGTGACACCAAAGTACTACGTAACCTAAAAAGGAAAACCTATCAGATTAACAGCAGATTTCTCAGCAGAGCCCTACAAGCTAGAAGGAATTGCGGCCCTATCTTCAGCCTCCTCAAACAAAACAATTATCAGCCAAAATTTTGTATCCAGCAAAACTAAGCTTCATATGTAAAGAAAAGATAGTCTTTTTCCGAAAAACAAATGCTGAGAGAATTCGCCACTACCAAGCCACCACTACAAGAACTGATAAAAGGAGCTCTAAATCTTGAAACAAATCCTGGAAACACCCAAAACAGAACCTCTTTAAAGCATAAATCCCACAGGACCTATAAAACAAAAATGCAATTTAAAAAACAAAAACAAAAAACCAAGATATACAGGAAACAAATAGCATGATGAATGGAATGGTACCTCATATCTCACTACTAATGTTGAATGTAAATGGCCTAAATACTCCACTTAAAGATACAGAATTGAAGAATTGATAAGAATTCACCAACCAATTATCTGCTGCCTTCAAGAGACTCACCTAACACATAAGGACTTGCACAAACTTAAGGTAAAGGAGTGGAAAAAGACATTTCAGGCAAATGGACACCAAAAGTGAGGAGTGGCTATTCTTATATCAGACAAACTTTAAAGGAACAACAGTTAAAAAAGAAAAAGAGGGACATTACATAATGATAAAAGGCCTTTTCCAACAGGAAAATACCACAATCCTAAACATATATGCACTAACACTGGAGCTCCCAAATTTATAAAACAATTACTAATAGACCTAAGAAATGAGACAGACAGTTTAACACAACAAGAGTGGGGGACTTCAGTACTCCACTGACAGCACTAAACAGGTCAAGACAGAAAGTCAATAAACAAACAATGGATTTAAACTATACCCTGGAACAAATGGACTTAATAGACATATACAGAACATTCCATCTAACAACTGCAGAATATGCATTCTATTCAACAGCACATGGAACTTTCTCCAAGATAGACCATAGAAGAGGCCACAAAACGAGCCTCAATACATTTAAGAAAGTTGAAATTATATCAAGCACTCTCTCAGACTACAGTGGAATAAAACCTGAAATCAACTCCAAAAGGAACCCTCAAAACCATGCAAATACATGGAAATTAAATAACCTGCTCCTGAATGATCACTGGGTCAAAAATGAAATCAAGATGGAAATTAAAACATTCTTCAAACTGAATGACAATAGTGACACAACCTATCAAACCCTCTGGGACACAGCAAAGGCAATGCTAAGAGAAAAGTTCATAGCCCTAAACGCCTACATCAAAAAGTCTGGGCTGGGCGCAGTGGCTCACGCCCATCATCCCAGCACTTTGGGAGGCCGAGGTCGGTGGTTCATGAGGTCAAGAGGTCGAGACCATCCTGGCAAACATGGTGAAACCCTGTCTCTACTAAAAAATACAAAAATTAGCTGGGTGTAGTAGTGCGCACCTGTAGTCACACCTACTCAGGAGGCTGAGGCAGGAGAATCACTTGAACCCAGGAGGTGCTGGCTGCAGTGAGCCAAGATCACGCCACTGCACTCCGGCCTGGCAACAGAGAGAGATTCTGTCTCAAAAAAAAAAAAAAAGAAAAAGAAAAAGAAAAAAAGTCTGAAAGAGCACAAACAGACAATCTAAGGTCACACCTCAAGGAATTAGAGAAACAAGAATGGAACAAACCAAACCCAAACCCAGCAGGAGAAAGGAAATGACCAGGATCAGAGCAGAACTAAATGAAATTGAAAAAAATAATACAAAAGAAAAAAAATACAAAAAATAAATGAAACAAAAAGCTAGTTCTTTGAAAAGATAAATAAAATTGATAGACCATTAGCAAGACTAACTAAGAAAAGAAGAGAGAAAATCCAAATAAGCTCAATAAGAAACAAAACAGGAGATATTACAACTGACACCACAGAAATACAGAAGATCATTCAAGGTTACTATGAACACCTTTACACACATAAACTAGAAAACCTAGAAGAGATGAATAAATTCCTGGAAAGATACAACCCTTCTAGCTTAAATCAGGAAGAATTAGATACCCTGAACAGACCAGCAACAAGCAGTGATATTGAAATGGTAGTTTAAAAATTACCAACAAAAAAAGTCAAGGACAGACGGATTCACAGCCGAATTCTACCAGACATTCAAAGAAGAATTGGTACCAATCCTATTGACACTATTCCACAAGACAGAGAAACAGGGAACCCTCCCTAATTCATTCTATGAAGCCGGCATCACCCTAATACCAAAACCAGGAAAGGAGGACATAACCAACCAAACAAACAAAAACCTACAGACCAATATCCCTGATGAACACAGATGCTAAAATCCTTAACAAAATACTAGCTAACTGAATCTAACAACATATCAAACAGATAATCCACCATGATTAAGTGGGTTTCATATCAGGGATGCAGGGATGGTTTAACATATGCAAGTCAATAGATGTGATACACCACAAAAACAGAATTAAAAACCAAAATCACATGATCATCTCAATAAATGGAGAAAAAGCATTTGATAAAATCCAGCATCCCTTTATGATGAAAACTCTCAGCAAAATTGGCATACAAGGGACATACCTCAATGTAATAAAAGCCATCTATGACAAGCCCACAGCCAACATAATACTGAATTGGGAAAAGTGGAAAGCATTCCCTCTGAGAACTGGAACAAGACAAGGATGCCCACTCTTACTACTCTTCTTCAACATAGTACTGGAAGTCCTAGTCAGAGCAATCAAACAAGAGAAAGAAATAAAGGGCACCCAAATCAATAAAGAGGAAGTCGGCCGGGTGTGGTGGCTCACGCCTATAATCCCAGCACTTTGGAAGGCCGAGGCGGGCAGATCACGAGGTCAGGAGATCGAGACCATCCTGGCTAACATGGTGAAACCCCGTCTCTACTAAAAACACAAAAAATTAGCTGGGCATGGTGGTGGGTGCCTGTAGTCCCAGCTACTTGGGAGGCTGAGGCAGGAGAATGGTGTCAACCCGGGAGGCAGAGCTTGCAGTCTGCAGTGAGCTGAGATTGAGCCACTGCACTCCAGCCTGGGCGACAGAGCGAGACTCCGTCTCAGGAAAAAAAAAAAATAAATAAATAAATTAATTAATTAAAAAAAAAAAGAGAAAGTCAAATTCTCGCTGTTTGCTGATGATATGATCGTTTACCCAGAAGATCCTAAAAACTCCTCCAGAAAACTCCTGGAACTGATAAAATAATTCAGCAAAGTTTTCGAAGACAAAATTAATGTACACGAATCAGTAGCTCTTCTATACACCAACAACGAGCAAGCTGAGTATCAAATCAAGAACTCGACCCCTTTTACAACAGCTGCAAAAAACAAACAAACAAACAAAAAACATACTTAGCAATATACCTAACCAAGGAGGTGAAAGACCTCTACAAGTAAAACCACAAACCACTGCTGAAAGAAATCACAGATGACACAAACAAATGGAAACACATCCCATGCTCATGGATGGGTAGAATCAATATTGTGAAAATGACCATTCTGCCAAAAGCAATCTACAGACTCAATGCAATTCCCACCACAATTCCTATAAAAATACCATCAACATTTTTCACAGAATTAGAAAAAACAATTCTAAAATTCATATAGAACCAAAAAAGAGCCCGCATGGCCAACGCAAGACTAAGCAAAAAGAATAAATCTAGAGGTGTCACATTACCTGATTTCAAACTATACTATAAGGCCATAGTCACCAAAACAGCATGGTACTGTTATAAAAATAGGCACATAGACCAGTGGAACAGAATAGAGAACACAGAGATAAAGCCCAATACTTACAGCCAACTGATCTTTGACAAGGTAAACAAAAACATAAAGCAGGGAAAGCATACTCTTTTCAAACAAATGGTGCTGGGATAATTGGCTAGTCACATGTAGGAGAATGAAACTGATCCTCGTCTGTCACCTTTTACAAAAATCAACTCAAGATGGACTAAGGACTTAAATCTAAGACCTGAAACTATAAAAATTCTAGAAGATAACAATGGGAAAACCCTTCTAGACATTGGCTTAGGCAAAGATTTCATGACCAAGAACCCAAAAGCAAATGTAACAAAAACAAAGATAAATTGCTAGGACTTAATTAAAATAAAGAGGTTTTGCATGGTGAAAGGAACAGTCAGCAAGTAAACAGACAACCCACAGAGTGGGAAAAAGTCTTCAAGATCTATACATCTGACAAAGGACTAATATCCAGAATCTACAATGAACTCATATCAACAAGAAAAAAATAATCCCATCAAAAAGTGGGCTAATGACATGAATAGGCAATTCTCAAAAGAAGATATACAAATGGCCAATAAACATATAAAAAATGTTCAATGTCACTAATGATCAGGGAAATGCAAATCAAAACCACAATGCGATACCACCTTACCCCTCCAAGAAGAACCTTAACCCCTGCAAAACCACAATGTGATACCACCTTACCCCTGAAAAAACAAAACAAAATAAAACAGTAGATGTTGGCATGGCTGCAGTGAACAGGGAACATTTCTACACTGCTGGTGGGAATGTAAACTAGTATAACCACTATGGAAAACAGTGTGGAGATTCTTTAAAGAACTAAAAGTAGAACTACCATTTTATCCAGCAATCCCACTACTGGGTATCTACTCAGAGGAAAAGAAGTCACTGTAAAAAAAGATACTTGTACATGCATGTTTATAGCAGCACAATTCGCAATTGCAAAAATGTGAAACCAACCCAATGCCCATCAATCAACAAATGGATAAACTGGGGCATGTGTGTGTGTGTGTGTGTGTATACATACATACATACATACATACATACATACATACATACATACATATATATATATATATATATGTGATGGAATACTACTCAGCCATAAAAAGGAATGAATTAATGGCATTCGCAGTGACCAGGATGAGATTGGAGACTATTCCATGTGAAGTAACTCAGGAATGGAAAACCAAACATCATATGTTCTCACTCATAAGTGGGAGCTAAGCTATGAGGATGCAAAGGCATAAGAATGACACAATGGACTTTGGGGACTAAGGGGTAAAGGGTGGGAAGGGGTGAGGGATAAAACACTACAAATAGGGTGCAGTGTATACTGCCTGGGTGACGGATGCACCAAAATCTCACAAATCACCACTAAAGAACTTACTCGTGTAACCAAACATCACCTGTTTCCCAACAAACCATGGAAATAAAATTAGAAAAAAAGAGAATTAGCTAACTGGAAGACATGATTAAATCAACTTTTAAATAAACAATTTTAAGAATAAAGAGGCAAAAAAAACAAACTGACACACTCAAGATATCTTTTCAGGTAATTATATACACATCCCCCTCAACTTCCCAGGTAATTATATACACATCCCCCCCGCCCCAACTTTTTATTGAGACAGGTTCTCACTCTGTCACCCAGGCTGGAGTGTGGTGGTATGATCATGGCTCACTGTAGCCTCAACCTCCTGAGCTCAGGTGATCTTCCTGCCTCAGCCTCCTGAGTAGCTAGGACCACAGGCACATGTCACTACACCCAGGCAATTTTTAAAAAATTATTATCTGTAGAGATGGGGTCTCACTATGTTGCCCAGGCTGGTCTTGGACTCCCAGGCTCAAGCGATTCTCCTGCCTCGACCTCCCAAAGTCCTGGGATTATAGGCATGAGTTACTGTGCCTGGCCACGCATCCTCATTTTATAAAAATGCAGTGTTGGTTTTAACTTTTTAAAGGTATGTGCAGTTTACTTTGCTACCTGAACTGACAATTAAGATCTAAGAGCAATGAACAAAAAGGCTTGGTGCCCATGAATAGAATTTAGGGCTATAATGAAGTATAATTCAGACAAGTTAATCAGACATATATATGTATAATGGCTATTGCACCACGATTATTAGGTATAAGTAGCAAATTGTTACGTAAATGACTGTCCCTATGGCTAAACAAATTAGTTTTCTATCTTTTTAAACTTCTCCATGTTATCTGTCAGTTTCAACACTGCTGTTTTTTTCTGATGCCACATACAGACTGATTCTCACTGCACATAAATGGCAAAGTCGTTCCTCCGGCTCCCCACCTTCCAGAGACCTCTATCCTGCCTTGACTATATTCTTTTTGACACCTCCCTTGAGCACTGTGGAGTCTTTAGGCTTTCTGCTCTCCTCTCACTGAATCTGTGGAGTGCTAGCAAGGCCCCGAGCCACAGAGCAAGGCAGGGCTACCATGCCACAGGAATGGGAGGCCAGACCATAAAGGATGTGGAGGCAGAGCAGTACAAAGACACAGGAGAATGGGCTCCTCAGTCAGCAGTTGGGAATATTCAGAGGAAGAAGGGCTCTCCAGACATGATGACCTCAGCACTGTACCAGGGAACTACTATGCCCTAATCTGGAAAGTTTCTCTTTGTCTGCTTACCTGAGGCAATCCATGAAACCTTCTGTCTCTTTCACACAAATTGCTCTCGTGTTAGAAATACCCTGTTGGCGTAATCTCAGCACTTTGGGAGGCCGAGGTGGGCGGATAACCTGAGGTCGGGAGTTTGAGACCAGCCTGACCAACATGGAGAAACCCCATCTCTACTAAAAATACAAAAATTAGCCGGGCATGGTGGTGCATGCCTGTAATCCCAGCTACTTGGGAGGCTGAGGCAGGAGAATCGCTTGAATCTGGGAGGTGGAGATTGTGGTGTGCCGAGATAGCGCCATTGCACTCCAGCCTGGGCAACAAGAGTGAAACTCTGTCTCAAAAAACAAAACAAAACAAAACAACAACAACAAAAAACAACAACAACAACCCTGTTGGCATTTATGTAGTTACCATATTACCTCCAAATGCAGATTTCATTCAGCCTTGTTAAATTTTATCTTTTGGATTTACAGCCATAGTTCCAGCCCATTCAGAAATTTTATCATCAGGGTTCTGTCATCTAACGCAATAGCCACCTCTAAAAGAATTGGGTAAGAAAACCCTGAATGCCTTAAAGAACTTGTAATATATTTGGGTGGCTATTAACTGGAAGTTAGTTACTGTTACCACATGTCCAGGGAGATGACATATGTAGAAACAGCACTGTGCTAGAAGTTAGACAACTTGTCTCCCGGCATGAACTAGCTCTGTGACTTCAGGTAAGTACTTGTAGAACTGCAGTTCCCTCATAAGTAAAATGGAATGGAAACAGATAAGCTCTTATTTCTGGAATGAGTTTGTTTTTCATTAGAAGCATCTAGGGTATCAACAAGCAATTTTTAAGAAGGGGGAATGAAGGAAGAGAACAAAGAATTCCTTTTCATTTCCTTTAAAATCACTCTAGTTACATATCATTTAACAGCAATGACAAATGCTCTGTGAGGTCAGAGGTAGGGCAGGGCATGACAAGTGAGGGTTCAGGGACTTCTCCAATAATACACAATGGAAGCTAGGTCTTCAACAAAGTGGATGCTGAGGAGGTTGGCAGGAGGGGAAGCCCACTCTGGAGGGAGAACTCTGAGAGCCCAAATGCAGAGGTGTGCCTATGAGAGGGCAAGAGGGTCACGCTTATACAGGAAAATTTTAGGCAAGTTTGGAAAGAAACTCTGGGGCCAGGCTGTGGAAGCCATGGAATGCCAGGAAGAGAAGTTTGAGGTTTATCCTGAAGAATGGTAGTTTTCCAACTTTTTAACATTACTCCTGAAAGCAGGGGAACCCTTCTCAGTGGAAGTGTGCATGGGCTCTTAGGTATTCTCACTTGGTCTCCTACTTGCCTCCATGCAGCCCTTAGCCTTCTAAACCCCTCTGCCTCTTGAAGCACAGCCTAAACTACTGCTAAAGCCTGAAGTGTGACCTGACTCTTCAATATTTATGCATAATAAAAATAAAGCCCAAACAAAACAAAGCACTGCTATAGAAGGTGGGAATTCTTGAATATTGCTAAATTGGGAAATGGCATAATCAAATATAATCTGATGGTTATGCTAAGTATTAACTGTTCTGGGAGGAGGCTGGAGGCACAGAATCAAGTCAGAGTAGTCCTGACATTAGGGGGATAAGATTTTAACTCAGAAGCAGTTGGATATATTTGAAAGTTCCAAAGACTTGCTTCCTATTGTCAAATCCATTTATTTCTGGGTAAAATGACTGTATTGAGATGGTCTAATGCTTCCTTGTCTGGCATTAGGGCAGTTATGATCAATGGGTGAGACTAAAAATCAGATTCCTATTCAGCACAAGGAAAAATTTTCTAACAAACAAGTATTTGACAATAGGCCAGGCTGCCTGGCAAGGTAGAGCTTCTAGTCTCTGAAAGCATTCAAGCAGAGAATGAATTTATGAGTTGGTGATGTCTTGGAAGGGATTCTTATATTAAATAGGAGGTTGAAATGGAAGATCACTATGGGAAAAACAACAACAATTCCATGCATGCTTAAAAACAGAGCAAAGAGGCAGTGAAGGGGGGTGGGATCCGGGTTTCTAGAGAAGGGGAGGGGATCAGGGTTTCTAAAGAAGGGGAGATTGTAAATCATTTAGTAGTTACATTACCTTTGCAATTTTCCCCATTTCATAAATGTCTGCTTTCTGTTCTTCAATATCCATGAAAGCAGTTTCAATTCTGCTTAGAGTTTGTTCATGATTACTACAGGTATCTGGGAGTCCTTCAGGAAAGTAGAACCGTGGAATGTTTATGGACAATGGCGCATTCACAACATTATTCACATGGGGAACCGGGGAGAGAGGTCGGGGACTACTTGGAGAGGTGGCTGGAGGTGGGAGTGGTGTTCCAGGTTTCTTTTCTGGTTTATTTTGAATCTAAAAGAAAAATAAGATTATGAGACACAAAAAATTTAAACAGTATTCATTTACTGAAAATTCTCACCAGCAATATAAGAAACCACAATCAGAGACAGGAGAGATTAAGGGCTCACTGTACTCTTAAAGGTGGTAAGCATGTTTCTAGGGAATGCTTATCTGCACTAAATTAATTAATTTATTAATTATCTGCCAGTACTCAAGTTTACATAGATTTACGTTTAAAAAAATACATAGGTTTCTCCATCAACTATTTGGCAGACATTTCAAAAGACTCAAAGAGCAATGTTAGTTGATATATTAAGAATCTCAAGGTGTATTCTCACTCTGTTGGAACTGGATTAATACATTCTTTTTGAAGACAGTTCTTGGTCTTTCTGTGACTTTTACCTCTCTTTCAACAGGCAAAAACAAGTTCCTTTTAAATATATATATCCGAAAAGTATTTGGGGAAGGGGCTCCTTTTACCTTCTCTAGTTTGACTTTGCTGAGGTAGAATCACTGCCAGCCCTTGATGCTGAGAAAATCTTTGTTAAGAAAATTAAAGCATTTTAGTTCTGAAATGTCCCCTACCTGGCTGATTTATTTGCCACTAGGGCCACGCCATTTTCTGCAAGATACACATGTATCTTATTTGTGGTTTGCTCCAATAGGCAAAAACCATGGTCATTAATTTCATCACAACCAAACTCCCTTTACAGTTTAATAACTCATTTACAGTTTATATTCTTCTTCTTTTAAAAAAATGATTTGATGTGGCATACTATAAAGAGACATTAGAAAGGTCAGTAAAGAGTGGCAGGGAGGCAACGAGGAAATTAAGATTGCCCATGATTTAGGAAAAAGGGAGGGGAGGTACACCATTATTCAGGTAGAAATTTATCTTACCAATAAAGACTAAATTTAGTTCTGAGATTCTTACCAGAAAAAGCAAAAAAGATTCCATGAGGATTTTCATAGTTCTAATTTCCACTCTTAATTAATGGCCAAATTATCAAGGCTCATGAGCATGGTACTGTATTAGATGCTACATAAAGTATGAAAGATGAACACAACTGTTGACTAGCTAAATACATTGTATAGGTATTATGAACACAAAGTATTATTCAAATTTCTTCCTTAAATTACCCTAATGCCATCTCTAAAGTTTGAACAATGATATATCTGTAAGAAATATATTTATCATATTTCTTAACATATAGGTTTATAACATAATTTTAAAAATCATGATAAAAATTTTAGCTACCCTTAAAAATGTGAGTTTTATAAAGAGATAAGATTTATTCATATAAATATATGAAAATGGTTAAATCTCCTATTTTTGTCATAATAGCCCAATTTCCCTGTGTTAATATCTGACATTAATACACAGAATGGAGTCTGCTCATATATTAAGACTATTAGGGATATGAAGGCCAGTTGTCACACCATGTCTTTGCTACAGTATCAGGATGTCACCCATATAAAGCAATAGTCAAGGAAGAAACAGAACAAAGGGAAGTGATACCAATGAAATATGAAAAACTTAAAACACTGATGGCTTACTACTCTGTGACCTCAAAATGGTTACTTAACCTTTTGGAATTTCAATAATAAAACAGAAATTACAATGTCTACTTCTTAGAAGGTTGTTGTGAGGATTAAAGGAAATTACAAGATGTAATATAGGTAAAAGGTTTAGAACAGTGCTGGGCAGAGATCCATCTATCATGTAAGAAGATGAATGACAAGACCAAAGGATGAGATTCTCAAAAAATTAGATGAAGCATAATTTGGCATAATCTTTCAGATTCAATAATAAAATAATCATTTGCATATGTAAAGCAATTTGAAGTTTACAAACCACTTTTGAGTTAACAAATTGACAATCCATTTTCAATAAACATTTCTCTCTGCCTTAATGCTAAATCTGTAAATATTACACAGTCCCGTAAGTCAATAAATTATTATTATTCTTCAAAGTGTTCTTAAAATTCTAAAGTAAGGCACAGAATTCTTCAGGGGCTTTACCTAGACCATTTATATTAGTGTCATTCCTTTTCCATTATTCTATGCTGAAAGAGATTTGTGAGGTTCAGGTGTACAATCACCAATGTTTTCTGTGGTGTCACATCTAGGGCAGTTATGCCCATAGAATTAAGACCACTGGTGCCAGCAGGGATGAAACCTGAGAGTCTCATGAATACATACTAGTGGGAAAGGTTTACAGCAAGGTCTTCAATGTTAACTCTATGCTTTTGCTTTGACAGAAATAAGTGATATTCAGAACACTGGCTGCCAAAGATTTTATTTGAATGGGAAAATATCTGATTATAAAATATTCTGTTCTGCTTTTCTTAGTGTACTTAACACAGAGCAATTCACTGATAGGCAACTATTAATCCACTGGTCAATTCCATATTTAATAAAACTGATGTTAATATTTAAAAGGAAAATAACATTAAAATAATGCATTTATTTTGAGCTTTTGGATACTCAATTTACTTTCTATTGAGTTCTACAGGAGATATATAATTTAAACCTTAAAGTAGCTGAATAAAACTGGTAGTTTACAAACATTATGGAAGAAAACCTAGTAACATAAATTCTGCCAGATTTACTAGCAAGTTTAGCATCTGCTCACTTTGGATACAGTGGTTTCAGTCCAGTCTAGGAGCAGCATTAGAATAGAATTAGCTGGGTAAAATACTTCAATTCTCCATTTGTCTTTCCCTATAAACACAGTATCATTTAGATATTCATTCAGAATAGTATCCTTGTGCTATTATGTCACTGTAGCATTTCCAATATTTGATCATTTTTGACCTACAAAAAAGCAATTTCATATTTACCCAAATAATTTGAGATTATTCTGGGTCAGAATAACCATAAAACTATGGTTTCTTGCTGGATTTTGGATGGCCAGCATTTGTACAGTCCTTGATTTATATTGTAGTCAATGTTAGGCACTTGTTTGGTGAAACACTGCCATAGGTTTTAAGCAAGAAAGTAGGGACTCTGCAAAGTACTCATCATAGGCAGAAATGACTCAATTGCACAGCTTGCTTAGGGAAGACATTTTTAATGATCTAGAAGTAACCACCAGTCTTTGTTATCTACATACATTACGACACACACATACACAATTGTCTATATAGACAAATACGTCTTGCTTTAAAAAAAGATTACCAGGATTAACATACTTTTTAAACAAACATTTGTTACAGATGTGTATGCACGCTAATATATAATCTATTGATTCAAAGTGCAAACAAGGCTTTTAATACAGAAATTCTAGTTTCTCAAGGATATTTCTATGAAAAATTCTGGTAATTTTCTACCTAAATTGTAAAATGTTCATTAAGTTGTATTTGTTGTCTCTAAAACTGGATTCCCTCTCTACAAGAGAAAAATGTGAGTACTGTACTCCAGGTCCAGAAGGTCTATTTTTAAACCTGTTGGAATCCCTCTGCAAATAGCTTTCTGCAAATAGCTGAATAGAGGACACACATTAATTCCTTGATCTAATATCAAGATACAAGGGAGCTGTAAAATTACTTGTGAGTTAGTTCACTGGATGGTTTTATTAGTAATAAAAATATTTTCAAAACAAAACAAAACAAAACAAAACAAAACACCCAAATTTCAAACCTGTGTCTGCTGAAATGACTTCAGCCGCTTCTTAAACCGTGAAGGGAGAACAAAATCACAGCCCCTTGCCAGGAAAGCTAGCTCTCCCCTTAAATCCGGGTCCCTTCGTAGAGATGTTTCCTTGATCATCATCTTTGAAAAGTAAATGTTTACTTCGCAACTGTCCAGCACACTTCTGAAGATAATCAGATTTAGCAAGTTGTCAATCTTGTCAGGTAGGAAGGTATTTTTTCTTCTTATCTCCCAAAGAAATGAAATTCAAGCATTGTGCTCTCCCAGCCTCCACAGACCACAATCTATGCTTGTCCTGACATGCAGCTGGTTCCCAAATACAGTCTGTGGCTCCCAATACCTGCTCATAATTTTCAAGTTATAAACACAGCCTGCAGTGGGCCTGTTGCTCCTTGTTGGTAGCTTTATGTCAAATTGACCTGCACATGTTGAGAATATGGAGCCTTCTGGGAAAGGGAGCACCCACTACTCTGTGTACCAAAGTTAGAAACATTACAGCTGGACCTAAAAATAGTACCTTCTCAGATAATGCTAACTTCTTAAACTCAGGGTATGTGAGGTGTCAATCCACATAAAGCAGTTTCTTCTCAAACTAGAAGAAAAAGAGTATGTAGAACATTTTCGGCTTTTTCTCTTTAATATTTTATAAAAAAAAGAACAGGCTACTGAACTTCGAATTTGAAACTATTAAGAATAGTTTTTTATTTTTTATTTGAAGGGAAGTAAATACCCAAATCTTTCCAGATCTCTCTAGTCAAAACAAGAGGAAAAACAGAAACTTTCATTCTCAAATGGGAATTTACAAAAAGATCTGTTGATCTCAGATGTAAAATTTTTTAAAGCAAAAGACTATCATAGTTATCAAACATTTTCTTGAACTGATGATGAACATATTTGAAAATTTGTTCTTGGAAGTATTAAGAAAGTAGAACAACTGAATGCCATAGAAAAGTTTTAGATACATATAAGCAAGTGAAATTTGGCTAAAAAAAGGACAAAAGATGATCAAACAGCAATGACATACTACATACTGAATTTGTAAGTTTTCTTCCTTTGAGAAGCTTTAATCAGTTAAGATTTTTAAAATACCTATTATTTCATCATATATTAAATATCTGCCTCATATAGTTATTTGTAAGTGAATCATAAAGTAAAGTCATCCTTTGGTAACTGTGGGGATTGGTTCCAGGACCCTCCACGGACCAAAATCCACAGCTGCTCAAGTCTCTTACATAAAATGTGTAATATTTGCATACAACCTACTCACATTCTCCCATATACTTTAAAGCATTTCTAGATTACTTGTAATACTTAATACAATATAAGTATTATGTAAATAGCTGTTATACTCTATTGTTTAGGAAATAATGACAAGAAAAAAAAGTCTGTACATATTCAATACATATGCAACCATACTTTTTTCCCCAAATATTTTCCAACTAGATGTAGAACACATTGATACAGAGGGCTGTTTTCTCACATTTTATATTTAGATTTCAATATTTATTTTCAATCAACCACATCATTCAATATTTTTCTATGTCTAGAAAATATACACCAAACATTATTAAAACAAAAAAATAGCTTACAACCCTCTTTTACTGAACCTTTGTCTAATTTAGTGGGAATTAAATTCTTTGGTTTTCCACTGTTTCCTACAAATTTAAGTCTGCTTTTTCCCACTGATTTCTTTTCAAGACATTCTGACAACTCTTTCTAATGTATACATTAGGCTTATATGTCTAAAGCTGTGTTTTAAAGAATTTCTTTTAAGTGGCAGAGTCTTCTGTTCACATCAAATTTTATCTGAAAGCTTTTGATACGTACTATGATTGAAAGAGGATTACAACTGAAAACCACTGGTCTTATGCTTCATCCTGAGTCGTTCCTTATTTTCTCAATTTTCTCTCTCACTGGGCTTCCATGTTAATTCTTTGAGGTGGGTAGCTTTCCCATATTTTTTCCTTACACTCCCGACTAGAATACTCTTTTTCTCCCTCATTATTTATCTCCTAAATAAAATGTCAAAAAGGTTTGTAGGAATGCAACTAGGCCTTTAGACTTACAATTTAATGCTTATTCTATTAAACCACACCTTAAATTTCCTCTCCTTCCCAACACCAACCTGTGGCTGTAGGTGAGTAGGTTCATTCCTTTCCTGAGAATGCTCCCTTTCCTCAAATTATACATTCTAATCATCTTTCAAGATCCATCTCAAAATTTAGCTATTTCATGAAGGCTTCCTGTTTATTTAAGTCCCCTTACTGTAATTCTTAACTTTATATATACAGCACTTAGTGAAATACTATGTAACGTCTCTCAAAGGAACTCCACTTAACATATTATCTTATTTAGCCAAAGCTCTCCATTTCTCCTCTGAAACAGAGCAACTAATGCCCATCACACACAGATTTGTGGCTAATAGTTTCTCTTACACTCTCATATTTCTTACCTTAGTAGTTGGGTTGTGTGTTTACTAAGAGTCAGCTGCATTTGTCCTCAGTCTGTTTATGCTGGTTATACTTTTCACAGTAATTATTCAATTCATTACATAAACTAACAAAATATAAGCGTGGAAAAGAAAAGCTGTTCTAAAATTAAAAAAAAACCCTAAGTTTTAGTAAAAGTAAACTACTAAAAAGATTTTGCTGTAAAATTAGGTAAGGGTGGGATGAAAGAGAAAAATCACTGAAGTTTAGAAGGTGTCTACATTCAAATTGCTTTACTACTATGTTCTCTCTCTAAAGAAACTAAAACTACAAATCAGACAACAAACCTATTATGAGTGTGATTTATCAAAGAAATATGTCACAGAACTCTAAATATGTATGAGACTCATTCTCAGAAAAAAGGCTTTGACCCTCTATCAAAAGACATCAGAATAAATTAATGCCTGAGTTAAAATGTTTATATAGACATTTTATAGTACACACACATATAGTTTATGATTCCCTACTATCAAACTCAATCATGTTCAGGTAAAAGGGCTTCTACTGTAATATTTTGTAACTTGATCATTATTTTCCAGTAGTGTCTAAACTCTTGAGGACAAGAGTTTAGATTTTAATTTTATAGTCATTCAATTACTCAACAAATATTTTTATATATAATCACTTATATGCCAGACACTTTGCTTGATATGAAGCTAGAGAGATGATAAAGATGTGGTCTCTTTCTTACTGTGCTTTCTAGCACAATGTTGGTTTGGAGCAAAGGACAAGAAATATTTTCATTTCATTTACTTCCTATAAATCTGCTAAGTTTCAAAGTCAGAACAGTGGTTAAAAGCCTGCCCTGTTGTTATACCCTTAAGCAAGAAAATATTTCTTCATGTCTTTTGATGAGGAAATAATTGGTAAGTTTTGATATATCAAAATGTTTTCCAAAAAATTCAGAGGCAAAAAGACCAGGATCCCTAAAGGGCTTAGAAAAGAACTGGTCTGTGGCAATGAGTTATTGACAGAGGAAGACTAGCATGAAGTTGGTTTATTTGCTTTTTACTTATTTACTTGTGTTTGAATGGAAGTATTAGTATATATGCTTGGTTTCTGAGAGGATCTGAGAACACGAGTTAGTTTCAAGGAGTTCATGACAACTGGAATATAGCACCAAAGAATATGGTTTTTAGAGTGACTTTCCAGGAAAAGATCAAACATAGGGGAATTTCACTACAGAGAAATATATGATCTGTGATCTACTCTCTTCTCTCTCTGCTTTGATGACAAGGGAATGTACAATCTATGGGGCTGGGAATTATAAGAGAAAAGCTGTTTTGGGGTGACAGATTTCTCCTGGAGGAACTAACCAGAATGAGGAAAAATAGAGAATCATAAACACATAGGTTATAAATTAAGTTTGAGCACGTGGAAAATTAGGAGCTGTGTGCAGTTACAATGGAAAGAGCCACTGTAAAAGTTTTCCAAATGTCTTTCTGGAATAAACTAAAAAATATTTTCTCCTGCTCCCTGCAGCATATAATTAAGTCCATCCTAACAAGCTAGCTGATTACCACCAGTAGGAACTTCCTGCACAGCTGCCTGCATCTCTTCTTGGCCTGCAGATCACTCATGAACTTTCCCTGTCTGAAGACACAGGCAGTCCTATCTGGACCATGTGCTCAATCTGAGTCTTCAGGATGACAACGATAAGAGAGCTTCATTAGGCAAAAGACTGGTGCTCTCTGCTGTGGGGGTGGCTGGAACACATCAGTTGTTAATTTGAGATCCAGCTGTCTTGGTCTGGGTCTGGGGTTCCTTTCCTGCCTTACCATTCCATATATCTTTCTCCAGAACAAGCATGCCTGGGCAAGGGAGACAGTCTTTCTCAAAAAGAACCGGGTAGGATAGGCTGCTGGGCATGAGTTTTACAGGTTCCCTCTGGCAGAGTTATATGGAAGAGAAGCTGGCCTCTCCACTATGACCCTAAAAACTAAATATTTTTTTTCTTTTTTAGGATAGCCTCTAATATCCCAAGCGAGAAAAGATGCTCCCTTACCCTATACTGAAAGGACCTACAAAACTGAGGAATAAGTTTAAAATGTACCCTGAAGGAAGGTGAGATTGGGTAGGAAACAGAGAATAAAACTGTGAAACACAACACATTCTGTATTTATACAATTCATTCTGTTAGGCTTAGTTTGAAATCCAAGACAGATTTCTTAGAACTTTCTGAACCCTCTTATTATTCCTTGCCCTTCCCCCTTTGAAAACGAAGACAATAGTGATTTATAATATTCTTTTTTTCTGGGGAAATCAGCTACATGGGATGTTTTAAGAAAAAATGGGTTGATTACACAGGACAAAGAAAATAATTTTGAACATTTGTCTGAAGAAGTCTCTTATTTTGATTTGTGTATAACTGTTAAAAAACAGTATTATATATGCAATGTGTTGTACCAAAGTAAGTCTACCCCTTTATTTTTTTGAGACAGGGTCTTCCTCTGTTGTCCAGGCTGGAGTGCAGTGGCATGATCTTGGCTCACTGCAACCTCCACCTCCCTGGCTCAAACTATTCTCCCACATCAGCCTGCTGAGTAGCTGGGACTACAGGCACATGGCACTGTGCCCAGCTAATTTTTGTATTTTTAGTAGAGACAGGGTTTCGCCATGTTGCCCAGGCTGGTCCTGAACTCCTGGGCTCAAGCAATCTGCCCACCTCAGCCTCTCAAAGTGCTGGGATTACAGGTGTGAGCCACTGTGCCTGGCCTAGCCCTTTATTTTATATATAAACATGTAAATCCATTCAACAGTCTCAGCTGAATGTGGTTATGGAGACTGAGATGATAGCATCAGCTAAGGCCTTAGAGTAGGAAAGGCAGTTGGAATAATGCAGGCAGCAAAGCTATAAAAATCTGGATGACAGAAACATAGCACAGTGAGGCTGGGAAATCAGCTCAGCTAAGTGAGGACCTGTATTGAGGTTAGTGTTAGAAGCAGGTCCAGAAAGATAGCATAGTCACTCTGAAGTGACACCAAAGACAGAGAGTCACTCTGAAGTGACACCAAAGGATTTTGCTCAGAAGATGCTACAGAAAAAAAGTTACATATCAAAGTGGAGGTCCTGGTATATCATGAGGGTGCTTCTGATTAACAAAAGCCAGCCAGCTGTTTGGAAAAATCTAAATACGTTAACAGCCTGTCCTTGTCCACACAAAAACTTATACACAAATGTTCACAGCTGCATCATTCATAATTGCCAAAAAGTGGAAACAACCCAAATGTCCAGAAAATGAATTTTATCTCAATTTTTAAAAAGCCTTCTCATGTTGTAGTTCTAACAGGCTGAGTAGTTTAAAAAGGTAATAACAGAGTGAATAATCAAGGAAAACTTCCCTGGCGTTGCTAGAGATCTAGATATCCAAATCACCTGAGAAATTCATTGCAAAAAGATCATCGCCTAGGCACAGTCATCAGGTTATCTAAAGTCAACATGAAGGAAAAAATCCTAAGAGCTGTGAGGTAAAAGCATCAGGTAACTTTTAAAGAAAAACCTCTCAGATTAACAGCAGATTTCTCAGCAGAAACCCTACTAGCTAGAAGGGATTGGGGTCATATCTTTAGCCTCCTTAAACAAACAATTATCAACCAAGAATTTTGTATCCAACTAAACTAAGCTTCATAAATGAAAGAAAGATAAAGTCTTTTTCAGACAAACCAATGCTGAGAGAATTCACCACTACCAAGCCTGCATTACAAGAACTGCTAAAACAAGTTCTAAATCTTGAAACAAAACCTCGAAATACACCAAAATAGAACCTCCTTAAAGCATACATTTCACACGGCATATAAAATAATAACACAATGAAAAAACCCCCAAGGTATTCAGGCAACAACTAATATGATGAATAGAATAGTACCTCACATGGCAATAGTAATGTTGAATGTAAATGGCCTAAATGCTCCACTTAAAAGATGCAGAATGGTAGAATGGATAAGAATTTACCAACCAAGTATCTGCTGTCTTTAAGAGACTCACCTAACGTATAAGGACTCACAGAGACTTAAGGTAAAGGGGTGGAAAAAGATAATCCATGCAAATGGACACCAAAAGTGAGCAGGAGTAGCTATTCTTATATCAGATAAAACAGACTTTAAAGCGACAACAGTTAAAAAAGACAAAGAGGGACATTATATAATGATAAAAGGACTAGTGGAAAATATCACAATCCTAAATATATATGCACCTGACACTGGAGCTCCCAAATTTATAAAACAATTACTACTAGACCTAAGAAAGGAGACAGATAGCAACACAATAATAGTGGGGGACTTTAATACTGCACTGAATGCACTAGACAGGTCATCACATCAGGAGGTCAACAAACAAACAATGGACTTAAACTATACCCTAGAACAAATGGACTAAATGGATACTTATAGAATATTCTACCCAACAACTGCAGAATATACATTCTGTTCATCAGCACATGGAACATTCTCCAAGACAGACCATATGATAGGCCACAAAACAAGTCTCAGTAACTTAAGAAAACTGAAATTATATCAAGTACTTTCTCAGACCAAAGTGGAATAAAATTGGAAATCGACTCCAAAAGGAACCCTCAAAACCATGCAAATACATGGAAATTAAATAATCTGCTTCTGAATGATTGTTGAGTCAACAATGAAATCAAGATGGAAATTAAAAAATTCTTTGAGCCAGACAATAATAGTGACACAACCTATCAAAACCTCGGGGATACAGCAAAAGTGGTGCTAAGATTAAAGTTCATAGCATTAAATGCCTGCATCAAAAAGTCTGAAAGACCACAAATAGACAATCTAAGGTCATACCGCAAGGAACTAGAGAAACAACAACAAACCAAACCCAAACCTAGCAAAAGAAAAGAAATAACAAAGATCAGAGCAGAACTAAATGAAATTCAAACAACAACAAAAAATGCAAAAGAGAAATGAAACAAAAAGCTGGTTCTTTGAAAATATAAACAAAATTGATAGACCATTAGAGAGATTAACCGAGAAAAGAAGAGAGACGATCCAAATAAGCTCAATTAGAAATGAAACAGGAAATATTACAACTGATACCACAAAAATACAAAAGATCATTCAAGGCTACTATGAACACCTTCATGCACGCAAACTGAAAAACCTAGAAGAGATGGATAAATTCCTGGAAATATACAACCCTCCTAGATTAAACTAGGAAGAAACAGAAGCTCAACAGACCAATAACAAGCAGAGAGAGTGAAATGGTAATAAAAAAAAATTGCCAACAAAAAAAAGTCCAGGACCAGATGGATTCACAGCTGAATTCTATCAGACATTCAAAGAATTGGTACCAATCCTATTGAAACTATTCCAAAATATAGAGAAAGAGGGAATCCTCCCTAAATCATTCTATGAAGCCAGTATCACCCTAATATCAAAACCAGGAAAGGACATAAAAAAACTACAGACCAATATCTCTGGTGAACATAGATGCAAAAATCTTCAACAAAATACTAGCTAACTGAATCCAACAGCCTATTAAAAAGATAATCCACCATGATCAAGTGGGTTTCATACCAGGGATGCAGGGATTACTTAATATACACAAGTCAATAAATGTGATACACCACAGAAAAAGAATAAAAAACAAAAATCACATGATCATTTCAAATAGATGCGGGAAAAGCATTTGACAAAATCCAGCATCCCTTTATGATTAAAACCTCAGCAAAATCGGCATAGAAGGGATATACCTTAAGGTAATAAAAGCTATCTATGACAAACCCATAGCCAACATTATACTGAACAAGGAAAAGTTGAAAGGACTCCCCCTGAGCAGTGGAACAAGACAAGGATGCCCACTTTCACCACTTCTATTCAACATAGTACTGGAAGTCCTAGTCAGAGCAATCAGGCAAGAGAAAGAAATAAAGGGCATCCAAATAGGTAAAGAAGAAGTCAAACTGTCGCTGTTTGCTGATATGATCATATACCTGGAAAACCCTAAAGACTCATCCAAAAGCTCCTAGATCTGATAAAGGAATTCAGTCAAGTTTCAGGATATAAAATCAAAGTACACAAATCAGTAGCACTGCTATACACCAACTGAGACCAAGCTGAGAATCAAATCAAGAACTCAACCCCTTTTACAATAACTGTAAAAAAACAAAATAAATAAAATACATAAGAATATACCTAACCGAGGAGGTGAAAGACCTCTGCAAGGAAAACCACAAAACACTGCCAAAAAAATCATAGATGACATAAACAAATGGAAACATATCGCATGCTCATGGATGGGTGGGTAGGATCAATATTGTGAAAATGACCATTCTGCCAAAAGCAATCTACATATTCAATGCAATTCCAGTCAAAATACCACCATCCCTCTTCACAAAACTAGAAAAAACAATCCTGAAATTTATATGGAACCAAAAAAGAGCCCACATAGCCAAAGCAAGACTAAGCAAAAGAACAAATCTGGAGGCATCACATTACCTGACTTCAAACTATACTATATCGCTATAGTCACCAAAATAGGCACATAGACCAATGGAACAGAATGGAGAACCCAGAAATAAAGCCAAATACTTACAACCAACTGATCCTTGACAAGGCAAATAAAAACATAAAGTGGGGAAAGGACACCCTATTCAACAAATAGTGCTGGAATAACTGGCAAATCACATGCAGAAGAATGAAGCTGGATCCTCATTTCTCATCTTACACAAAAATCAACTCAAGATGGATCAAGGACTTAAATCTAAGACCTGAAACCATAAAAACTCTAGAAGACAACATCGGAAAAACCCTTCTAGACATCGGCTTAGGTGAAGACTTCATGACCAAGGACCCAAAAGCAAATGCAACAGAAACAGAGATAAATAGATGGGACTTACTTAAACTAAAAAGCTTCTGCACAGCAAAAGAAATAACAAACCACAGCGTGGAAGAAAATCTTTGTAAACTATGCATCTGACAAAGGACTAATATCCAGAATCTACACAGAACTCAAAACAAATCAGCAAGAAAAAACCAAACAATCCCATCAGAAAGTGGGCTAAGGACACAAATAAGACAAGTCTTAAAAGAAGACGTACAAATGGCCAACAAATATATGAAAAAATGCTCAACATCACTAACGATCAGCAAAATGCAAATCAAAACCACAATGCGATACCACCTTACTCCTGCAAGAATGGCCATAATTTAAAAAATCAAAAAATAGTAGATATTGGCATGGTGGTGATAAGGGAACATTTTTACACTGCTGGTGGGAATGTAAACTAGTACAATCAATCTGGAAAACAGTATGAAAATTCCTTAAAGAACTGAAAGTAGATCTACCATTTGATCCAGCAATCCCACTACTGGGTATCTACCCAGAGGAAGAGAAGTCATTATATGAAAAAGATACTTGCACACTCACGTTTATAGCAGCACAATTTGCAATTGCAAAACTATGGAACCAGCCCAAATGCTCATCAATCAATGAGTGGATAAACAAAATGTGATACATACATACATACATACATACATACATACATACATACATACATACACACACACACACACACACACACACCATGGAATACTATTCAGCCATAAAAACTAATGAAATAATGGCATTCGCAGAAACCTGGATGGAATTGGAGACTACTATTGTAGGTGAAGTAACTCAGGAATGGAAAGCCAAACTCGTATGTTCTCACTTATAAGCTAGAGCTAAGCTATGAGGATGCAAAGGCATAAGAATGACAGAATGGACTTCGGGGACTTGGGAGGAAGGGTGGGAAGGGGGTGAGGGATAAAAGACTATACATTAGGCACAGTATACACTTCTCAGGTGATGGGTGCACCAAAATCTCAGAAATCACCACTAAAGAACTTATCCATGTAATCAAATACCACCTGTGCCCCCAAAACCTATTGAAATAAAAATAAATAGAAAATAAATCAAAAGGGTTAACAGCTTGGAATCACAGACTTTCTTTAAAATATCCCTGTAAATAGGCCTTATGAGAGCCAACTGATTATAAGCTAATTAGTTAATACTAGATTTCATAACCTTTCTGCTCTAACTTGGTGTTTTCTTCATTATTTAGTGGCTTGTTCTGTGTTACTATTTTTTTTTTCACTCTTAAATAATGAAACACTGGTGGGGGAAAGGAGGCCAGGTAGTGGTAGTTATCTATAGTTTATTTGTTCCCAGCCTAATTCTCTAGCCTTGACTTCACTGGCTGCAGCAAAATAGGAAAGCATGTGTATGATAGAGGAAACCTAATAAGCATTTTTGTGTCTTGCTCCAATTGCCTCCAAATTATGGGAACACATTCTATGACTAATAACAGAAAGAACCCACAAAATCTGGTGTTTTTGCTTTTCAGTGTTCCTAATACTTGGGGTAGATGTTGTTCTAGGATCTGGGGCAGCAAGGAAGAATTAGAGCCTAAAATGATCAGGAATAATAATTCTGGGATCCCTAGAATTTCTAGTGTCTAGAGTTCTCTGTACTTCTTAGTCTGCTTTTTTTCTTCCCTCTCTCCTTGAGGAATTAATTCAATTAGAGATTGCTCATTACAGACCATAATAATTCATTTTTGGCCTATAAATATGTTGGAGAAAAAAGAAATGAAGGGATTCTATTTCACTGACACTGCCATGTTAAATAAATGCCTGGTGACTGGTGCTATAAAATACTCTGCCCCAGTGTCTTCCTTGGTGGAGAGTGTGTGTGTGTGTGTGTGTATGTGTGTGTGTGTGTGTGTATGATTTCTCAGTAATTGTGGGTGGGAGTTGAACTCACAGATGTCAAAACAGGAGCTTGGAACTGATAGTCAAGGACGCTGGTGACAATGAGCATTATGCTGGAAGTACGACAAATACGTCTCTTGGATGCCAAAGCACCTCCCAGGGTAAACACCTTAACTGTGGTCTCCAAAAGTAGATCCATGAGAGGGGATGACAGAATAACTCCTCAGACCAAGGCTAGACTAGTTACGGTTTGCTGGCAATCTCAAGGGAGATGACTGATTCAAAGATCTCTATGTAATTCCCAGTTCTTATGAAGGACTGCAAGATATGGTATAATAGAGCTTCTGAAGTGATCAGTTTACACACGTAATTTTATCCAATTTCTGAAGATGATCATATTGGGAAGCCTGGTTTCAGGGGCTCAAGCCTGGCTAAAATAGTGGAATCTCTTAGGGTATCTAAGAGAATTTAGAAAAATTACCTTTATTATTTTTTTCTTCTTACAAAAGGATAAGGTTGGTTGTAAGGAAAAATTTAAATACTACAGAAATATAACATAGAAACAAAAGTCCCTATACAAAGTGACAATTACTAACAAATATCAATTGAACACTGAGTGCCAGCTACCAGGGATATAGCAGTGAATGTAACAGATAAAATTCCCTGTTCTCATAGAGGTTTCATTCTAGTGGTAGGAGTCAGTGGAGAAAAAGAAACAGTAATTGAAATAATATATCAGGGGGTGATAAGTGTTAGGGGAAAAAAAAACAGTAGAGGGGGAAAGGGAATGCCAAAGATTGTATGTGTGCATGAAATTTTTAGGGCAAAAAGGCCTCAGTGAAGTGATATTTTTACAAAGACGGATGTGGTGATGGAGTGAGTCCTGCAGGTATGGGGTGGGGGTGTTGTAGGAAGAAGGAACAGCAAATGGGAATATGTCTGGTATATTTAGAAAGAGGAGGGCTAGAGGAGGAACTGGAAACAATAATAACAGCTCTTTCAGAGAGCCCTGGAGTGAAGAAGAGCAGACAAATGAGTGTTAACTCAACTGGTATGTTGGAGCACTAGGGGTCTGTTTTGTTTTAAAGCTGGGAGAATTGTAGCATGTTTATCTGCTGAAGGAGTGATTGAGCAGAGGAGAAAAACTGATGACTGCAGGGGAGAAATGGGTCAATCTCTGCAGGAGTGTTTGTGAGTTGATGGGAGGGGATGGTATCTATTAATAAAGCCCCAGTGTAGGTCTGGCCTTAGACAGGAGTTTGGGGATGGGCGCGGTGGCTCACGCCTGTAATCCCAGCACTCTGGGAGGCCGAGGTGGGCGGATCACAAGCTCAGGAGTTCAAGACCAGCCTGACCAACATGGTGAAACTCCGTCTCTACTAAAAATACAAAAAATTAGCCGGGCGTAGTGGCGGGCGCCTGTAGTCCCAGCTACTTGGGAGGCTGAGGCAGGAGTATGGTGTGAACCCGGGAGGCGGAGCTTGCAGTGAGCCGAGATCCCGCCACTGCACTCCAGCCTGGGCGACAGAGCGAGACTCCGTCTCAAAAAAAAAAAAAAAAAAAAAAAAAAATTAGCCGAGCGTGATGGCATGCGCCTGTAGTCCCAGCTGCTCGGGAGGCTGAGGCAGGAGAATCGAGGGAGGCAGAGGTTACAGTGAGCCAAGATCACACCACTGCACTCCAGCCTGGGCAATAGAGTGAGACTCCACCTCAAAAAAAAAAAAAAAAAAGAAAGAAAGAAAAGAAAAAGACAGGAGCTTGGATGGTTCATGTATAGAAATAATAGAAATAGAAGGAAAGGGAGAAGATATTTAGTACTGATATGGGTAGGAGATGGATAAAGGTCTCTTCTGATTGCTTTAGTTGTCTCAGTAAAATAGGAAACAAGATTAGCTGAGGGTGAGGATGGGAAAGATGCTGGAGGTTAGAAGACAGGGAAAAAGGCACCTGCAGAGTGGAAAGTGAATGGACTAGGGAAACACAGTAGGACTGCCACACAGTACTAAAGACCCACTGGAGGTTGGTGGTCATGAATTTAAAGCAAGACCACTCAGCATGGTTGTGTGATCTTCTGTAGCCAAGTTCAGCTGCACGAATAAAAGCTCAAAGTAGACAGAGAACACAATTTAATCTGAGTTGGAGCTGTTCCAGGTGGGTACCATGAAATGAGGGGATGACAAGGAACCTCAGAGTATATTCAAGGGAATGATTTTAGTGACGAATTATGGCAGTGGTTCTCAAGCATAATCATGCATCAGAATCACCCGGAGGGCTTGTTAAAACCAAAAAATGTTGAGCCCTACCCCCAGAGTTTCTGATTTACTAGGTTTGGGTTGGGGTAGGAGAATATGCATTTCTATCAAGTGTCCAGGTAATGCTAACAGTATTAGTTGGGAACCATACTCTTAAAACCACTGACATAAACATAAGGCCAGAAAATGAACGAAGAAGGGCAGAGGACAGACTCATTAGAGGAGATCAAGGAATTGAGAAGCTCCTGTATTGGATACCTTATCTATCAAACACTCGAACAGTGGCAAGAGTAATATTGAAAAGTGTGTCATAAAGCCAGGAGATAAAACCTTCAAGAAATAAGTGACCTGGGTTGGTAGATGACTACAATCAGAAGAGGTAGTGGATAGCAGAGTCTAATGGTATTAGTTCAAAGTTGGGGCGGGGCTGGTTTCAGGGAGGCAGCCAGGAGAATAGTCTAGAGCAGCAATGAAATGCAAGAACCCTTACTGCCCCCTCCAGGCCCAGTGGGATAGGGGGTGGGAATGAGAAAGAATAGAGCCACCATTTCACTGGCTACAGTATCCTTAGGAAGAGACGAGTTTAAGTTATAATAGGAAGGGAAATGTTTAGAGAAGAGATATGACATAGGAAACTTTGCCGGTAAATCATCATGAATTCAGAGTGCAAGAGGACATGGTGAAACGATTTCAGGAGTTGGGAGGGTTGGAAGTGGACTTAGGAAATATATAAGAGCAGTGTGAGGAGGAAAGTGGGGTGGGGGATGGGGGGTGATCTGGATTCCTGGATTTCTGGTGGTGACTAATGTAAACAAGGATGAAGGGCATATTAGACAGATTAGTCCTGATGACCTTAAGTCAGAGAGTGGTGGTGAAGCTGTGAGGGTTGGACAGGCCTGTGGGCTTAATGGAGCAAGCTGGGTTCTGGGAGCTCCTCTTCACTCCTGCCAAGGGTGGAGTGGAGGCTGGGAGAGGGCAGACTTATCAGGAACACCTGGATATGAGATTCACTTTCTACTTCTGGAGGAACATGAATAATATTGAGCATATGTACCCCAAACTTTGTGTGCATAAAAATATATTAATAACAAAAAGGGATCATAATGGTACATCTTGCAATTTACATTTTTAACTTTATCTTGACCCTTCTACATCAGTACATATATATCTACCAGGCTCTTGTGAACATAGGTGGGGACATATTTGAGATACCTGATGTTAATCAGAAAGAATGCAGGTATTAATGCAAAGGTACCTGACGTCAGAAGCCACCAAATGTGGAGGGGGATATTCAGGTTGGGCTCATTCCACAAATTCCTATTTGCCACCAGGCAGATGTGTTTACTTTTATTAATCTGCTTGGTGGCAATTGAGAGGAGGAGAGAATGGTTTCCTATTGTATTGCTAAGTGTCTTGATTTCTACTTAAGCATTCCCAGCACTGAATCCAGGCACCATGAGCACCTACAAAGCCAGGGAAGAAACATTTTCCCTCAGTGACATGACTGGCTAATGTTAATGAAGGCATGGATATAAACCTAGAAAGTAAAGAGAGAAAAGTGTTTATTAAGGCTCCACAAGGAACGTTTAACAAAGTTCCTAAAATGTGCTTTGCTAAAATGTTAAATTTATTTTCCTAATTATTCTGCATTCAAATATGCATATAAAACTATACACTATACTATCTAAACAATGAGGAAACCTAAATGTTAGATCATTAACATAGGAAGGTTCTTTATTTCCTCTGGAATGAAATCTCAAATACAAATTCCTGCTCAGGGTTAGAAGAAAGCAAAGTGAGTTCTAGTAACAACAGAAATTATGCTCACCTTCAAAGATTTCTCTCGGGCATCCAAAAACAAATAAACAAACAATTGTACTAAAATTAAACGGCCAGAAATATCCTTTTCCAACCCAAATCCATGAGGAGGAAGATGGCAACTTCTAAGAATGGGCAAAAGGACAATGAATATATAGGTATTCCTTAAAGAGAAAGTAAATTGTTACAAAATTTTCAAAATTTAAACAAAGAGCTTGTATATAGCGTACTGTAAGAAAGCCTGTGGGAACAATGGTGATCGAGAAAGCACCCTCTCCTCAAAATGGCTACAGCATATTATCGAGGGATTTCTGCCCCCACAATAAAGTAAAACAATCTACACTCACATGATGTCTTTCCCTCTTGCCAGGAAAGGTGACCAGACCCTTCCTAGGGTACTGTCGTTTTTTAGGTGTTAAAGGCTAGAGGAATTAAAAGACTTAGAGGTCTAGGTAAGATACTTGAGTCTTGCTGAGGCACTACCCTGAAGTCTGAGAAGGGCACCCTGATGTCAGGTCCTCTTGTACCCATCCTTGAGAAGCAAAAAGCAGGGAAAGGGATGGCCCTCAGGCAAGGGAGCGGTTTCCATTTGAGGAGACAAAGCAGGAAAGTGAACATCCCCTCACTTGGTTATTCATCCACTTACTCATTTATTCATTCAACAAATAGCTATTTAATGCTAAATAAAGGCCAACAGAGGCTAGTAGCCCAGATGTGGAAACTTAAGAGAGATTCACACATCTCCTTCCATATTCTTATTTCACTATTTCATTTTTACCTCGGATACATTTGAGAGCTTGAGATAACATTTTTGGAGGCTGAATGGAAAAAGAGAAGATCAGATGTGAATTAGGTTGTCAGGCAGACTGCCTGCTTAAATTCTGACTTTAAACTCCAGAAAACCGATGGGAAAAGGTTACCACCTGAAGGACAGGTAGGCTTCTTACTCTCTATCCCTTATTGGTGTGGATTCTACTAACTTGGAATTCATAATAATATAAGCAGAGCAGTCTGCAATTTCCCTTTATATTCTCTAGGAAGGAAAGTTCTGTTAGAACAATTTTTGTTGCCCTTGATCATCAAGATAAAACTATTACAGAGCTTAGGTTTGAGAGAAATAATGGATTCATATATATCTATATAGTCTCTTGCTGAATTCCCCTGGGACAAAAGGTATTTGGAGAAGATTTGAAGCAAACAGTAAAATGTTAAGATTTGACAAAGCTAAATGGTGGGTGATAACAGTGCTTTTGTATCATTCACCATACTTTTCTATTTGCTTAAGATGGGTTGACAAACTTCAGTCCATGGACCAAATCTGGCCCACTGCCTGTTTTTCTAAGTCTTGGAGCTAAGAATGGTTTACATTTTTAAAGCACTGGGTTGTTTGTTTGTTGGTTTGTCTTGCAAAGGGCAAATAAGACTACATGACAGAGACTCTGACCCATAAAGCCTAAAATATTTACTATCTTGCTCTTCATAGAAATGTTTGCCAATTCCTCACTTAAACTTTTCATAAGAAAAGAAAGATTAAAAAAAGACAAGTAGGAAGGCAACTGAGTCAAGGAAGAATGGTTTGTCTTCTTGCATTAAGCATCTTCCTGAATTAAACATTTTATATTACCTGTCTCTTTGAATTAGCTTTTCATTAAGTACTTTTCCAACTTTTATCAAGAAGAAATCTCATCAAATTTTATTATATTCTGTGATATTGAAACTTATTTAAAAGAATGGCAGGAGACAATCTTTTAATAAGATTCTGATTTCAGTCCATTACTTGTCAAAAAAGTGGGAAGCACATTTAGAGCCCAGTGTGGCATTTTAAGGTAGCTGTACCTAGATTGGGGGTCACGGGGAACCCACTCATGAGGTGTTAGCCAGGAACACAGGACAGGTGATGCTCAGACATTTTCTACTTTATGCAGTCCATCTCTTTTTAGAGAATTTGTCTCCTTTTTGTCACAGAAGATAATGGGGGAAGAGGGTTGAGTAAAATTCAAAACACCGTATCACAGTGAGAGTTTCTGGTTATAATGGTTTTAAGATATTGGAATAGGTCATCAGAGAAAGCAGATGTTTCTTCAATGGGCAGACAGGTTATTGTGAGGGAAAATAGTGAGATAATACCTTTAAATGTCTTAGTATGCCTTAGTTCACAATAACTGGTAGCTCTTATGACATTATTATCATTTTGAAGTTGCTATGTAGGTATTTTCTTTCCTTTATAATAAACTATTAAGCACATCAGTATTGCCTGTGTACTGCAATGTGTCATGTGGGAAAAAAAACCATGTGAAGGGATTTTTCTTACTTTTGTGATTAATTCCAAGTTTCTCCCCTAGTGTTGACCCCAAACTAAAGATACTACCACCTGTGAACCAACAAATGAGGAGATTCACACAAAGTAATTTCACAGAAATGCTCAGGGAACATCTGTGATATTTAGACCCAAATAATCACTTAGTAACCTTATTAAAAGTATGTATTGTTTTAAACTTTAGTGTTGCTAGTGACTAAAAAAGTCCACAGAAGAATAGCAGCCACAAAACATACAGACTGAGTATCCCTTATTCAAAATGCTCATGACTAGAAGTGTTTTAGATTTAGAATTTTTTTGGATTTTGGAATATCTGCATATACATAATGGGATACCTTGGGGATGGGGCCCAAGTCTAAACACGAAATTTATTTGTTTCATATATACACATAGCTTGAAGGTAATTTTACACAGTATTTTAAAGAATTTTGTACGTGAAACAAGGTTTTGATAGCGTTTTGACTGTGACCTGTCACAAGGTCAGGTGCAGAATTTTCCACTTGTGGCATCATGTTGGTGCCCAAAAAGTTTCAAATTTTGGAGCACTTTGGATTTTGGATGCTCAACATGTACCAGGGAAAGAAAGATTCATCTGATGACAATATGCATTTGTTCCCCTGCTCAAATGACAGTTGTAATGAGAAGCCTAATATGTAACTTGTATTTTAACTTGGCCACATAAATGGCATCTCAAATATCCAATTAGTTTTTTAAAAAATTACTACGTAATATTTAAGAATATAAAAAAGCACAAAGAATAACATGACAAAATACTTACAGATCTACTACCCAGATTATGAAGTAAAATATGACTAATACTATTCAGGCCCCCTGTACGCCCTTCCTCAGTTGCATTTCCCTTCCTCCAGGATTAACCATTAACATTGGATTTTGTGTATCCATGTATTTCTTCATACTTTTTGTAAAAATGTATGTATCTCAAAATGATTCATATCCTTATTTTACAACTTGCTTTTGTCGATTTGGCTTTATGTCTGAATTCATACATGTTGATACATATAGCTCATTCATGTGGTAGGGGCAGTGCTTAACAAATATTCCATGTGCTTTTCTATGTTTCTTAGATTTTAGGTTGGGAATCACTGGACTGTGAACAGAAATGAAGTGTGTCCAAGTTTGGGACAAGGCAGTTAAAAGCATCACCCCTTTGTTCCCCTCCTTCAGTGAACTCAAAAGCCACATATCCTAGATGGGTCAATGGGCAGCAGTAAGAACATGGAGCCTCCATCAGACTGGGTCCTTGAATGAAGTAGAGCAGAGCCTCTTGCTAACCCATGTTGGACTTATAAAACGAACAAGGAATAATCTTGTTGTGCTACGACACACGTATGTAAATAAAATGGGAAGACAACTGCCTTTCTGGGAGTATTCAAAAGCAGTGCTTTCAGTAGGGGGATGGATTAAAAACTTTTGAAAATACTTCCGTGATTCTAGATTGATATTTATTCTCAGTTGCCTGGAGAATCAAATCTTACCCTTTAGTCTTTATCTTCTTTGAAGGCCTACTGTTATGACAATACTTTCAGAATGGTGTTCACATGCTCATGAACTGTTTCAGACATTGTCAGTTTTGTCTCTACAAGTGGATTTTAAGCTCTTAAAGAATCATGTCTTCTCTCCTTTTGTACTCTACACTAACCTTACACAGGTCTACACAGGCATGCAGTAACAACTGGTCTCTTGGTTGGCTGGGGAGGGTGACGACTAATATTAAATGCCTACTTTGTGTAAGGAACCTTGCTTATGTTTCACACAAGTTATTTTGATCCTTATTATTTCCACCATAAAGATGAGGATATTAAAGGTAAGTAATTTTTCTTTGGTCACAGAGCTGGGAAGAAGATGAAGGGTATGGGGAGGGCAGTAGGAACCAGTCTGAGTCTAAAGTCTTTGCTTTTTTTTTTTCCTCTATCATCTTGTATAATCTTTGCTTTTTACTGACTCTGAGCTGAGTGAGATCATTCCTAGTGTAGGGCAGAGCTTTAGTAGAACAAAAAATGGCTAACAAAAAAGTTTTTCTTTATAAAATTTTCAAACACTAAACATTTTTTAAAGAGTTCCTAGGACTCAAAATTGTTGGGTCTTACCTTGATCACCTCTGGAGTCTGCTGAATCAAAACTGCTGAAGTAGTATCTTTGGCTTTATCACCAACAGGACTTCTACAGACTGATAAATTGGCCTGGGAGGAAGTTGTCAAGGTTTCCTGTAGAATTTGCATCATTTCCTTTTCTTGTGATAGGCTCCCTCTGCTTGATTTGCATTCAACTAGTTCTTGAGCAAAGTCTTCAATGCTTTCCAGGATTCGCAGTAAGAGGGCTCGATCCTCTTCCTCTATTTTGTGTCCATTGGTTTCAATAATCCTTGTTAGACAGGAAGGTGAGACTTTTTCTATGGGTGAAGAGACTTTAGATTTAGGCTCAAGATCTACAAGGGTCTGACCGGTCAACTGACTGTGACTATTTAAAAAATTAGAGTTTTTACCCTTCGCAAGTGGCTCTCTTAGAGAGGTCTCCATCTTCTGTGAAAAAGATTCCAAATCCATTAACAATTTATCTATCTCTTCCTGGCTACTGGAATTTGTAAAATCTCTCTGGTCTCCCTCTTCAAATTTAGAAACTTTTGATTTACAGTCTTCCTTAGGTAGATTAACAAATGATTTCTCAAATATCTTACCAATTTCATTTTGCATTGGGGTGGGGCATTTTTTAAGATGAGTAGCATGTTCTGGAAATTCTGCTCTATGTTCATTTACCTTTAATAACTCATGACTAGGTCCATTCTCTGTCTTTTGTCCTTTATCTAATGCTTTCTTTCCATCTGACTCTTCTTCAATATAAAGAGTTTCCATTAAGTCGTCAGAAGAAACATTTTCTAAAGGATTCATGGTTAATGACTGTGATTGGACCTGGACAGCTTTTAGAGTTCTAGGATCATTTACCTCTAAGTTATATAAGGAATTTGTGGAGTTGTTTGGAATGGATTGTACAGTGTCCATCTTCCTAGAATTAGGCTTGTCATTTTGCAATTCAATAGTTTGAAATCGTCCAGAGTCAGAAGCTGAGAGCTGGACAACATCTTCATATTTAGGGGGTTGTTCAGTGCCAAACACTGGGGAGAAGGGAGTCAGTTGTAAGCTAGGCATATTACTGATCAGTTCTGTTAAATCTAGAGCCTCATTATTCCCAGACTGCATGAATTCAAATGGTAACTTTTTCAGATAGGATGCTAACCTGGTCATTACATTCATATAGACAGTTTCAGAGCTAGAAATTGTATCATTACCACTTCCTTCACTGATGCTACTCCCTGATTTTTTCTTTATGCATTGTTTTATGATGTCTGTGCATTTTTTTAAATCCTCGGAGCATTTCAATAAGATGTCCAAGCACATCTTTATGTCTGTCCCAGAAGAAAAATTATCTATTTTATGTTTTTCCAAAATCTGAGTAACCAAGTCTTCTTCAGAAAAGTTTTGAAGAAACATGGAAGTCAGGTTCGTATCCAGTGAGTTTCTATGAGACAAAGGTTTTTCCTCAACTGAGGAACTCCGCAGTAAACCAAAGGATGGGGCGTTCCCATCGTTGTTATAATGGCCACAAAGCAAGTCCAAATCAACTGACCTCCTATTAAATGAGTCAGACTTAACTTTCCTTCCCTTTCTGTAAGCTGCATGGTTAGAGTTTTTGAGTTTTTCAAAGGAAAATTCTTTTATTTTCCCACTGGCAAAACTGATTGCTTCTCCTGCAATATCCTTTAAGTTGTAGGTATTCTGAAATGTAGATCCTCTCTTGACCCTGGGTATGCCTGTGAAGGCCTGTTGGGGATAGTCTCCTTCAGCCGAAGAAAGCCCATTTTCATGGGGTAGAAACATAGAGTTCAGATCTGCATCTTTGAACTGAGACACAGGGATGTGCAAGAGGTCTGCACAAACACTATGGTGTACCACAATGCAGTCAATTCCATGTGTGAAGGTGTGGCAGGTTCCAGTGCAATAATGTATAGCTTGTTCAAAACGCCGGTCTATCACCACGCTGCTGTAGTGGTTCACAGTACTAACCACAAGTCTGTAAGTTGCTGCCATAATATCAAATCCACTTACTGGTGGGACTTGGAACTTTCTAGAACTTGTTTCATGAAAATTCTCCTAAATGACAGTTAGCTGAAAATATATTTAATAACAATGTTCAGTGGTTTCTTCCAAATATAATGGCTTTTCCCATGAAGGGAAACCATTTATATTTGAGGTTTGGTCACTATCAGGATACAGTAGCTGCTGCACATGTGTGGCAAATTTAATAATTTAATAATTGTGCTTTTTAATTTTATTTAGTAATATTATGATACTGCAGAATTATTTTGATGAAAGAATATCCTCTTTTAGTTCTTCAACAGTTCTATAACATGGAAATTTGCTCTCATAAATTTACTATCATAAATCTTAGTTGGTAGTAGAGAAGTATTGTGATAACTGAGTCCTCCAAAGGTTTAAATGATTCATTTTTCTGTGAATGACAGAGAAACCTGTAATAAAAAAAAAAATTAAAAGGAAATTTTTTTAATGCTGGAACTTTTGATTTCCTCTTTCTTTGCATCCCATTTGCAGTTAACCACCACGCTTTATTATCTGCAATATCCCTTACAGCTGATATTCAACTCATGCCTTTGTTTCATCACACCTTATACTCCTTATTGCCTAGAGTAATATTACCTCAACTCTGCCTTGTCACATCTGCCTCTGAGATGAATTTCTTATTGCATGCTCCTTGCCACCTTATATGATATTAAGAAGCTTAGATTTACACGGCATTTTCATCCCTCACAGCTTAAAAATTCACACTTCTGATTTCCTCATGGATCACAGCAAGTCTACCTCTTTTGACTCACTTTTAAGTCCCTCAACACCTGTTCCAATCCATCTATAATCATATTTTCTACTATGTCCCTGCACCAACCTTTTGCTTCCATCAACCTAGTCTTCTCAAAGACTACCAACACCTAGTACCTGTTCTTGAGTCTCAAACTTCCTCTACTCCTAGAAATTATTCTCCCATCATCTTCTTTTTGCTTACTGAAAGAAAACACAAGTTTCATTACTGATCTTGATCCCATCTCCCAGACCCTGCTCCATGTGGATATCTCTCTCTCTGCATCAAGTGGACAGAATTTACTTAATCATTCTTTTTAAAGAACAGCTTTTAAAATATACTGTAGTTGCTTTCCAAGAAGGTTCTGTCAATGTATTTATTCCGTCAACAAATACTGACTACCTACTGTGTGTACCAGGTTCTTTGTATACACTAGGGATAGAGCAGGAAATAAAACAAGGGGAAAAAACCCAACATACAAGTTAAACATATAAACTTATCATATGGTGGCATGTGTTGGGGAGAAAAATGATGCAGGGCAAGGGTTTAGAAATGCTGGGAGGGTGCTGTTTTATGAAGGGTTGTCAGAGAAGACCTCACTGACATCTGAAAAGCAGAGACCTGAAAGACTAGAGGAAGGAGGCCAAGGAGGTATTATGAGGTAAATCCTCCAGGGTAGAATAACCGCAAGTACAAAGGCCCTAGAGTGGAGCATGCGTGATTCACTAAAAGAATGGCAAAGTGACCAAAGTGGGTGGAGCAGAGAAAGCAAGGAGACAATGTGGGAGATGACATGGCCTGTAGTCCCAGCTACTCGGGAGGCTGAGGCAGGAGAATGTCTTGAACCCGGGAGGCAGAGGTTGCAGTGAGCCGAGATCACGCCACTGCACTCCAGCCTGGGTGACAGAGCGAGACTCCATCTCAGAAAAAAATAAAAATAAAAATAAGTAAATAAATAAAAATCTGATGAACTTTTCACGAGTCATCTTGCTGAGAAAGAAAAAGGGGATGGGGCAAGACTTAAAAGAACGAATCACAAATTTAGGTCTTTGAGTAAGTTTTGAAAGGACATCAACAGCAGAAAACCAAACCTCAAGGGGTAGCACCAACTATCAATGAGAAATTTACAGTCTAAAATCATTTGAGTTAAAAAAAAAATGCCAAAGAATCAAAGATTACTTTCCCTGCTATTTGTTTCAGACCCATGGGTGTCAAATTCTGCCTTTTTATTCAGACCATAATTCAATTGATGCCCAGTTAACTAGATGGAATCTTAGACATGGAATCTAATCCACTATTTTCAATCAGAGATCCAACCTAACTCAGAAGCACCATGCAGTCCTGCGTCTAAGAGAAAGCTAGACTCCATGGTTTTGAAGCCCAATCCTGCCAGTGTGGCCTAATATAAGGTGGTTAACCTTGTCAGTCTGTTTCAACGGCAAAATGGAGAGAATAATAATACCCATCTCATGAAGATTAAGTTAACATATGTCAGATGCTTACAACAGTACCTAAGACTCAGTAAATGCACAATAAATATTATTGCTGTTATTGCTCTAATTCACTTATCAAACATTTCCTACTCTGTGCCTGACCCTGGGAGAATGATGCCAAATGACATATAGTGATGTCTTCGGAGTGCTCAATGTTTAATGAGGGCAGTGACAGAAGCAAGCAAGCACAGCAGCTATTGGGAGTGAGGCCAAGTTTCTCCCATTTTGCTCCCCCAATTAATAAATGTTCTTTTCAGAAAAGCTGGACAATATTCACAAGCAGAAATAAACACTGTTGATATTCTTATGTATATACTTTAACTTTCTCTTACAAAAATTTATAAATGTATGTATTTTTTACAAAATTTGGACCATACTATAACTTACTTTGACAATATCTCACAAATGTACTTCCAGGTCAAAATAGACATAGATCATTTTAATGAATAACATTCTATCATATAAATAAATTTAGCCATTTGTTATTGCTGAACATTTAGGTTATTTACTATTTGTTTTCAAATAAGCAGTGATAAACATTCTTTTACATATATTTTACATAGCTCTCCAGTTATTTGCTTATAATATATTCCACACAGTAAAATGTTGAGTCAAAAGATGTGTGTGTGTGTGTACATATACTTTTTCAAAAAAAGTCATTAGATACATAGGGCCAATCTAGAAGAGGGCCTGTTTCTCCATGTTTTCTTGGACTGATTCCTCTCTTTAAATTTTTGGTAATTTGATTGATGAAAAAAATGGAAGTACATTGTTTTAATCTTCATTTCCTTGATTGCTGGTAAGTCTGAATATCTTCTCATTTACCTATTAGACATTTTGTCATTGTTCACTTGTGAAGCCTTTCTTCATGTCCTTTGTCTGTTTTGAGAGGGAGCATCTGAATCAGACTGAGGAGTCAGGAAAAGTTTCCTGAAATATAGCGATGTAGGTACATAATTTTGAAGGATCAATGAGAGCTACTTAGACAAAAAGGAAGGGAAGAATACTCCAGGTAGAGGGAAACACATATGTGAAGGCAGAGAGGCAGAACACTGCACAGTGAATGCCGAAGTACAAGTAGTTCCAGCCAGTTTCACTGGCGGGCGTATAGAGACAAGCAAGAGGGCAGGAAAACAGAGCAGCAGCAGCAGCAAAAGCCAATCACAGTTGGCCTTTGTATGCTAAACTAAGGAGTCTGAACTTTATTCTGAAAGCTATGAGAAAAACAAAGACTTTTAGGCTAGAGAGTAAGAGTAACACGATGAAATTTGTTACAGAAAGATCACTGTAGCACCTGAGTGGAGGATAGATAGGAACCAGACTGAAGACCTAGAAATCGATTAGGAGGTTATGATAATAATCCATGCAAGAAGTGATGAGAATCTAAACCAAGTAGGTGACAGTAATAACAAAGAGGAGGGCACTGATTAGCCCAGGAGGAAGAATCCATAGAACAGCAGGAGGGGAAAGTGACAGGGAGGAATCTTGGATTTCTGGCTTAAGTACTGGGAGACTTGTGTTGCTAATCCTAAAACAGACTTTTTGTTTTTGTTTTACAGGGGGTGGCCACAGGACAGATAAAGTTATTTTCTGAATGTGTTGTTTGAGGAGGTACCTGTGGAATATCTAAGTGGTGATGACTGAATGAAATGTGAACACAAAAACCTGGAGGTCAGCAGAAAGATCTGGGTTGGAGACGCAGCTCTGAGAATTTACTCAGGGTGAGTGCATAAAGTGAGGGGAGCTCTGGACTGAGGAAAAGTTGAGGATCAATGACATTTCTGGGTTGAAGAGAGGAACAGAATTCTTAGAGGGAGTCTAAGAAGAAAGAGAAAAAGATAACAAGAAAACCAGGAGAAAGCAGTTTTATGGAGGCTGAAGAAGGGACTTTCCAAATGGAGGTCACTAGCACTGGATGTTACTAAGAGGTCCAGGAAAAACAAAAAACTGGATTTGCCAATATGAAGGTTGCTGGTATCCTTATCACGTGCAATTTCAGGGACTTGGTGTCAAAAAAAGTGGTGTAGGTAGACTAGATTTTCCATTAGTTTTTTTGCTAAGAAAAGGAGGGCTATAAAACGGCAGCTAGAAGAGAATGGAGATATGAATTTTTTCTTAAAGGACAGAAGATATTTGAGCTTGTGTACATGTTGAAGGGAAAGATCCAGAAAAAGCTTTGAGGACCCAGGAACTAGTAGCCAAAGCCCTGGTGAGGGGATTAGTCTCAGAGGAAGGTGGATACCTTTCCTAGTGAGGCAGGGGGAAAGAAACCAGTTTATAAATGGAAGAAGAAAAATACAAGGAATTTTTTTCCATGACAGGTTCAATTTTTCTCAGTGAAACTGAAAGCAAAATTATTGATTAAAGTTTAGGGGGCAGGAGAGGTATTAAGGAATTTGGGAAGATAGTGAAAATCTGAAATAGATGTTAATGAAAATAAGGAGGTATCTGATTAGGAACAGGCAAAAGTAAGGATAGATCCTGAAACACTGAGCAGGACTGATGTAGAAGTAGAGATGGTACAAATGACTAGCTTGATCTAGGGCTTCTCGTGAAGGCCAGAATACAAAAAGAAGTATGAAGTAATATGTTTATTGATTAAATAATGCTGATCAAGAAGGAGCAAAGGAGAGAAAAAGTTCCTTAGCAATTTACTAAATATCTTCCACTAGGATGACATCTGTTTGTGCAATAAGCTTTAACTCTGTTAGATTAACCAACAAATATTTCTCTCTACATATCAGTGGACACTTCATTAAATCATTTGAGATGTAGAAGGTCTATTTTTTCATCAGGCTTCTTTTAAAAGTTGATAGAAATAAAAGTGCCTCTGCTAACTTTAAGCAAAAAAATGTGAAGACAAGAAAACTTCAAAGTAGAAAAGAAAACCTTAAAAATTTTCACAAAAATGACAGTTTAGAAGAAAAGTTTGGTTATAAATACATTTTTACAAAGCAGCAGCCTTTAAATAACAGGAACAAAGAGAAAGTTTCTGAGGCCAGAATCACATTAATTATTGAGCTACAGTATTTTTCAATTCTAAAATACATTTTTTTTTGGACATTTTAACATCACTTAAATGGAAATACATCTTATAGTTGGTAGCATCTTAAAATCCCTATTGGTCAGGCAGAACTGTGACATGGTTGTCATTTATTGAACGCACTCTAGTAAGGTCAAGAAAACACCATTGTAAAAAAACATGCAGAATAACTTGGCAGAAAATTCCCAAAGATCATAGCAGAACACTCTTTTAAGAAATGCGTCATCACCAAACACTCTGGATGGCAGAGAAAGAAAGTATAAACATCGGTGGCTCTAAATTGAAAAGTGATTTTAAAGAGTCTGAATCCGAATAGATGAAATTCTAGAAATATTTTAGCCAATTATTTCCACTGTATTTTATTTATATATGCACAAGAGTGATATATAGTTAAAAATATCCATCAGGCCAGGTGTGGTGGCTCATGCCTATAATCCTAGCACTTTGGGAGGCCAAGGTGGGCAGACTGCCTGAGGTCAGGAGTTCACAATCAACCTGGCCAACATGGTGAGACCCCATCTCTACTAAAAATACAAAAATTAGCTGGGCATGGTGGTGTGTGCCCGTAATCCCAGCTAACTTGGGAGGCTGAGGCAGGAGAATTAAAGGAACCCGGGAGGCAGAGGCTGCAGTGAGTCTAAGGCTGCAGTGAGCCGAGATCGTGCCATTGCACTCCAGTCTGGGCAACAGAGACAGACTTCATCTCAAAAAAAAAAAAAAAAAAAAAAAAATCTGTCAACGTAAGTCTCATAGAACTCTTTCAATGAGTAAAAAAAGTTCTAGAGGATAAGCACTCTATCATAATCAATAGAGTTTTTTCTTAATGGCATATGAAATAATGAGTTTTATAATCTTAGATGAGATAAAATATGAGAAAAATTTTCAGTCTAAACATCTGTTATAGTCTGCTTTATACCCCTAATACAACAGACTACTTGCAAAATCATAATTGTTCTGAATGTGTATATTTATGCACCTCAGGTCTGTGGCATGCTGCCAGCCCCACCCCCCCAGGCTTTTGGTCTCTGCTGGTCCTTTCATCTCCACAAAGGGCCAGAGTCTGTTTTCCTAATTTCTGGGTGAGTGTTTCATATGCATCTTTAGAGTTCATTCAACAGATATTTATCAAGCACTTACTATTACCACCACTTTAAGCAGATTACGATTACTCTAACACATACTTTCCAGTGCCTCTGGAAAGCTCCACAATAAACTGCTATATGGCAGTTCCTAATGAAGAAGATCTGCTGTAAAACAAAGGTTTAGAAGCAGCAGATAAGTTAGGATGGAGAGGAACTGGATTTTTGAAAGATAAGAGCCTTATCAGGTAAAAACAGGTTGGACTGCGCCTTGTAAGCAAAAAGGAATTCTATGAAGGCACAGAGACAGAAAAAGGCTGGTGTGTTTAGAGAGGTATAAGGAGTCTGGTATTGGTAACGCTGAAAATGTGCAGTATGGGTTTCACAGTTTTAAAGTCTCCTCCAAATAATAAGAATGAGAAACAGGAATGCAAACTCCATCTTCAAAAACCTAGGAGACACCTGTAACTCCAGATGAAGACAGAAAAGAGAAGTAGGAATGGTAAATGACAGCTTACTGATGACAAGCAAACCAGTTCATACCCTGCACAACCCAAAGAAAGCCAAGGTTTGTTGGTAGCAGGTACCACAGAAAATGGAGTAGGGTAGAGGATTAAACATAGGGGGACTGTTTGAAAGTCTGTAAGAGAATAGTTAGGTCTCCATACCCCCACTCCACAAGCTCAGAAATCATCCCTCTTTCACCCTGCTGAAGATAGAAAGTTGATGTGCTGGGAGGAAAAAACTGAAACAGAAAAGCACCAACATCAGGGGCATCAGACAAAGACGGTGGTAAAGGATTGAAAATAAAGGAGGCCCAGGTCACCAAAAACCAGGCTTACTAACTCCAGCTCCTAGTCTCCACTGTGGATTAAAGAATCTTTTTCTAGAGAAATAGAAATCTCATCTAGCTACATGATCATCTTACAGTGAAGCCCACTAATTGACAAACGCTGTCCACAAACACAGAGCTTCCCTTCAGCTTTTTAGAGCTTCACTTTTATTTTGAAATCAACTTTACTGATAATTTACATACAATAAAAAACATATTAAGTTTGTAATCCAGTGAGATTTGACAAGAACCATGTAACCACTGCCTTAAAAAAGACAGAACATTTTTATCACCGCAAAATTATCCCTAGGCCCTTTCTCAATTTCCCTTACCCATAATATCCAACAACCACTGATCTGATTTCTATTACTGTAGGTAAGTCTCGCCAGTTCTAGATCTTCATATTAGCATAATTACATATGTACTTTTCTCTCTGGCTTCTCTCATTTAGCACTTAGTTTCGAGATTTATCCATTTTACTGTATGTTATCAATTGTACATTCCTTTACACTGCTGAGTAGTATTCCACTGTATGAATGTACCAGAATTTGTTTTGTCTATTCAAATGTTCTGATGCTATTCAACAAATAGATAAAACAAATTCTGGTATATTCATACAGCTGATGGACATTTGAGCTATTTCTAGTTTGTGCTATTATGATTTAAAGCTATTATGACTAATCAAGTAAAAGTCTTTTTGTGGATATGTGTTCATTTCTTTTGGGTAATTAGCAATGGAATTACTGCATCATGATAAATGTACATTTAACTTTATAAGAACCTGCAAAACTGTTTTCCAAAGTGGTTCTACCATTTTATACCCTTAGCAGCACTTGAGAGCTCTAGTAGCTCTACATCCTTTCAGATACTTGTAAATTTTAGCCATCTTAGTGAGTGTGAAGTGGTATCCCACTGTGGCTTTAATTTGCATTTCCCTGCTGACTAATGATGTTGAGTATTTTTTCATATGCTTATTAAAAATTCATATATATCTTCTTTTGTGAAGTGTCTATCCAGAATCTTTTGGGTCATCTCTTATTAGTGAATTCTAAGAGTTCATTACATATATATTTTAAATACAGATATTATCTCCCAGTCTGTGGCTTCTCTTTCCATTTTCTTAGCAGTGGCTTTTGAAGAGTAGGAGGTTTTAATTCTGTAAGTTAATTTCATCAATCCAATTAATCATTTTTTCTTTTATAGTTAATACATTTATATATACTACCTTAAGATCTTTGCCTATCCTAAGGTCATATGGATTTTCAATGGCTTTATAGTTGAAAAGAATGAAACACTTCCCTCACTTGACTCCTGGGACATATTTGGCTGGTTCTCCACCTGCCCTTTGAAAATTCACTGTCTCCTTCCTTGCATCTCTCCTCTTGTCCCCTATGTGCCAGTCTTCCTCAGAGTTTTGTGCTTTGCCCCGTTTCTCATCTTATATATGCTCAAATCTTGTCCACTTTTGTGGCCTTAAAATCTTTATCTGGCGCTTCCTCTCAAATATTTATCTTTAACTCCGGTCTCTTCACTGCCAAGTATATTTAACTACATGGGGAATATTTTCTCCTGAATGTGTACTGAAATCCATGCCTGAAGCTGAATTCATCTCCCTGCAGATATTAGAGCTACATTTTTTGGGGTGTCTCTCCCTAATTTCATGGAGAAATTTGGGAAGTTAATATAATCTTAAACATTAATGTAATGATGGAAATTATAGAACGGTGTTACACATACTATGTTGCTATTTATTTGTTCCACTTCAGGAAACATCTGGAGCAGAGTATGAGGTAAAGAAATTCCACTGCTTATCTCAGCTGATGAAAGGGTTAAAGAAGAAATGATCAACATCAATCATAAAGAAAAGACAGAGTTGATTGAATGTCCATGCCACTTAGGTGGATCACTTGAAGACTAGGAGCAGAAAAAAACTGTAGAAAATTGTCTTGAAAACTTTTTATTTAACAGAGAACACAAGGTGTAATGATTCAGAAGTAATGAGTCATTTAGAAATAATAAAACTATTACTTTGCCTGGAAAACATAGGCAATCTTGGGTGGATGACTCAGTGTGGAAACTGCTTCCAACAGAACAGTTTAAAAGAATACCAAAAGTGTACAGTAAGGCCTATTTGTGGAATAAAAAAGGAGACCTGGAATATTTTATTTGTCATGTCCACTTCAAAAATAGTTGAGAAATTTAAAAAATAAAATAAATAAAATTAATATAGTTGAGAAAATACAACATCTCTTATAGAAAAGATTTTCTGATGCTCAAAGAAAGTGTATACATGGGTATGACAGAAAAATTAATGCTTTAGGTTTAGGGCTAATGTCTGAATGAGGCTAAGGGTAATATAAAAACATTCAGCAGTGGACCTGATTTGAACACATGGGAATTAGGAAGCGCTTAAAAACTAACTTTTATTTTTACCGCAGTGGAGAAACAGGAAATGTGTGGCTGAGGGGAAAAAGCACCAGGTGGGCAGTCAGCTTCTGCACTGACTAGCTGGGTAACTTGGTCAAGTCACTTCCCTCACAGGGATTTTATCTTTTCTTCAGGAAAAACAGGATGAAAAATGGCTCTGGGGTCTAGGGAACATGAGAAAAGCAAAATTTGTTTTTTCTTGGTTTGAATTAAGAAAGGGCTACATTTTACCAGAGAACTATTTTGTATTATTTGATATGGGAAGTATGATGAATAGGCTATTAATATTTAATGCATGTAATCTGCAAAGCTACTGCTTTCTCTGAGAACTATCTCCAAAAGGAATATTTGGGGTTAAACTTTTACCATTTTCTAATTTTAAAAAATTCTTTATTATATACTCCAAAATATCACCAATAGTTTTTGCCTCTGTCTAGCTATATTTTAAGTTACTTTAATTCACACAATTTCCTTTTCTAAGTATTTTTTTATTTTGGAGGAGAACATATAAAAATCAGGTAACATTCTATGGGTAAAAATCATTTAGACAATTCAGAAGAACACATGTATTTTACAACACAGTTTAATAAACATTTGAGTCCCACTACAGGCCAGGTACCCTTCAACATAAAGAACTATGAACTCTATGGTTTTGCCTCAAGCAGCTCACAGTCTGAGCGGGCAGGACAGTGGATACATAACCTTTACGCAAAAGACGACACACCAGAGAGGGGATCTGCCAAACCCAGTCCTGGAATAGAGTAGTGTAGTTGGCTGAAGGGAAAACGTCCTGTAAGAGGGAGCAAAGCAGAAAGCAGCATGGGATGTGTGGGAGCTAGCAGGAACTTGGTATTATTTGAGTCTCAAGTTTGAAGACAGGCTTCCAGGAGCCAAAGCTGAAGGAGTGGGGCAAAGGCAACACAGCATCAGAAAGCCCCCGAGAGGTTACAAATTGTGGCTGCGAGAGGAGACAAGATCAAATGTGCATTGTGGGATATTACTCTTTGTAGCATTGTGGAGGGCAGACTTGAGGACACAAGATGAAGCTAGGTAGGCCAGGTAGAAGGCCTCAGAAGAGTCTAGAAGAGAATCCGTGAGGCTATAAATGAAGGCAGCTCAGGGGCTTAAGTTGACTAATCATGATCACAAAACTGTGAGCGGGATCTAACGTAAGACTTTTATCTTTAAGTCCTGTCCCTTTCTAAATTCCTGTACAAGCACAAATTCTGGTTAAAGATAACAAGAAATCTGAAATTTATTTTTATTAAGTACGGATTTATTTTTAAAAGGACTTTATTCATTAATTTATATTAAGTACTCCAAATGTTCAGGGCATTACAGAAAACAAACACGGCTTGTTTGTAGGAATTTGTGAGATAAAATAAATGAGACAAAAAATAATAGGCCAATTCATTTAAGAGGTATTTATTGAGCTCCTCCTGGGTCCTGATGGAGATCACATTCTAGTGACAATTCCTTTTAGAACTTCATTTTTACATCCTCCTTCCCTTCCCTGACAAGTTCATTTTGATACAAGTGAGCAGAGAAGGTCTTCAGCGCCTAGTGGATTCTAGAGGACGGCCAAGAACCTATTGTAAAAGAATGGAATCATGAGATCAGGGAAAAGCTGCTCATTTGGGATAAGATAAGAATCCCAAAGAATGGTACGGATGGCAGTAAGCTGGGGTGGTGCCCGGACCCGCCTTCAAGGCAGTTTGGATTTGACAAACCAAAGTTACTGTTTTGTCTTTTTAAACAATAGTTTTAATCTTTATAAAAGTAATGACTGTAGAAATAAGACACACTACAAACAAAAGTGAGAGTGATACCAGAGAAATTACAAAGAGGAAAGCAAAGATCACAGCTAGAGGTAGTATCAATGTGAACATTTTTGTAAATATCCTTTTGGGCTTTAAATATACATATACACATAAACAGTCATGGAGATTTTTGTGCATATAACTTTTTAAACAAAAGTAAGATTATAGTTTATTGCCTGTTTTTTTCCACTTAATATAGAGAAACTTCTTTCCCTGAAAATAAAAATCTATAGTATACAACTTATAGATATTGTATGAGCACAGTAAATTTACTCATTTAACTCTCTAGTAAGGCAAGTTAGGCTGTATGGTAAGTAAGGTACAGAAAGGAAGCAAGCAACAAGCAAATGAGAAAACTGACTTCAGCTGTGGCAGCATTCTGACTATTTTAAAGGCAGAAAGAAGGTAAGACATATGGAAGCTCAGGAGATTTTTTTGTGTTCCAGACATAGATGAATAATGTCTGAATCTGGAATTCTTTGTGGATGAAGAATTTCCAAAAGGCAAAAAAAAAGGACTGCAACCCAACACACACTATAAATGAAGTAATTTCAAATCTTCACATCTGCAGAACAGATAGATAGAATGTCAAGAAAGCACTGAGACAACTAAAAACAGCGGGTGGACTGCCAGGGAAAAACCAAGTCTCATTCTAATGATCATTCACAACCACAGCTTTCCAAGGAAGTGGCAGAGCTCCCAAACTATGCTCTAATAGAAGGTGTACTGAGCCTTTCTCACGAGATGCTAGGTGGCTTTAAGACTTCATGTGTCCTCTGGGTCTCCACCTTCTCAAGTGTTTGGGTGGGCCTTGTGGGTTAAAAACTGTGCTTGTCAAAGTTCCCTTGGAAGCTGCATTTCCTACTGCAACAAAACAGCTCTGCTTTTATCTGTTTTAGATACTGGATCTCCAAAAAACGTTTTATTTGAAAAAGCATTTCCACAGCTAAAAAGTGTTCTTAAAATAACAGCGTTAAAAAAAAATAGCATTCACCCTTCAGCTTTTTTGTTAACCACGAAGGGAAAAATGTAAATATATAATGGAGAGATACGAACATTCCCATCTCAACACGTTAGACAAACTTGGCGTCACTAATGGTGAGATAATCAATAGGTGCCTCCCAAAATGATTCAATGTCAAGACTGTAGCATCATTGATGGAATTTCCTCACCAAAAATATTTAATTAATCTAATCAATCCTTTAGATCTAATGTCCAATTCCAGAAAATACAGGCTATAGAGAAATAAATTAATACCATGAGGAAGCAGAGAAATTCATAGTATGGATCATTCTATAAGACAACTGGACTGGTGTCTTCAGTGGGTGGGTTAGGGGAAAAGGAAGCAAAAGGAACACCAGATATAAAGGTTCTGAGGTGGGAGCATGGCTTGAATGTTTTAGCAAGAGTGAGAATGCCAGTGTGACTAGACTTTGCTCTTACCTAAGTGAGATGGAAAGCTACTGAGGAGTTTTAAGCAGAGAAATGACATGACCTGATGTTCTTCTTCACAAAATCATTCTGGCTGTTAGGATGAGAACAGACTACAGGGGACAAGAGTAGAAGAGAGAGACCAGAAGGAGGGCTATTAGAATAATCCAGGCAAAAGATGATGCTGGCTTGGACTAGGTGGTAGCAGGAGCAAAGTGGTCAGATTCTGGATATATTTTGAAAGTAGAGCCAATGGGATACATGAGTGGGTTTTATAGAAAACAGAGAGGTCAATAATAAATCTAAGAGTTTAAAAAAACTGTTTTTTTTTTTTTTTAATCCTTGAACAACTGAAGATGAGAACTCACATTAATTGAGACTGGAAAGACTGCAGAAAGAAAAGATTTGTTTGTGGGAGAGGAAGTAGTGGTTGCAAGGAGAATCGGTAGTTCAGGTAGTTCAGTTTTGGACATGTTAACTTTAAGATGCCTATTAAGACATTCAGGTACATGTGTCCAGAGGGCTGCTAGAGAACTGAGCCTGGAGTTTAGGGGACAGATCCGGGTTGATAGAAATTTGGGAGTCTTTTTTTAAAGTCATGAAACTAGATGAGATCACCAAGGGATGGAATACAGAAGTAAAAAGGAGATATCCAAAGGCTGAGCCATGGGGCACTTCAAACATGCAGAGTGGCACTGTCCAATGGAACTTTCTGTGATGATGAAATATTTTTATATCTGCACCATGCAATAGCAGCCACTTCCTACATGTGGCTATTGAGCACTTGAAATACAGCCAATTGAAATAACTACATGCAGCTAGTGGCTACAGTACTAGACAGTGTAGATCTAGAGTATGGCGAATTGAAGAAGAACCAGCAAAGGAGACTGACAAAAAATGGCCAGAGAGGGAAGAATTACTGTGAGTCAATTCTCCATAGGTCTCTTATGTTTCTGCAAATATTGTAAGTGAGGCACTATCTTGATAGTCGGTGATGTGACACATGACAGTTCTAGACTATCTTTTCAAGGATGTTTTTTATACTGAATAGCCTTGGAAGACTTGGTAGTGTCTCCCTCCAGAGCAATGGGTTACTGTCCAGCATAATAAAGATAATGTTTCCCTCTGAAACAAAGAGCAAGCATGCTTATGGCCCATTATAAAAGATTTGGGTTCCACCTAAGATCAAGTTTCCTTTCCAATAACACAGCCTTACTGTGTGTGCAGGTGTCATCTGGCCTCTTCATATTGCCCTAGGAGAACTTGGGATCAGGAAACCAGCACAAAAATACTGATACTCTGGTTATGTTACTGCTATAAGTAATAAACTGTCTTCTGTCTCTGATCCAGAAGTCTTGTGTCTTCTACCATTATACATCAAACTGTTGCATACTAACTTGTTAGTATACAAATACAGTAAACTCTTAGATCCTTCAGAGTTCTTGACAAGTATCTCAGAAGCCCAGTGAAGGTGTTTCAAGGAGGATAAAGTGAACGATCAACTCTGTTCCTGAATGTTAAGTCAGATAGGTGTTGAGAAATGACAGATGTGGACATCACTGATAACCGAAAAGAGCAGTTTTATTGGAATTATGGGGGAAGAAGTCTGACTGGCTTTAGTTAAAAAAAGAATGGGAAGTGAAAAATAAGCAACAGAACATAAATAACTCTTTAAATAAGTTTTACTACGATGTTTACATTAAATAAGGCAAAAGTTAGAGTGGAAAGTGGAGTCAAGAAGGATTGTTTTTAACATGGAAGAAATAAAAGCATATGTTCATGCACAAGAGAATGGTTCAGAAGAAAGGAAAGCTGATGACACAACAGAAAGAATTATAAAGCACTTAGGGTAGTTCTTTCACACTAACAGGAAAGAAAGCAGAGTATATGGATACTACTGCGGGTAGTGGGTAGCTGTGGTGATAAAGCTCCTTCCTGACTCAGTTTCTTGGTGAAATAGGAAGCAAGCCATCAGTTGAGAGCGAAGAGTGGGGAGGAGGTATCCAACATGAAGGAGACTGAAGAAATAGTCATCAAATAGGAGATGAAACTGACAGAAAATGGCTGGAGAAATCTAGTATAATAGCCAGGTAACATTAAGGGTCCACTTGAGGATATGATAATTAATATGTCAAGTTCAGCAGCATGGTTTTACAGGCATAGAATAGGCAAAGAACTGGATTTAACTGGCTCTGTGGGTTAGCCAGGCAAGGTTGCTGAAGTGAAAGAGGGTCAGAGGAATTGAGGATGTATGCAAGGGAGAGATGATGGTGACTGATGATGAAATCTAAGCCTCTACCCCTTCTACCTCCTGAAAACTTAACCCTTCCGCTGAGCCCTGTGGGACTCATGAGCAGTTATCAGCAAAATCCTCATATTCTTGACCTCTACAGCTTTCTTCAACTTCCTTTACCTTCATATTTAAATGGAAACTGAACTCTCCCCTGAGAACGCTGCTTTCCCTGTATCCCTTTTAGATGATGACTCTTTTTCTCTTCCATACTCCTCAAAATATGAGTCCTGGTAACTGCCTTTCTTGTTCCTCACCGCTGCTTCCAGATCATTCTCCCTGTGTGCTCTCCAAAAATCCTCTGCTCTGAGTTACATACCATCAGACTCTACTGCCTACTATCGTTCCTTATTGCAGTCATTTATGGCTCCCCAAAGTCATTCCCTTTCATTCCTTGATTTTAGTTCCTGGCTGTCACTCCAACACTATTTCTGTCATAAGTCTTACTGATTTTAGCATCCAAACAAATAATTCATCTGATATTCTGTCCTTAGTTTCTTGATCTTTTTTTCCCACAACATTAATCATGCTGATCTTGTTCTCTACCCTGTCTCAGTCACTTTATCCCATGGTCACATCCTAAGCCTTTAGAACATCTAAGAGTACATCTTAATAACCATACATCTGGAGATGCATCATTTGCCAAAAAGTTTACTGGTGAGTTCCAAGTAAGACAATCCGTCTGTATGCCTCCACTGGCAGGGTCAAAGGAACGGTTATACATTAGGTGTAAGACTACTCTCTGCAGAAATTCATGCTACCTTCATCAACAGATAAACAGCAAGGAGGAGGGAACTTGGCATGCATCCTCTAATCTTGGGCTTGTATTCCTTAGGTAGGGAAGAGTATGTGTGTGTGAGAGAGAGGGAGAGAGAGAGACAGAGAGAGCGAGAGAGAGAGGGAGAGAGGGAGAGAGGGAGAGAGGAAGGGAGAGAGGGAAAGAGGGCGGGGAGAGAGAGAGAGAGAGAGAAAGGGAAAGGGGGAGAGAGAGAGAGACAAAGTGAGCAGGACTGGGTTAGAGACGGAGGTGTGCTGCTATGCTGACCCTTCTTGTACTGGGCTTTCAAAGAGAAGATTAATATTATTACATCATCATTTTAAAGTACTTATACATGCTAGGTGTATTAGTCCATTTTCACACTGCTATAAAGAAATACCTGAGACTGGGTAATTTATAAAGGAAAGAGGTTGATATGGTTTGGCCTTGTGTCCCCACCCAAATCTCATATTGTAGCTCCCATAATTCCCACATGTTGCGGGAGGGAGATGGTGGAAGATGATTGAATCATGGGGGCAGGTCTTTCCTGTCCTGTTCTCGTGACAGTGAATGGGTCTCATGAGATCTGATGGTTTTAAAAATGGGAGTTTCTCTGCACAAACTCTCGTGGTGGTGCCTGGCACCATCCACGAAAGATGTGACTTGCTCCTCCTTGCCTTCTGCCATGATTGTGAGGCCTCCCCAGCCATGTGGACTGTAAGTCCAATAAAACCTCTTTCTTTTGTAAATTGCCCCGTCTTGGATATGTTTTTATCAGCAGCGTGAAAATGGACTAACACAGAGGTTTAACTGACTCACAGTTCTGCATGGTTGAGAAAGCCTCAGGACACTTACAATCATGGTGGAAGGGGAAACAGGCACATCTTACATGGCAGCAGGAAACAGAGGAAGCAAAGCAGGAAGAGCCCCTTATAAAACCATCAGATCTTGTGAGGACATACTATCGCGAGAACGGCATGGGGGAAACTGCCCCCATGATCCAATTACCTCCCAGCAGGTCCCTCCCTCAACACTTGGGGATTACAATTCGAAGTGAGATTTGGTTGGGACACAAAGCCAAACCATATTACTAGGATTGTGCTGAGTATTTAAATGCATCATCTAATTTAATTCTTATGTCAACATTGAAGTGTTATCTCTATTTCACAGATGAGGAAACTGAGGCTTACAGAAGAAAAAAATTTACGCATGTTACATACTCAGAAAGTAGAACTGTGATTTGAGTCCAGGTTTCTGTAAGATCAAAGCTCTTTTGTCATATACTATGTCTATATTAAGGCTAAAGGAGCTGGGGTAGTCAGTTCCTAAATCCCTGCTACAATTCCAGATTTCTCAACTTCTAGGGAAGGAACTCTCAAATTAGGAAATAAAAGAAGGAAAGAGAAGGAAGGGAAAGGAAGGGTAGTTAGAAGGGGAAGGAGGGAGGGAAAATCTATACAACACTGAAGTTGTTATAGTAACCTGGATAGGATGAACAAAAAGGTGGATTTCTGTTAAACTCCAATTTTGTTTTTCAAAAAGTTTGAAAACTAATAAACTGTGACACATAAAATAGCTATAAAAAAAGTCATAACAGATAAAGTTAATGGAGTAAAATTTACAGGTGACTCTTAAAAACCAATGAATAATGTTAAGTGCTACCTCTCTCTGAACTTCAGGCTATAAGTTTGTTGTCAAACTTTGTAAGTATACTTAAAACAATGAGCTTGTTCAATAATGTAACTGACTAGGACATAATTAAAAGCATGTTCACAAATGGCATCATATCCAGAAATAGAATTACATACAAAACATGCCATAAGGCTAAGCATAAAGCCTGACTTAAAAAATGACCTGTGAGATTAAATCAACAAGAGGCAAATAGAAGATGCAGAAGGCTCTAAATGTGGAAGAACACAAATATCAGGGCAAGACAAAGCAATTTAAAGAAACTTAACAGAAGAGTAAAACGTAGGATTTGATTTAGAGGAAACATATAAATAGAAAAGCAAAAATGCACTGAAAAGAAGAAACATTTTGAAGTAATTTCCACTTATTTGCAAAGTCTTGTCTTTTTAGTATTAAGCATTTATAACACTGTTATAGTTTTTCAGGAAGGGGGATGATGGGATTCAGGTGGCAGTGTGATGAATCAGGGAAGCAGACGCAGATGAGTCAGAAAGCCATCACAATTTACTCATCCTCATATCCCCACCACATAGCCAGTGCACAGCATAAAATATAAATTCAATAATATTTTCTTAATGGATAAACGGTCAGATTCTGTGAAGCACACCCCAAAACTAAACTTGGGTAGAGAAATGGGGCAAAAGCCCAGTGGAAATATCTGTAAGAAGAAAATGCAGATTACTTTGAGCTGATCCTTCACAGTCCTCACGTGTCCCTTGACAGAACCCATTGCTTAGCTCCTGCCCTGGATATGGCTTTGGAATCCTATTTCTTGACCCCACTGATGCCCTCTATTTAACCAAGCAAGACTATAAACTTATCACATCTAACGTTATTAGTTCATTTTTGCACTAAGCTTGCCAATTGGAAGAGTGCATGAAGTACTCATCTGTCTGTAAGACAAATGCAGGTAAAAAGTTATGATCCTGTGGGCTCAATAGTACCACCTAACTAAGCAAAATCACCCATAGGACACAAGCCTGAATTACCACCTCTAGTGGGGTTCTGTGGCCATAATTTCGGCAGGAAATTTTTCATTCAATATTATGAAAGGTGTGTGTGTATGCATGTGTTGCAGGGGTGGCTGGAGTTGGGGAAGATGATACTGAGATCAGATGGGAAAGCAGAACTGAGAGCAAGGTTCAACTTCAAGAATCCAAAGGGGAGTCCAAACCAAAAGACCAGAAGGGGTACAGAGGTTGACCACAGAGTCAGGAATTTGAGAGTGGGAGGGTTGAGAATAAATAGACTCATCTGCTGTAAGAGAGCCAGCAAGGTTGTTCATTATTTGTTTTTTATTTCCTGGTCATATATGTGGTATGTGAGGCTGAGCTGACAGGTCCAACTCTAGGGTCAGGACAGCAACCCACCCTGCTTCACCAACCTTTGACCGCCATTCAGCCTCAAGTGCCCTGAAGGGTATAATGAGAACCTGAGACACTTCCAAAGTTCTTCATTCAGCGGACATCCTACATGTGGGACTGCAGGAATCCCTGTATTTTGCAGATGAGGCCCAACAAGAGTTTGTTATTAATTACCCATTATATAGACAAAGAACCCGATGACCCAGTAGATGCACAACTGGAGTACATTATTGTGAAACAGAACTTTTTACAGATGTCTTGCTATGAACTTGTTTGCAAGTTCATAAAAGTGGAATGGCCAACTGCCACATGTGCAGCCCAGACCCAGGATATAAACTCATTCAGTAAGACCTGTCAACCCTATCTCAAAAATATCTCTTAATTTTGACCACTTTTAATTTCCACTGTTAGAATCACGATCCTAACCATCATCTTCTCTCACCTGAAGTACTGTCATGGACTTCTAACTGGTCTCCCTGCTTCCACTCTTGCCTCTCCAAACTCCAGTCATTCTGCAAGCAGCACTACCAGAGTAATACAAATCAGAGTGAATTGCTTTCCTGTTTAAATGCATTTTGAACAAAGTCTAAACTCCTCTCCCATGGCCTTTAATAGCTCAGTCTGCTAACCACCTCCCTGACCTCATCTTGTACTATTCTCCCTTGGCCTTCCTTTCTTCAAATGGCCTCTTCCTCTCCCTCGACCCTGGCCCCTTCTCATTACTCTCTGCCCTATTATGTAGTTTAATGTCTTCATAAAACTTATGAGTTCTTGGCTTTATTTACTGTTTACACGTTTACTGTCTTTATCCCTGCAATAGAATGTACACTCCAAAGGCAAGGATTTTGTTTGCTGTGGTCACCACTGCATCCTAACACTAAAACAGTGCCTAGTATATATAAGTACTCAATGAAGGAAGAGAAGGAAGAAAGGAGGAAGGCAAATTGCTAATATACCACCACTTCTGTTTCCTTGGCCAAGACCTGGACTAGAAAAAAAGGTCACTTTTTGTAATCAGTTTTAAGGAAGGGCTAACTGGCTCCATCTAGGATAAAGTGGCCTTACTGACCATTTCTGAGAGTTGTTCAGCTTCATTTGGCATTTTAACTGATGAAAAAATATAGCATTTTCTTTGAACCTAAGACCAGCACCCCTGGCCCCCATCCCAAATCCTCTAATACAGAGAGGCAAAGTAGAGAAGACAATCTGCTACAGCTCCAAGACCCAGCACAACTCCCCAACATACAAACCAAGAAACACCGCCAACAAGATGCTCAATTATGAATCTACTACAGCTAAGCAAGTTACTTTACAAAAGTCTAATTACTGAATAGTCGTCTGGCTCACCAGTAAGGTGGACCCACATCACCATGATCACCAAACTTAAAGAGCTTATGTCCAAATCCCCAGAGAACACATTCCTGCATAGGCATCTGGTTATCCAAACATTTTAGGACATTCTGTCAACCAGGCCTTGCTCCTTTAGGCAAAGTGACATACATGTACTGATGACTGGAAACCATTAAGAGCTTCTGATGTTACCACTGTCATTCAGTACACCTACACCTGGTGGTGCTCCTCCTTGTAAATGCCCCGCTACCACTCATCTGTGCTATGCAAGAACAGCTCAAGACAAACCAAACTCCACTACGTGGGTGTGGGAAAACTAAGACACTTGAACATCAGTGGTTACCAAGCTAGCTGAACTGAGTGGAACTTCATGGAAATCACCAGATTGATTAGGCATCAGCCTAAACAGGCTTTATCATGATGGCAACTGGCTCTTAAGGGAAACAGATTTTGGCCAAGATGGTCTATACCAATGTATAGGAGTCTATACACCTTATGGAAATTTTTGGTTATATACTTAAAGTTCCAGTCATCTACTTCACCTCACCTCCTAAAGTCCCTCGTTCCTGTTGGGTGGGAATCATCTATAAATTTTATTGGGGCAATAAAGCTGCCCAGTGCAAAAGTAGTTCATGTTATAAACTAATTTAACCTTCCTTTTCTATTATACACTTACCAACTTTTTTTTTTTTTGGAACATTTTATGCTCCTTTTTTTAATCCCCCAAGGCTTGGGGCAGCAATTAACTCCTTTTCAAACAAGTCTTCTGTCTTATGTACTGAGCAAGATATTTCGTTCATTTCCTCTTGACTTATACCCACTTCTTAGAGACCTGCCTTGTTCACAGGCAAGATGGGGAAACTATGTGTCACATGCTTTCCAATCTCTGGAAAATTTGGTTGGGACACTAACTCAAGGTAGACCAATTATATTTTCTGTCCTGGGGACTTTGAATTGAAGCACTGAAATGCTGTCAATTAGCTGAGAGCTCTGAGTCTCAAAGGTCCTATCATTTTGTGCCTGAGGCCACTCTTTCGGGGCATTCATGATGAGCAACATGGCAGGAGACACTGGTGTTAAGAAAACAGAGTAGACATAATACAGAAAGAGAAGCATGTTCATTTTCCATGATGGCGGCTGTACTTACTAAAATTGGAATGAACTAACGTGTTCCCTGAGTATTTTAACTATAAACAATATTTTACTTACAGTGGATTTACTTAAATGGATGTTTATTCCTTAAAACCAATCAATTTCTACAACATGCAAATATACATCTTCATTGATCATCTATTTTTCTTTCAGCTCTTGCTATCATAATACTCTGCCTCCTTCCCTCTCTTGGTGTCTCTCTTCATTTAATCTGTAGCCAAAAAACCCTTATCATATGTAATGGATACTTACCATATTTTTTTTTTGTCTGCCCAGTATGTTTTGGACATTCTGATCTTTTATTATAATGATGGCAGGATGAGCAATACATGTGCCCATGTGCCCACTTTTACAACCAAAGCAACAACATGGATTGAGAGGGGAAACTTGTTAGCCTTTTAAAATGAGCAGCAACGCTGTGTACTTCAGTTAAAGGGACCCATCATATGACACATCGTGTTCCCACACTCTGATGACGGTATGTCTTTTCCAGGCTGGCCAATCTGAATCCAGATCCAATCGGACATCAATCAGTACAATTTCAGTGGTCAGGCCTTTAATGCAGATCAATGTTTCTCAACCTTTTATTTGACAAATAAATCTTTTTTTTTTTTTGAGATGGAGTCTCCTTCTGTCACTGGAGAGCAGTGGCGCAATCTCGGCTCACCGCAACCTCCGCCTCCTGAGTTCAAGTGATTCTTCTACCTCAGCCTCCTGAGTAGCTGGGATTGCAGGTGTGTGCCATCACACCCGGCTAATTTTCGTATTTTTAGTAGAGACGGGGTTTCACCATGTTGGCCAGGCTGGTCTTGAACTCCTAACCTCAGGTGATCCACCTGCCTCAGCCTCCCAAAGTGCTGGGATTACAGGCATGAGCCACCACGCCTGGCCAAATAAATATTTTAAAAGTAATACTGCAAACTTCCTTAGAAATTTTTAAAATCATTTACAAAAATTTTATGACATATGATAAAGCAATTTCAGGTAAAAATATTTTATCTTAAATCAGCGTATCATTAAAGATTGTATTACAAAGTTTCTGTGGCATAATCTTTAATACTGATAATATTTAAGGAAAAATTTTAACTTCCATTCAGAGTAGATGAACTATTTTGTCATGTAAAGAAAATCACAGGTTGATGAGAAGATGGACTTAGCACCAAATGTATATTGAAATGTAGATTAAAAATTAATTTGTATTATAGCATCCAAAATAACAAACTGCATCTATAACCTGATACTTACATTTTCGAGCTTATAAAGATCAGCTGCTTATTTTGATAATTTGGGGGTTTAGTTTTTAAATGTCAAGGTAGAAGAAATGGTTTCACACTGCTCTTTGAGAGAATTTCTTTGTAACACATTGTAGATTTTTATTACCAATAAATGAAAAGCCAAACTGGATAGAATCACCCATATTTTTTCTTCTTCACATTTTCAAGTGTTTAAACCTTTCCTTTTTAGAATTTTAACTATCTAAAGGGTACAATTACAAAAAAAAAAAATCCAGTTGTCCACAACACCAATCATATACAAAGGTGAAAATGAATTATTTTTCAAGAAATCCACTTCCTAATTATTTAATACCACATTGGGTCTTTCAATTGACAATTCATTTTAGAAATTAAAGCCTCTTAATTTGATTAGGCCTATGCTATCTTTCATGAGATTCAACAGAGTACCTTTACCTTACTATTTGTATTTGGTGAACCAACCTGAAATTATTTTCTCTAGAACAGGCTTAAGAATAGGAAATAATAAATGCCAATTACATGCATATGTAAATAAATGTATAACTTTAAATATAAGGCATGCTTGGCTGATGTTTCTAACTTTATAATGATTTTTTTAAACTTTTTATTTTGAAATAACTCTACATTTCTAGAAAAGTTGCAAAGAGTACAGAAACACCCTTCACCTGGCTTCCTTTAATCATACAGTTTTAAAAATATTAGATATATCTTGATGTTTTATAAGAATGCTGATCAGCCAGGTGTGGTGGCTCACACCTGTAATCCTGGCACTTTGGGAGGCTGAGGCAGGCGGATAGCTTTTAGCTTAGGAGTTCAAGACCAGCCTGGGCAACATGGTGAAACCCTGTCTCTACAAAAACACAAATATTAGCCGGGCAGTGGTGGCTCACACCTATAGTCACAGCTACTCGGGAGACCGAGGCTGGAGAATCGCTTGAGCCCGGGAAGCGGAGGTCGCAGTGAGCTGAGATTGCACCACTGTACTCCAGCCTGGGCAACACAGTGAGACTCTTATCTCAAAAAAAAAAAAAAAAAAAAAAAAAAAAGAATGCTGATCAGATGAATGCAACTTATGTATTTAATAAAGAGCATCTTAAAATAATTTAGCACAATTATATTTTTTATGCTCTTTAACTTATATTTTGACACGTGTTGCACACATGCTCCATCTTTAACCAACAGTCCATTATGAGTACAAATAAAACCACAAATGCAACTAAAAACAATTAAAAACAGTGTAATGGTTAAAAACCAACAAAGCAGACAATAAACAATGATTACAGATCATGACCACATTCAAGCAATATCTTCTAACGACTGTATGTTTGCATCACACCACTCAAACTGTTATCTTTAAGTGGAAAAATATTTAAATATTTTATTGACACAGAACTATTATTAATGTCAATGATATAAATTGATTCTAAGAGCAATTTATAATCTAATTCTAAAATTTCACATCAATTAGAAAATGTGCCAGAAGAGTCAAGACAACTTTGGAGTGGGAGGACAAAGGGAATGGTAATGTTTTTTCCTTAACATTGAGTGGTAACAAGTGTTCATTGTATTGCTATGCTTTACACCTTATATATATGTTTTACAAATATTCTACTATAGCTATTTAATATTTAATTTTAAATATATTTCATTTTTTAAATAGAATGGAGGAGGACCTTGCCTTACCAAGAAAAAATATTATAAAACTACTGCAATTTGAAATGTATTAATGGTGTAGAAACAAAGATCAATGGGACCAAACACAGTCCTAAAACCAACTTATGCACATATGAGAATTTAGTAATTGATAATTTGACATGCCACCTATTAAAATTATTATTCTAAATGAATGGCCAACTGAACAAGATTCTTCCCTCACACTATTCACAAAAATAAATTTCAGATGAACTTAAATATCTAAATTTTAAAAATAGTATTAAAAAGTAAGATTTTATGTGTATCTTTGGGGCAGAAAAGAAGTATTAAAGTTAAGTAAAATCAAACGCCATATAAGGCAAAGATAGGGAAATTTGCCATCAAAATTAAAAACTACTATTTAACAAAAGATACCACAAAGGGAGAGGACTCCAACAGATTGGAGGAAATATGCCATTTTTATAATAAAGGATGAGTATGTAGAGTTTATTTACCTAGAGTTTATTTATTTAAGTTTATTTATCTACAACATAAATAAACAAGAAAAGGCAAGCACCTGTTATGTTGTGTATTCTAGAAAAATGCAATATGAGTGCTTAAACAAAATACAAGTTAAATTTCCTTCTCATGCTAAAGAAAGTCTTCCCTCTTAGTGCAGCAACTCTGCCAAATGCTCAAGAGAGCCAGCCTTTTTGGCTCACTGACCTACCATGACGGTCCTGATGGTTTATGATGGCCACTAGTGCTCCAGTCATTACATCTGTGTTCCAACATATAAGACACATGAAGGGATGAAGAAAGGAGTGCTTTCTCCCTTTAAGGAGACTTCAGAGAGTCACATTTAACCTTTGCTGCTTATATATCACTAGCCGAAACTTACAGTTATACTTAGCTCCAAGGAGGTCAAGTGTTCTACATGGGCAACAATGGGCCTGGGTAAAAGCTGGGGTTCCTATTACTAAAGATGAAAGAAGAATGGATCACAGGATGTAACCAGCAGTCTCTGCTATGCAACCCAACAGACAGAAAAATAAATACAAATAATCAAAAACTTTAGAGAAGATATTCAGCCCCAAGGAAATAAAAATTAAAACAAGGAGATACCATTTTGTACAACTTTTAAGAGAGGCAAAAATTCACAAATTGGTGAGGGTATGAAGATTTTTAGCCTAACAGTATGTTAATTACTCTTACAAAGAGAACGTATTCAATATTATCAGTGCTTTTAATTAGATTATATATATCTTATATATGTAATATTAGTACAGATAACTTGGGGACCAATTTGGCAGTTTTTAATTAAAATTTTAGCTATATGATTATATGACTCAGCAATTCCACCTTTCAGAATCTATGCAATATAAACATTCACACATTTGCCCAAGTACCAGGATGTTCATTGCAGTAATGTTTAAAACACGGAAAAATTGGAAACAACCCAAGTGTTCAGCATCAGGGGAAAAGCCCTCCACTTTATTTTCTTCATAGCACTATTACTACTATCTGAAATTATATTAATTTATCTACTTGTTTATTATCTAGGAAATCAGCTCATCTAGGAAAAGGAAAGCAAAGAGACTGTATTTATATAATACTTGTTTGGCTAAAATTCTTAGAAATAATACCTTTTCTTCTAAAACAACAAATCAGAACAGACACCATTCCAGATTTTAATAACATGAACCCACCAGAGGGCCCACATAAAGGCCTGTAGGTTTGCAGACAAAGGCTGAGAAACACTGCCCCTGATGAAGTGTCTAAACTTGCTATCTAGATAGACTGTCACTAGATGTGGCCTGTTTGCCCTTTTAAGGCCTGGGGCATTTCTCAGTAGAATCAACACACTCTTCATTACACAGAACCCTCAATTGCCTTTAATACTTGGATCTCAATACTGCTGCCAGCACCCAGTGAGCCTCCACTCATTGAGGGCCCACCATGGGAAAGGGGTCTCAACCTTCTACTAGAAGAATACCAAGACTGCCAAGATGTATCATGTTGAGAGAAGACAAAATGCTAACAGCTGGGCCACAGTGCTTGATGGAAGACTTGGCATTGGTAGGAGCACATCAGTACTCACAACAGCAGTATTCTGGGGCCCAATCCCCAAGGCTGTAAAATAGGAAATATGCCTACGATCTACAAAATGGAAGGGATAAGTGGCCCTTGCTAGGATTCCTAAGCCCTTAATGACATTTCCATTCACAACCACTAATCTCTGCTTTTTATTTCTAATCTCACAGAGAAGCAGTTTTCAAGCTGCTTTTTCAACTGGAGGAACTCTGTTCAAATGAAAGTGTAAGATGAATAAACAAACAAGAGGAAGGGGATAGCCTTAGTGCTCAGTCTAGGGGGTTGGGGTGGGAGGATACCCCTCCCTTTTACCCCAAAGTGCTGAGAAGCAGAGTTTGAAAGGGAAGGGAGACAGAGAACGAGGGAGGAAGCTTTACTAGGAGAAACAAAGGTCCTGTGGAAGGAACATACCTGGCTTGTTGGAAGAAGAAAAAAGTCCCCTTTTTGACTGGGACAAAGCAAGCACAGGGAAGAGCAGTAACAGATGAGGTCAGAAAGACAAAGAGGAGTTCAGATTATGTAGGGGCCTTGTAGGAAAGTGTAAAGCCTCTGAGTGGATAACTTACTTTTAACAAGATTCCTCCGGCTGCTGAGTTGGGAATAGGCCGTCAGAGAAGGACATAAGCAAGGAAAAGACGTTACTGCAGTTATTTCCTTCCTAACTTGGAGATATACATTTGGTAGTCAGCATGTAGTTGTTGGTGTATAGATGGTATTTAAAGTCATGAGACTGACTGAAATGCCAAGGAAATAAGAGTCAATAAGGAAGAATGGAGTATTAATGAGCCATGTAATGCTCCAACTTTTAGGCGTCAGGAAGATCATGAGGAACTAGCAAAAAGACTAAACCTCCAATAAGGTGAGAGGGAAATGCAGAGAATGCAGCAAAGCTAAATGAAGGACGCGTTTCAAAGAAAGAGGAATAATCAACTGTGTAAAATGCTGCTGAAAGGTCAAGTAAGAGGAAGACTGAGAACTGATTCACTAGAGCTAGCAACATGAAGGTCAGTGGTGAGCTTGACAAGAGTGCTTCAGTGGGGGAAGGGGCCTGATTAATGTGGACTCAAGAGAGACTGGTGGAAAAGGAACTGGAGTCAGTGAGTTAGATAACTGTAGAAAACAAATTGAGAGGGGAATGCAAAGTCAAGAGAGTTTGGTCTTATATTAAAAGGCACTATATCTCCGGTATCTAGAACAGTGCCTGGCACATAGTGATAAATTAGTAAGTATTTGTTGACTGAACTAAGTGAGATCACTAGCCATTTAAACAGTCTTAGTTCTGGAAGTTTAAAAGCTGATAGAGTGAAACATGAGGATTCTTGGTCCAATAAGAAGAAACTGCCTTTTAATTTCCTACTATGCCTGAAAACTCTTTAGGGCCTTTAAACACCTAGAATAGACATTCCTCAATATGAGGAATAGCAACAGAATTCAACAAACACATGCCCTACAAGAAAATATACTTTCAATTCTGGATAGCTGCAATCTCTCCAACTACCTCTTGCATCTGGGGCCCTGTGACTTTGGACCTAGGGATACAACATGGATCACAGTCCTTTAGTTACGTCGTGATTCACTATGCACTAAGAGGGAAGATGTGTGGTGGTCCCTGAAGGACATCAATCTATGCGGCCTTGACCAAATGAAAGCTCTATGTGGCATGCCAATAATAATCATGAGTATTTGTTTAATGATATATACTTTTCAAAGTGGTAATACATATATCCTCTCCTATTTAATCTTACAACAACTTTGTGAGGCAAGTGTTTTTATCACTTTCATTTTACAAATAAGAGTCTCAGACTTGCATAAATCACACAGCTCTTTCAACAAATTATGCTGGGATAACTGGATATTCACATGCAAAAGAATGAAGTTGAATCCTTACCTCACATACAATAATTAACTCAAAATCCACCAAATAGCTAAATGTTAAGAACTAAAACTATATATTGCCAGAAGAAAACACAGGAGTAAACTGGCAGGACCTTGGATTTGGTGATAGATTGTCAGATATAATGCCAAAAGCATACACAATCAAAGAAAAAACAAATTCAACTTCACACGAATTAAAAACTTCTGTGCAAAGAACACTAACAAGAAAGTGAAAAAACAGCACACAGTAAGACAGGAAATATTTGCAAATCATAAACCTGATTTGTATCCATATTTACATATGTAAAGAACTCTTAAACTCAACAACCAAAAGACAATCCAATTAAAAAATTGATAAAAGACTTGAACAGACATTTCTCCAAAGATACACAAATGGCCAACACATGAAAAGATGCTCAACGTCAGTAGTCATTAGGGAAATACAAATAAAAATCACAATGAGGCACCACTTCACACCCACTAGGATGGCTATAACCAGAAAACAAAAGTGCTGGCGAGGAGGTGGAGAAACTAGAATTCTCAAAAATTGCTGGAAAAAATGTAAAAGTGTGCAGCATCTGTGGAAAACAGTCTGGGAGTTCCTCAAAAACTTTTTAAACATAGAATTATTTCATAATCCAGCAATTCTATTCCTAGATACATGCACAAAAGAATTGAAAACAGGTATTTAAACAAAAACTTGTAGAAGAATGCTCTTAGCAATACTATTTATAAGAGCCAAAAGGTGTAAACAATCTAAATGTCAACTGATAAACAAAACGTAGTATATCCATACAATGGAGTATTATTCAGCCAAAGAAAGAATGAAGTACTGATACATGCTACAACCTGAGTGAACCTCGTATACATTGTGCTGAATGAAAGAAGCCAGGCACAAAAGGTTACATATTGTATGATTCCATTTATATGAAATCTTCAGAACAGGCAAATCCATATAGACAGAAAGCAAATTGGCGGGTGCCAGACGGTAGGGGTAAAGGGGAATGGCGAGTGACTGCTTAATGGGTACAGGGTTTCCTTTTGGGGTGATGAAAATGTTCCAGAATTAGCGGTGATGGCTGCACAACATTGTGAATGTACATACTGAAGTAACTGATTTGTACACTTTAAAATGGTTAATTTTACCTCAATTAAAAAAAATCACACAGTTCACCCTTGACAAATCCAGGAACTATACTCAGGAACTGACTCCAAGTCCTCTCCCCACTCAGCTATCCTGTTTCCTCCACAAACCAAAGGAGCTCTGGACCACCTTGGTAATGGACTTTTGCCTCTATATACTGCCAGCCAGGCATAGTACCTAACCATATTTGTGATGATGGAATTCCCACAGCTGTCCAAGCATACACAAGTTTCTAAATAAGATATTTTCTTATAATGGACTCACATTACAAACCATCTTGGACCAAGGTCTGCTTTCATGTCACAAAGTCATCCTTTATACAGAAGTTAACCATCATCCACCTAACTGATAAACCAATGACAGCTATGAAGTCTGGTCCCTCACAAGATGATATTCCTGTTTTCAAGAGTATAGCAATGAGGTTTATGCCTTCAATTAATCAAAACCATTCTTAACCAATAATTCTTGGCATTTTCCACCCCTTATATTTTCTGTTCTGTTGGCAGGCTACAACTCTTAGAAATATGAAGCACAAAATTGACCTTAAAAGCCTCTCTGCTAGGTTAAGGTTGCCAATGTGGCAGAAATGGATAAAAGACAAACTGGTTGTGACCATTTGCATTACAACCCATCCTAAATAGTCACTCTAACACCAAGTCTTCGAGGTAGAAGCCTTCACACAACTTTTTGGAAACCAGTTTGCTCAGTGCTTTCTTCTTTCTGAGCTCAATGAGGGCCTACATCTCCAACTTACATCCATATCCCTCAGGTACCATCAATGATAAATACTTCAAAGTATGAGAGTTTTTACATGCATGCAACTGGAAAATTAAGCTATAATATCAAGTTAATTGGAAAAAATACAGCTGCAAAAACTATTCCTGGGAATCTCACAGTTAGATACACATTCCCTAACATAGCCAAGTATTCCATTTTCAGCATACCAACAATATAGTCTTTGTTCATCAGCTCAATGGGAGGATGATGTCAGGGTCACTGGAGCCCAGATCACCACTGGCCTTTAGGAGCTCTACAGCTTTCCAGTTGAGAAAGAAACTTGTGGCCTAATCACCAACATCTGAGTCAGCCCCTTCAACAGTCCTGGCAAAATTTCTTCTCAGTAAAAAGTAGTCTCCAAAACAAGACCCCTAAGAACGTGGGAGAGGGGTAATCAGACACCATTGACCTACATCCCTAAAAAGTTAGGAGAAATGTTTGAGTAACCAACAGACTAACACCTACATTGTAGGCATGTAAGACACCTCATCCTCCCTCACCACTTCCTCTTTTTGGGCAAGCTTCTCAAAGGAATTTCCAACACTTGCCACTCCCATTTCCTTACTTTTTACCCACTTCATTTTGGTTTCTGCCTCTTCCAATCTAAAATGGTTCTTGCTGAGGTCAAAGACTCCATCTTGCTAAATTCAACAGATCATTTTTGTTCCACATCTTTACTTGATGACACCTCTCTATTTGAAACATTCTTCTCTCACCTTTTATGATGCATCTTAAACTAGAATTAGATTGTGAAGGAAACAGCTAAGACAAAAACCAAATATTGTTTAAATTACTCTTGAAAATCCTTTAAATGGCCCGTTAAATATCGCACACCTGTATACAAGTAAATAAAACTTTTCTCTCTCTCATTTAATAAAAAACATGGTAGAGCGCATTCAGTTAAGTTTGCACACTTTAATTCTGAGCAAGGCGTCATTCCACTGTACCTCTGTGGCCACTTCTCATTCTCTTCCTGGGCTATCCTCCTCTACTAAACTTCAAAATGCTGGGCCTGAGCCCTTTTTTCTTAATCTCTGTCAGTGGTTCTCAACTTCCACAGCTAAGTGGAATCACCTCAGATTCGTCCAAGGCAGCAAATCAGATCAAGTAAACAGAAAAAGAAATTTCTTAGGTGGACCACAGCATTAGCATTTTTTAATCATTCAGTGATTCCAATGTGCAACCAAGATGAGAACACTGTTCTATGCTCTCTTCCCAGACCAGGGATCACATGCTCAAAAGCCTACAGTCAGAGAAATAAATGAGCAAAGTGGGCCAGGCATAATTTTAGGGAGTGGTGGGCTCTGTAGTGAAATAGAAGAGCTGCGATCATCTGTGACTTAGCTCCAATTATTGCTGCCATATTGGAAAACCAACTCAGTAGTGCTACATTTTCTCATTTTTAAAGAGAAACCCCAAATCTGGATTTTTCATGAGAAATCTTCAGATTTTAAAATATTGGCAACTAATTCAAAATTAAACAATAACAAAACCACTGTATGGGCAAAACATCTGTGAGTCAGATTCAGCTGTAGGCTACTGCTTTGCAACCACTGCCCTAGATAATTTCATCCACAGCCTTTAATTTACACCTAAAAATTCGTGCCTCCAGTTTAGCCCTCTGCTCTTGGCTCTGAATTAGAATTGTCAAATGCTTATGTGACCTCTCACTTGAAAATCTCAGCAGTCCCAATGTAAACTGTGATTTAAACTCATCTCAAAACTATTTATCCTTAAATGTTCTTTACTTCAGGTAACACCACCACCATTCACTGGTTGGGCAAGCTAGAACCCTGGGAGTCATCTTAGGATCTCATTTCTCCCTCTCAACCCTTGTACCATATCAACCACCAAATCCTATCAATTACGCCTCCTAAATATATCTCATGAATATATGTACTTCTCTCCATCTCCAATACGACCATTCTTTTCTCTCAGCCACCACCTTTTCTCTCCTATGTTATCCACAGTAACCTTAATTAGGGGCAGCTGTCTCCCACACTCAATCTTGTTTCCTTCCAAAGCATTCTAATATGACCAGAATATTTTATAATCACAAATAATTACAAATATATACACATATACACGCATTACATAAATATATACTTATGTAAATATATGTGTTTGTGTGTTTATTTCACCCAACAATTCCATTTCTAGGAATTTACCCTATAAATATATTTATTCACATATGAAACAGCATATTCGTAGCACTGTTTACGGTAAATTACTGGAAACAATCTAAATGTCTGTCAGTGGGGGAATGGTTAAATAATCTATGGTATATCCATACAGTGAAATACTGTACAGTCATTCAAAAAAATAAGGAAACTATATACTGAAGTGGAAAGATTCCCAAGACATTTTTAAGAAAACAGAGTGTACAGTATGCTACCATTTGTGTAAAACAGTAAGAGGAAAGATATGCATTTCCTTGAATGCCCACAAAAAATGTCTACAATGATATACAAAACTAGTATCAGTGGTTATTCCTTTGGAAGACAGGGAAAATGGTAGCTGGGGGAGGGAGCAGAACCCACCAAAAATGCTCTGATTTGCTTGGAGGAGGGCCCAGGCGTCGGTCTTAAGTTCTGGTGGTTCTGATGAGAGTGTTGGACTGAGAACCACTGCTTAGTGGACAGCCTTTGCCTATTTTCCTAGCTTCATTTTGTGTCATCACTCTCCGTGTTCCTGGCTTCTGGGTTCCCAAAAGCGGCCCTGTTCCTTTCTTCCTCAAGGTATTCACATCTGTTCCTTCTGCCCGGAATATTGTTCCCGTGAGCTTCACCTAGTAACTCCTGTTAATCCTTCACCGTCCACCTCAAAGGTCACTTCCCCATGGAAACTTTCCCCAGTTTCCAAACTACATCAGGACATCTGTTTTATGCACTCAGAGCTGCCTGTACTTCTCCCAGAAATTAACACAATCGTAATGAGATAAATGTATATTTATGCATGTATACATCTGTCACCCTCCTTAGACTATAAGGTCCAGGCATGCAAAGTTGTTTTTACTAATCTATTTCCATACCTAATCTAGTGTCCAGTTGGCAAAACAGGCCTTCAGAAATCTGTTAAATAAATAACTGTTCCCGCCCTCAAGCTTAGTATAGTAAACACCTAAGCAAATGAGGACAATGCTGCGTCACTAGTGTTAAGGCAGCAGTCTGCTCACAACAGTGGTTCTTAACTAAGGGTGATTTTGGTCCTCCTGGGGGACATTTGCGATGTCTGTAAGCATTTTTGATGTTCACAACTGTGTGTGTGGAGTGCTACTGGTATCTATTCCTCAGTAAAGGTTAGAAATGCTGCTAAACATCCTACGCTGCACATGATAGCCCTCCACAACTAGAAATTACCTGGCCTAAAATGTCAACAGAACTACAAATGAGAAACTCTGACTCAGAGGACGATAACACTCAAAAGAGCTGTCAATTGCACTTCTGAGGGTGGTGATTTTTAAATATCTGTTTTCTTTTTGGGGGATGGGGGGTGTCAAGCAAAGCTTCAGGGCAGAGGTGAAGCTTCAGCTGTGTGTTTGAAAGGTAACAGGGGCCAGATCAGTGGGGACTATGTTTGTCAGGAGCAAGGAGGAGTCTCTGAAGAGTTTAAAAGCAAAGTTATGATTTGAACAGGTGCCCCCAAGTACCCTATACTCCAAAATTATTCATTTCCTTTTTTCCTTTCTCGCTGAAACAAAACTTCCATTCTCTCAGAGTAGCTGGTTTCAGCTGAACATTAAGGCCAAATTAATTCAGCCCAAGATAAAGTCAGATAGGCCCTTCACTCTCCAGAATGTTAAGCTACATTTTAAAATATGCAAATACTTATGAGTACAAATAAATCTTTAACTGCTCAATGTTCAGGTTGTCAGTGCATAAAGCTATTTTTGAACTCAACAGCCAGATTGGCCCCAGTAACACTTTCCCAAAGCTTTGTTTTTTAAAAACCTTTTTGATCTGTTTCCCCGTTCTCCTAGAAATCTCCTAGATTTCTGAGCTCCTAGATTGTATAAAAGATCTAAGTTTTTTTCCACAAGTATCTCATGCCATTAAGTTCTTCTGCCAGAGGTGATAAAAGGGCCATTTGGATGCAATAAATGTAAATAAATTGTGTGTGTAAATTAGCAGTGGCTTAGAAAATTTTTAAAAGGCTTTCATGGACTACTGAAAGAAACTGAGATAATTTTTAACATACCACCAAGAAAAAAAAACAACAGTTTTACTACAACACAAGCCGGCTGCCTACTGAACTGGACGCCCATGCTCTGACCTAGTATGGCAATTCTTAGGGTCTAGGCGCTGGGTTCTGTTTACAAGAAACTAAGGCCTGAGACTAAGGAAGAACAAAGAAAAATGCCTGGCACCAAAGGTGTGGGGGATGTTTTGTACATAAATGAAGATTTGAGGAGGAATACTTCCTCAGATGTTGGAAGGAATTACTCTTTTTTTGCTTACGTGTTAAGAATTTAATGTTTTCAGGCCATTTCCTAATTAGAAAATACCTTATAATTTACAAACAATAATTTGTCTTCCCCTACATTTGCTGACCACCAAGACTGGATAAAATTTCCTTAAGCTTTACCAGAGTGGGAGGACTGGGAATAACGGGAGCACAACAGAGTTCGGATGCAACATCAACTCCAAGCCCGGCCAGCTGGTTTCCATCGAGAGGTCCCCCAGGAGAACGCCCCTCCGCGGCGGCGGCGGCCAGGTCGGCGCGGGAGAGACCCACCGAGGCGCTCCAGCGCGGCCGCGGTGCAGGACCAGGGGCCGCCCGGCCTCCGTTTACCTTTGTTTCAGGTACCCCGGCTCCTGGCGGGCCGGGAATCCCGTCCGCGGCCCGGAGCTGGTGACACATCCTTCTTTGGCCAAGTCGGGCCGAGGTTGGGCAGGGGGCGGGGAAGGAAAAGAAAGCCTCAGCGCCTAACGACGTGACTCTCAGTTCTTCCAAAACGCTGGCATTTGTTTCTCTGCCAGGCTTTCCTGTTAACAAGTTCCCGAGGGCTGTGCGGGCGAACTGGCCCAGGAGCCCTGAAAAGTGGGAGGGCCCAGGCCGCCCCCGCCTACCCTCCTCCGCGGGCGCCCCTGGGGCAGGCAATTTCCACACCTCCCTGGTGCCGTGTCCCGGGACCGGCCGGCCGCGCCGAGGCAACGCACCGCACCGCACCGCACCGACTGGAATTCCGACTTCCACAGCCCAATCAGCTCCGTGTGGCCCCTCTGGCCAGGCCGGTCCCCGCCCCCAGGTCCCGGCCCCGCCCGCCCCGGCCTCCGCGCGCCGCCCCGAGCCTCGCCACCCCCTCGGGCCGGGACGAGGGAGCTGAAGGCTCCAGGCCGTGCGGCCAGTGTTCCTTTGCCTACCTCGTTGCCCGCGGCTCCTCCTCCGGCGGCTCAGCTCGCGGGCAGCGCTTGCCTCCAAGCCTCCCCGCGGCGCGGACTCTCGGGCTACGAATGCGGCGCGTGAAGAGCGGAGGCCCGAGCGCGCCCCGCCCAGCCACCCGCAGGCCCCTACCTCCTTCTCCTCCTCCTCCTCCTCCTCCTCGGCCCCACCCTCGGCGGCCGGCCCGCCCGGAGCCCCGCCCACGCGCCAGGCCCCGCCCACTCTCCGGCCCCGCCCCCAGCCTACGCCCCGCCCCTCTGGCCAAGGCAGGAAGGGGGCCTCCAGGGGCGCCGCGAGAGCCGCTGTGGCCTCGGCGAGGGCAGTCTCCTGTATGGCGGCGCCGCGGGGATGCGATTCGTGGTGGTCGCTGCTGTTTGACAGATTCGAGTCTCTTGCTCGGATTTATTACTGTTATTGTCATCGTCAATATTGTCATCGTTGTTATTGTTATCGTCATTAGTTGTGTTGCCCTCTTCAAGGGGCCTTCAAGGAGGCCCCTTGAGGGCAGCGCGCTGCTGGCCAGACATTCCCTGGCGCTCCTGTCTTCCCACAGTCCTGCACCTGCGCCACATTTCACTCAGCCCAAGAAGTTGTGTGAATTTTAAAAGAAGTGATACTTATTTTTAACTGTTATTGTTAACTGTTACTGTTAAATAAAACACAAATATAGACAGCCATATAAAACCAATGTACAGCTTAATGGATTATTCCGATACACACACCCTTATAACCACTCGCCAGATTTATTAATAACACCGTGTAATATGGTCTGCTCTGAAACAGAACCTCATTAATAGCTGGAAGGACATAGCCTGGAAGGGCCTCCCAAAATTGCCCTCCTTCTAACTGCCACAGTACTCAAATGTGACAGGTCCATAATCATGCCCTCTCCAAGAATATATTTGTAAAATGGAAATTTCTCCAGAATTAGGAACCTCCAATTGAGTATCTTCGTAAAAATCTTGATAAAATGATAAATCTATAAATATATAAGCATATAAATAACAATAAATAAGTCAATCAGTTGGGTTGAATACCATGAGTAAGGAGCATGGGGGTGGGGGATGGGAGGTATGTAAAGACTTAAAAGGATTAGGTGGGCTGTGAGGACAGGTCCTGGGCACCTGGGTTGTTCTCACTGTCTCCCCAGCACCTAGCATAGCACCAAGCATATACTAGGTGCCATATGTGTGTGTGTATATATGTGCATTGTACATATATGCACATATATGTGTGTGTGTGTGTATAGCACAAGGAAAGAAAAAATTATGTAAGATAACCCCAAACAAGCTTTACATACTGAAATTTCACCCAAGGTCAATCCTCCCAGTAGCTAAAGTGTGCTCTGTGAGATGCCTTGATGCCCTAGAGAGAAAGAGACCATTTTACTTTCAACTTTCTACTGCTTTTCCATTTCAAAAGCCCTTTCACATGCATATGGTATCTTATTTGAGACTGAGAGCAACTCTGTGAAAAATGCAGGGCAGGATAGGACTCTGCAAAGGTCACAGTGCAATGCATATCAGTAAGAAGGAAAAGTACACAATGTACCATAAAACAATGTTAAAACTGCTGACCCTGGCAACCTGGATTCTTGGTTTGTCTCAACAGTTTTATTGCCAATGTTTTTACATTAGGGCTCCTTTGGCCCTTTTGCCATGCATTTATACACATTATAACTTGAATGTATAAAGGACACAATACGTGACTGGAAATTTGATTCAATACAATAGAGTTAGTCTCTCTGTCATGAGGACCATGGTGAATTGGGGCTAGAGAGTTGCCAATTCACCACAATGTATTGAGTACTCAGACTGTACTAGGTGGTAGGAATACAAATGATATAAAATAAAGAAGATACAGGGGCTGGGCGTGGTGGCTCACGCTTGAAATCCCAGCACTTTGGGAGGCCAAGGAGGGTGGATCACCTGAGGCCAGGAGTTTGAGACCAGCCTGGTAAACATGGTGAAAACCCATCTCTACTAAAAATACAAAAATTAGCCAGGCGTGGTGGCACGCGTCTGTAATCCCAGCTACTCAGAAGGCTGAGGCGGGAGAATCACTTGAACCCGGGAGGTGGAGGTTGCAGTGAGCCGAGATCTCTCCATTGCACTCCAGCCTGGGTGATCAGAGTGAAACTCTGTCAATCTTTGTTCTCAAGGAGCTTATGGCCAAGTAAGGGAGAAAGATTTGAAAATAAATGTTTAAATTACATGACGGTAGGGGAGCAGTCATGAGCACAATTAATTCTATGAGGTATAGGAAGAGAGTAGGGCAAGTCTTATTAGACAAGAAAACATCTGAAATTTTTTTTAGTATAAAAATATCAAATATTGAAAACAGAGACAGAATAATATAATTAACTACTATGCACCCATTACTTGGCTTCAACAATTATCCCATGACCAATTTGTTCCATCTGTACCCTCACCTTTTCTTTCCCTCCTTGGATTATTTTAAGGCAAATCACATGGAGCATTATTATTTCATCCATAAATATTTCACTATGCATCTCTAAATGATAAGGTCTATTTTTAAAAACAACCACAAAATCATTAAATTGTCTTTTAAAGTAATAATTTATTAACATCTAGACAGTGTTCAAAATTTCCCAATTTTCTCATAAATGTTTCATGTAGTTTACTTCTTCCAGTCATGATCCAAACAAGTTCCTCACAATGCATTTGGTTAAAATGTCTTACACCTTTTTCTTTCCTTGTACTTTTATATTGAAGAAATAGATTGTTATAAGGAGTTTCCCACATTCTGCATTTTGCTGATTGCTGTGATGTTCTTTAACATGTGCCTCTAACCTTGTATTTCCCATAAAGGATAGTTACTAGAGGCTTGATCAATTTAGAAAAGTATAACCCATAATGAATAGAAAAATCAACAAATCAAAAATAGACCAGAACTATCACAGATGTTAGAATTAGCAGAGAAAGACATTAAAACAATTACTATGGCTGGGCATGGTGGCTCAAACCTGTAATCCCAGCGCTTTGTGGGGCTAATATGGGTGGATTACCCGAGGTCAGGAGTTTGAGACCAGCTTGACCAACATGGTGAAGCCCCGTCTCTACTAAAAAATACAAAAAAATTAGCCGGCCATGGTGGCAGGCGCCTATAATCCCAGCTACTTGGGAGGCTAAGGCAGAAGAATCGCTTGAACCCGGGAGGCAGAGGTTGTGGTGAGCCGAGATCGTGCCACTGCACTCCAGCCTGGGCAACAGAGTGGCTCCATCTCAAACAAAAACAAAAACAAACAAACAAACAAACAAAACCACAATTACTATAACTATATTCCAAATGCCAAAAAAGTTAAGTACATATTAAAAAGGGAAGATGTAAAAAAGACACAAATTGTATTTCTATAGTTGAAGACTATAATGTCTAGAATAAAAATACATTAGATTGGATTAATGGCAAATTAGACATTACCAAAGAAAAGATTAGTCACATCAATAGAAATTATCCAAAATGAAACACACAGAAAGAGAAATGTTAATGAAAAGAGCATCAGTGAGCTAAAGAGCAACTACAAGTGGCCTAATATGTGGAATCTCCAAAGGAGAGGAGTGAAGACAAAAAGTATCTGAAGAAATACTAGCCAAAAGTTTCCAAAATTTATGAAAACTATATACTCACAGATCTAAGAAGTGCAACAGACTTCCAATTTCCAGTACAGCAGACGATAGACTTACATCCAACCATATCAATAGTCATATTAAATGTGAGACTTCTGGTTCCAAAATGGCAGCATAGAAGCAAGCCGGCTCCCCCTTTTCCCCAGAAAAAGAAGACCAAACCCAAATACACAACACCAAGATTACCATCAATAATATCCCAAAACTGAAATATGAGGATGAGACAGTTTGCAGGGTCACAAAGAAGTGAAAAAGCTCCAAGCAGATGGTAAGAGAATGACTTCCATGTTCAGGATGCCCCTCCCCCTATTCTGTCCAGCACCAAGCATTCAAAAAGTTTCCTCCTAAATCAGTTTATACACTGGAAAAAGTGAGATCACGGTGGACAACCAGCTCCCCACCATCTTGGGATCCTTGGCAGGAGACTTGTCCCTGTCTTAGCCCACAGAAACATTGCAAGTCCCTTAAGGGAGAAATATCCCGGAGGATGGGCAAAGGCAAATCGAGAGGCAGAACTACCATCCCCAGAACTGGAAACTGCTCTGTAACTGAGCCAAAGGAGACATTAAATCAGAGTGTCTGTTCAGCAGCAACATGATGTAGGAGGTACATTCTGCAGATACTTTGGGCACAAACCCCTAGCCAGCCTTCCCACATTGCTGGGATATCCCAGGATACCTTCCATTTACTAGAGCTGAGGTGGACCTGGGCTTAAGACACCACCTAGAGCTGAAAAGGAGGCAGAAATGTAGCAGTGAAGAATCTTTAAGCAAATATATTCAATAAAACCCAAAACAAGTCAGACAGAGAAGACTGGAATAAACTACCCTTTAGTGCAAAGACATGGATATACATCACAAGAAACAATAGCAAACAGGGAACCACAAACTCCCCAAATGGGCAAAGCAAGGGACCAGTAACTGACTTTAATGAGATGGCAATATGTGACCTCTATGACCAATAGTTCAAAACAGCAATTTTGGCTGGGCATGGTGGCTCATGCCTATAATCTCAGCACATTGTGAGGCTGAAGCAAGAGGTTCACTTGAGGCCAGGAGTTTGAGACCAGCCTGGGCAACATAGCAAGATTCCATCTCCACAAATAAAAAATTAAAAAACCAATAGCTGGGTATAATGGTGCACATCTCCAGTTCCAGCTACTCAGGAGGCTGGGGTGGGAGGATCACTTGAGTCCAGGAGTTCGAGGCTGCAGTGAACTATGCTGGCACCACTGCACTCCAGCCTGGGTGACAGAGCGAGACCCTGTGTCAAAAATAAAAAAAATATAAAAAAGCAAAAATAGAAAAAAATCCTCCAAAATAGCACTTTTAAGGAAACTCAGTGATCTCCAAGATAACACAGAAAACCATTTCAGAAATTTATCAGAGAAATTTAACAAAAATATTGAAGTAATTAAAACAATCCCATAGATGTTTTGGAAGTGAGAAATACACTTGCTGTACTAAAAATTTCATTAGAGACCCTCAAGAGCAGAACGGATCAAGCAGGGGAAGAATCAGTCAGCTTGAAGACAGGCTATGTGAACATATGCAATCAGAAGAGAAAAAAGAATGAAAATAAATGAAGACCACCTACAAGATACAGAAGTTTACCTCAAAAGACCAAATCTAAAAATTATTGGTGTTCAAGAGAGAGTTGAACAAGGGGTAGAAAGCTTATCCAAAGAAATAATAATAGAAAACTTTCCAAAACATGAGAAAGAATAAATGTTGAGGTACAAGAAGATCAGAGAACACCAAACAGATCTAATACAAAGAACACTACCCCAAAGCATATAGTAATCAAACTCTCAAAGGCCGAGGACAAAGAGAGGATCCTAAAAGCAGCAAGAGAAAACAGGCAAATAACATATAAAGGAACTCCAGTTTGTCTGGCAACAGACTTCTTAATGCAAACCATACAGGCCAAGATGGAATGGAATGACATTTTCAAAGTGCTAAAAGAAAAAAACCCTTTCATGCAAGAATACTGTATCCAGCAAAGTTATCCTTTAACTGTGAAGAAGAGATAAAGTCTTTCCCAGAAAAACAAAAACTGAGAGAATTCACCACCACTAGAGCCATCTTACAAGAAATGCTAAAAGGAGTTCTTCAATCCGAAACAAAAAATACTAATATGCAAAAAGAAAACATTTGAAGCTATGAAACCCCTGGGTAAAATTAAGTACACAGACAAACCTAGAATACTTAAATACTATAATTGTAGTATGCAATTCACTCATAACTCTAGTATGAAGCCCCAAAGACAAATCTATTAAAAAAGAATAATAGTAACTAACCGCAGGCTGTTAAGAGATACATAATGTAAAACTATGTAAATTGAGACAACTAAAAGTCAAAATGTGGGAGGGATGGAGTTAACATGTAGAGTTATTTTTTATTTTTCCTTAATGTCTATTCTTTTATTTTTTATATAAGTTGTCATCTCTTTAAAATAACTTGTTATATCTATAAGATTTTTTTTAAGCCTCATGATAACCACCATATGCAAAACCTGTAATACAGTCACTAAAAATAGCAATTGAAGATGGCAGCAGCAATGATTTACCAGCTGTGGGCTGGAGCAGCATAGTGGTGTTGAGCCTGCCCTCAGGTGCCAGGTGTTTTGGGGTATGGGCCTTGCCAACTGGAGAGAAGGTCATGCATGCCAGCCAGGTTGATGATAATAAAGACTCCAGAAAAATTCAGTTTGTGGGTTGTCAGAAAGAGGTGAATGTAAACTTTGCCACTGATTTGATGACAGAGCAACCTATGAGTGAAGTAGAGAGTTGGATAATATTGTGTAACTGGTTGGGGAGCTCTTGGCTACCCAAAAGTGTGTGTAAACATAGACAAAGAAACAAAAACTGGGATATGTGGTTATTGTGGACTATAGTTGAAAAAACACCATCATTAGAATGAATTGTGAACCCATGGTCCTCTGAAGTATGTGGATGAGCATTTTGATTTTGAAAATAAAGCATGTGAAATCACTAGTTCTGTATAAAGGATATTCCTATTGCTAAATAAAGGGTAATGCTATCAAGAAAAAAAGACACAATGAATTAAAACATACTACCAGAGAAAATCACTTAACCACAAAGGAGGACAATAAGAACAAGAAAGGAAAAGGGGAGTTACAAAACCTGAAAATAAGCAACAAAATGGCAGTAGTTAAGTAATTTCTTATGAATAATAACACTAAATGTGAATGAACTCAGTCCTCCAATTAAAAGGAATACAGTGGCTGAATGGATAAAGAAACAAGACCCATCTATATGCTGCCTACGAGAAACCCATTTCACCTATAAAGATGCATACAAACTGAAAGTGAAGGGGTGGTAAAAGTCATTCTGTGAAACTGGAAATCGGAAAACAGTAGCAGTAGTTATATTTATGTTGGATAAAATAGACTACAAATTAAAGACTGTAAAGAGAGACAAAGAAAGTCATTATATAATGATAAAGGGATCAATTCAGCCAAGGATAAAACAATTATAAATATTTATGCACCCAAAACTAGAGCTTCCAAGTATACAAAGCAAACATTAATAGATCTAAAAGGGAGAGATAGACTGCCATACAATAATAGTAGGGATTTTTAACTGGACAGATTACCTAGACAGAAAATCAACAAAGAAACATCAGAGTTAAACTACACACTAGACCTAATAGGCCTGACATTTACAAAACATTTTACCCAAATGATGAAGAAAACATACTTTTTTCATCAGCACATGGAACATTCTCTGGAATAGATCATATCTTAGGCCACACAAAACAAGTCTGAACAAATTCAAAAAACTAAAAACCATATCAAGTATTTTTTCCTCACCACAATGGAATAAAACTAGAAATCAATATCAAGCAAAACCACAGAAACTACACAAACACATGGAAATTAACATGCTCTTGAATGACCAATGGGTCAATGAAGAAATAAGAAGAAAAAATTAAAATTTCTTGAAACAAACGAAAATGGAAACACAACATTCCAAAATCTATGGAATACAGCAAATGTAGTAGGAAGAGGGAAGTTTATAACAATAAATACCTACATCAAAAAAAGTAAAAATATTTCAAATAAACAATCTAATGATGTACCTCAAGGAATTAGAAAAGCAAGAATGTTGCGGGAAGTCAGGGACGCCAAACAGAGGAGCTGGCTGAAGCCACTGCAGAAGAACATAAATTGTGAAGATTTCATGGACATTTATCAATTCCCAAAATTAATACTTTTATAATTTCTTACGCCTGTCTTCACTGCAGTCTCTGAACATAAATTGTGATGATTTCATGGACATTTATCTCTTCCCCAATTAATACTCTTATAATTTCTTATACCTGTCTTTAATCTCTTAATCACGTTATCTTTGTAAGGTGAGAATGTATGTCACCTCAGGACCCTGTGATGATTGTGTTAACTGTACAAATTGTTTGTAAAACGTGTGTTTGAACAACATGAAATCAGTGCACCCTGAAAAAGAGCAGAATAACAGCAATTTTCTGGGAACAAGGAAAGATAACCATAAGGTCTGACTGCCTGCGGGGTCGGGCAGAATGTAGCCATATTTTTCTTCTTGCAGAGAGCCTATAAACGGATGTGTGAGTAGAAGAAATACCGCTGAATTCTTTTCCCAGCAAGGAATATTAATAATTAATACCCTGGGAAAGGAAAGCATTCCCAGGGGTAGGTCTATAGACGGCCACTCTGGGAGTGTCTGTCTTATGCGGTTGAGATAAGGGATGAAATACACCCTGTTCTCCTGCAGTGCCCTCAGGCTTACTAGGATTGGGAAATTCCAGCCTGGTAAATTCTAGTTAGACCAGCTGTCTGCTCTCGAACCCTGTTTCCTGTTAAGATGTTTATCAAGACAATGCATGCCCAGCGGGATGTGGACCCTCATCAGTAATTCTAATTTCACCCTTGCCTTGTGATATTGCTATTCCCTTTGCCTTGTGATCTTGTATTGCCCTTTGAAGCATGTGATCTCTGTGACCCACTCCCTATTCGTACACCCCCTCGCCTTTCAAAATCCCTAATAAAAACTTGCTGGTTTTGTGGCTTGAGGTCGCCATCATGGTCCTACCAATATATGATGGCACCCCTGGTGGCCCAGCCGTAAAATTCTTCTCTTTGTACTCTTTCTCTTTATTTCTCAGACTGGTCGACACTTAGGGAAAAATAGAAAAGAACCTACATTGAAATATTGGGGGCTGGTTCCCCTGATACAAGAACAAACCAAATCCCAAATTAGTATAAGGAAAGACATAATAAAGATGAAAGCAGAAAATAATGAAATTGAGACTAAAAAATACAGAAGATCAATGAAACAAAAAATTGTTTTTTAGAATGATAAACAAAATTGATAAACTTTAGCTAGACTAAGAAAAAAAGAGAAAAGACGGAAATAAATAAAAGAAATGAAAAAGGAGACATAACAACACAGAAATACAAAGAATCATCATAGACTATTTTGAAAAACAATACAGCAACAAATTGGAAAACCTAGAAGAAATGGATAAATTCCTAGACACATACAACCTACCAAGATTGAACCATGAAGAAATAGAAAACCACAGAAAACCAAACACTGCATGTTCCCACTTATAAGTGGGAGCTGAATGATGAGAAAACATGGACACAAGGAGGAGGAACAAGACATACTGGGACCTGTAAGTGGTGGGGGTAGGGGGTGAGGGGATAGACAGCATCAGAAAGAATAGCTAATAGATGCTAGACTTAATACCTGGGTGATGGGATGATTTGTGGAGCAAACCATCATGGTACATATTTACCTATGTAGCAAACCTGCACATCCTACACGTGTAACCCCTGAATTTAAAATAAAAGTTGAAGAAAAAAAAAGAAATAAAAAACCTAAAAAAAAACCAATAATGAGTAATGAGATCAAAATTGTAGTAAAAAGTCTCCCATCAAAGAAAATCCAAGGATCTGATGATTTCATTGCTGGATTCTATCAAACATTTAAAAACTAGTACCAATTATATTCAAAATCTTAAAAAATTGAAGATAAGGGGATACTTCCAAACTAATTATATGAGGCCAGCATTCACCTGATATTAAAACCAGACAAGGACACAGCACAAAAGAAAACTATAGGTAAATGTCACTGATGAACATAGAGTCAAAAGTCCTCAACAAAATACAAGCAAACCAAATTCAACAGCACATTGAAAAGATCATTCACCATAATCAAGTGGGATTCATCCTAGAGATGCAAGGACGTGTCAACATACGTAATCAACAAACATGATACATCACATTAACAGACCAAGAACAAAAACTATATGATTATTTTAGTAGCATTCGGTAAAGTCCCATATCCCTTTATGATAAAAATCCTTATGGAACTGGTATTGAAGAACTATACCTCAGAATAATAAAGGCCAAATTTGACAAACCCATAGTAACATAGTACTGATGAGGAAAAATTAAAAGCCTCTTGTCTAAGATCTGGAACTGGACAAGGATGTCCACTTCCACTACTTTTATTCAACATAATACTGGAAATCTTAGTGAGAGCAATTGAGCAAGAGAAAGAAATAAATGGCATTCAAATTGTAAAGAAATAAGTCAAATTAGCCTTGTTCACAGATGACATGCTATTGTATACAAAAAAACCCTAAAAGCTCCACCAAAAAACTGTTAGAACTGATAAGCAAATTCAGTAAAGTTGCAGGATACAAAATCAATATACAAAATTAGTAGTGTTTATATTTTCCAGCAGAAAACAATCTGAAAAAGAAATCAAGAAAACAATCCTATAAGTGCTTGAAGTGAAGGATACCCCATTTACCCTGATGTGATTAGTACACATTGTATGCCTACATCAAAATATATCATATACCCCATAAATATATATACCATGTACCCATAAAAATTAAAAATAAAAAATTATATATATATAGACAATGTATATCAGAAAAAAAGAAAACAATCCTACTTATAATCGTTACAAAGAATACAAAATACCTAGAAATCAATTTAACCAAATATGAAAGATCTATACAAGGAAAACTATAAAACACTGATGAAAGAAATTGGAGAGGACACACCAAAGAAAAGAGAAAGATATTCCATGCTCATGGATTGGAAAAATTAGTATTGTGAAAACAACCATACTACTCAAAGCAATTTACAGATTCAATGCAATCCCTGTCAAAATACCAATGAGATTCTTCACAGAAATAGAAAAAACAATCCTAAAATTTATATGGAACCACAAAAGACACCAAACAACCAAAGCAATCTTGAGCAAATAGAACAAAGCTGGAGGCATTATACTAATGGACTTTAAAGTATACTACAAAGCTATAGTAACCAAATCAGCATGGTATTGGTGTAAAAACAGACACATAGACCATTGGAATGGAGTAGAGAATCCAGACATAAATCCACAAGTTTGTAGCCATCTCATAGTCAACAAAGGTACCAAGAACATATAATGGAGAAAGGACAATCTCTACAATAAATGGTACTGGGAAAACTGGATAACTATATTCCAAAGAATGAAACTATACCCCTATCTCTCACCATACACAAAAATCAAAATGATTAAAGACTTAAATCTAAGATCTGAAACTATGAAACTTCTAGAAGAAAACATAGGGGAAATGCTCCAGGATATTTGTCTGGACAAAAATTTTTTGTGTAAGACCTCAAAAGCACACTCAACTAAAGCAAATACAGACAAATGGGACTATATCAAGCTAAAAAGCTTCTGCACAGCAAGGGAAACCATCAATGAAGTGAAGAGATGACCCACAGAATGGGAGAAAATATTTGCAAACTGTCCATAGTAATAACAAGGGATAATAACCAGAATATATAAGGAGACAAGGGAGTAATAACCAGAATATACAAGGAAGTCATAACCAGAATATATAAGGAGACAAGGGAGTAATAACCAGAATATATAAGGAGCTCAAACAACTCAATAGCAAAAAACCCAAATAATCTGATCTAAAAATGGGCAAAAGATCTGAATGGATGTTTCTCAAAAGAAGACGTATAAATAGTCAACGGATATATGAAAAAATGCTCAATATCACTAATTATCAGAGAAATGCTAATTAAAGCCACCATGAGATATCATGTCACCTCAGTTAAAATGTTCTTTACCAAAAAGATAGGTAATAATAGATCCTGGCAAGTTTGTGGAGAAAGAGGAACCCTTATACACTGTTGGTGGGGATGTAAATTAGTACAGTCTTTATGGAAACAGTATGGAGGTTTTTCAAAAAACTAAAAATAGAACTACCACCTGTCCAGCAATTCCACTACTGAGTGTACATCCAAAAGAAAGGAAATCAATGTACCAAACAGTACCCTGCAGTACAATGTACCAAACAGTACTCAGGAGTACAACATGGTGAAACCCCATCTCTACTAAAAATACAAAAAATTAGCAGGGTGTGGTGGCACACACCTGCAATCCCAGCTACTTGGGAGGCTGAGGCAGGAGAATCACTTGAACCCAGGAGGCGGTGGTTGCAGTGAGCCAAGATCAAACCATTGCACTCCCGCTTGGGCGACAAGAGCAAAATTCTGTCTCAAAAAAAAAAAAAAAAAGATAGGAGCCGGGGAAATAGACAAATCTATTATTATAGTTGTATATTTCAATACCCTGCTCCAAGTAATTGATAAAGCAAGTAGACAGAACATCAGCAAAGATATAGGAGACTGGAATAACACTCTCAAGCAACTTCACCTAATTAACATTTGTAGGACACTCCATGTAATAACATTATTCACATACTTTTCAAGTGCACAGGAAACATTTACCAAGATAGATCAGATTTAGTACTGTAAAACAAGTCTCAAATTTAAACGAATTCAAGTTATAAAAGTATGCTTTTTGACTACAGTGCAATTGTATTAGAAACCTATAACATGTCTAGAATTTAGTATATACCCTCCTCCCAACTCTAACTCCCAAACTTGCTCCTCCTCCATGTCCTTTTCTCAACTTAGGTCAAGGCCCCATTATCCATTCAGTCACTTAAGCCAGAAATTCTTAATTATCCTTTTCCTCATCTCTCTTAAGCAACAAATTACCACATTCTGCTGACTTTTCTTCCAAATCATTTCTCAAATCTCTTCCCAACTCTCTGCCTCGATTACTGCAGTCTCAGTTCAAGTCATTACCATCTCTCTTTATGGACCTGCACCAGCCACCTAACTGGTCCCTCTGCCTCTCATCTTCCCCTCCTTAAACTCATTTTCCACATGTAAGTGAGTGCAGTGAATAGTCTCTCACATTCTTACAGTCTCTGTTTCTCCGCATCTGTAGAACAGCTTTCCTGTATTTGGGGAATCTCTACTGTTAGGAGTCCTGACTCCCAAAGTGCAAACCAAAACTCATTTTCATCACCTCCTTTGCTGCTAGGGCAGGGTACATGACTTGGGCTTAGTCAGATGCACCACACAAGACTTTAAGACAAGTACGGAGTGAAGAAGCAGGACATTCACAACAGAATAAAATTGTTACATATATGTGCAAGATATTCCTAGAGATATTTTCCTGTAGGAGGGATTTATTTACTCTTTCTCTCTCTTTTCTCTCCTTCCTTCCTTCCTTCCTTTCTTCCTCCCTTCCTCCCTTCCTCCCTTTCTCTCTTTCTCTCTTTTTCTTTCTTTTCTCAGCTTTAAGAAGATATAATTCACATAACATGTAATTCATCCATTTAAAATGTAAAATGCAATGGTGGTTGGTATAGCCACAGAGTTATGTAATGATCATCAAAATCAATTTTAGAACATTTTCATCACCCCCAGAAGAAACTCTATACTCATTAAGCTACTCTTCATTTCCACCCATCCCCACTTCCAGCTGTAGGCAACCACTAACCTACTTTCTGTATTAACAAATATTCATATAAAAGAAGTCATATAATATATGCCTTTTTTGTCTCACTTCTTTTGTATAGGTAGCATAATGTTTTCAAGTTTCATCCATATTGTACTGATCCATTATCAGTAATTTATTCCTTCTTATTGCTATATAATGTTCTATGGCATAGCTACACAGCAGTTTGTTTATGCATTCGCCTGCTCATGGACATTTAGGTAACTTTCATTTTTTGGCTATTACAAATAAGACTGCTATGAACATTCATGTCCATTCTTTGTATGGACTTATGCTTTCATTTCTCTTGAGTATGTATCTAGTGGTCGAATTGCTGGGTCATGTGCTTTGCTTGAAGGTTTAAGGAGTTTTTTTTTTACTTTTAATTTTTATTATTTATTTATATATATTTATTATACTTTAAGTTCTAGGGCACATGTGCACAATGTGCAGGTTTGTTACATATGTATACATGTGCCATGTTGGTGTGTTGGAGATGTTTTCTTTTGTGAGAACCTGGATTGGGAAAAGTTGAACCTTTCATCATTTCATCATTTGAGTTTTTTAATGTATGAGGCAGGCTTTTGTACAGAGAGAGAGAGAAAAACCCCAAACACTTATAGCCACTTTTGCTTAATTAATGTTAAATTTATTAAAGACATCTGATTTTAAAATCTAGTTTTTATTAGGTGCTTAAGCTTAACTTTAAGCTGGTAAATTTTATTTATAAATATAGTATTCTGTTATAACTTAACAGTCACTTCTAAATAAGATAGATTAAATTCCCTAAACATTTATTATTAAGATGATGAAATTCTTAGATATTTCAAACTACAATTATAAATGTATCTGATTCTCTAAAGCACTTCAAGCACTCAACAAGCAAGCTTACAAATCTAATAAACCAATATTCCTAAGCACTTACATTCTATTTACGAACCTAATAACTCAAAAGTTGTAGATTTAATTCCTCAGATTCTCTGAAAAATTCAAACTCAATTTACAAACATAATCAATTCAACTTCAACACATCTTCAATTTAAATCCTCAATCTACCATCAATTATGTTCTTTTAAACATTTCAGATTAAAATCACAAGTCTAAATTCAATGTGTCAAATATCCCATCTGTCAAACAAAATACATGCGAATTGCCAAGATGGTTAAAAAATAGCTTATTCTTGAACTCAACACAAAAAATGTTAAATCTTGGGTTTGAGTAACTTCTTCACTCTTACTCAGAGCCTGCATAAGTTTGGCTTACGGAAAAAATTCAGCTAAAGTGAAGAATCATAAGTAATACTTCATACATAGTTTAACATTTTAAGTTAAATGTTTAGAATATATAAATGTTTAGTTTAGAACATTTAAATACACATTCTTTTGCCATACCCTTTCTTTGAGTATGAGTCTGTTAATCAGACTTCCAAGACACCTTCGTTGCATAAACTACTCCCATAGTGTATCCTCCGTAATTTCCAGTTTGGATTATGTTATAAGCCTCTGCAAAACAATGTAAATGTAAATTGATTTTAGGTTTTTATATTTCCTTGCAATCTTTCATAGTTGTCTCATCCACTTTTAGTTTAAAAAATGTTTTAGCAAGTTTCCATTAGCAAGTCTTTCCAAAGCATTTCTTCTAATTTTCTTTTTTTTTTTGGAGCAGGGGACAGTCTTGCTCTGTTGTTGCCCAGGCTGGAGTGCAGTGGTGTGATCTCGGCTCACCACAACCTCTGCCTCCTGGGTTCAAGCGATTCTCCTGCCTCAGCCTCCTGAGTAGCTGGGACACAGGTGGGTGCCAACATGCCCAGCTAATTTTTGTATTTTTAGTAGAGACAGGGTTTCGCTATGTTGGCCAGGCTGGTCTCAAACTCCTGACCTCATGATCCACCCACCTTGGCCTCCCAAAGTGCTAGGATTACAGGTGTGAGCCACCACGCCCAGCCTCTTCTAATTTTCATAGTAACAACTTTTTTCCTACACTTATATTTCATGGGATTATGTCATATTTAATCAAATTAGTAATTATAATAACAAAACTAATATCTGCAGGTTTGGGAACAAACACAACTTGGTAAGTGTTGTGTATGTGTATGTGATTCTTGGTATGTGTTGTGCTCAAGTGATGGGAGCAGAACACACCAGTATACTAGAGAGGGATCTACTAGCTGTAAGTACTCACCTGTATGTGCCCTGGGTGCCCGTTGGTATGTTTTACAGAAGGAATGGAGAATGTTGGTTAATTTAGTAATTGAGCTAGGTGGAGGTTGGCTTAAAAATCTTCCATTATTTTTCATGTTTAAAAAAATTGAGTTACGCGTTACATACAATAAAATATGCCCTTTTGAATGTGTAACCCTATGAGTTTTAAAAAACACTTGCAGTTATGTAATGACCACTACTACCCTGATCAAGATATGGAATGCCTCTGTCACCTCTCAAAATCCCCTTGTGCTACTCCTTTGTAGTCAATCCCTCCACCCCACCACACCCCCGGCTCCTGCAAATCACGTACCTCTGCATAATTCTCTGGAGATTCACCAAAGTTGTTGTGTGTGTTAGTTATTCCTTTCTATTGCCAAATAGAATTCTATATTGCAGATGTACAGCAGTTTGATGATTCACCTGTTGAAGGACCCCTTGGTTGTTTCTAGTTGGGGGTATTATGAAAAAAGCTGCTAGAAATATTTCATGTATAGGTTTTTGTGTGAACATGAGTTTTCATTTCTCTATGTAGTGCTATCTCTTTGTGGTTTAAATTTGCATTTCCCTAATGGCTAATGATGTTGAATGCCTTTTCATGTGTTTGTTTACCATCTGTATTAACATTTTCAGTAAAACAACTGTTCATGTCTTTGTCCACTTCTATTTGGATTGTATTTCCACTGTTAAGTTTGAGAGTTCTTTATATATTCTAGATACTAGTCATTTGTGGGATATGTGGTTTGCCGATATTTCTCCCAGCCTGTAGTAAGTTGTTTTTCATCCTCATAATAGGATTTTTCATGAGCAAATGTTTCTAATTTCGATGACGTCCTATTTATTAATGTTTACTTTTATAATCATGTTTTTGGTATTAAGTCTAAAAACGACTTGCCCAGCTATAGATTATAAAGATATTCTACCATTTTTTTTCTTTCTTTTTTATTTTTATTTTTTGAGACGGAGTTTCGCTCTTGTTGCCCAGGCTGGAGCGCAATGGTGTGATCTCTACTCACCGCAACCTCTGCCTCCTGGGTTCAAGTGATTCTCCTGCCTCAGCCTCTCATGTAGCTGGGATTACAGGCATGCACCACTACGCGCGGCTAATTTTGTATTTTTAGTAGAGATGGGATTTCTCCATATTGGTCAGGCTGGTCTCGAACTCCTGACCTCAGGTGATCTGCCCGCCTCGGCCTCCCAAAGTGCTGGGATTACAGGTGTGAACCACCTCACCCGGCCTCTACCGTTGTTTTTCTAGAAGTTTTGAAGAAGGATTTACATTTTATATTACATCCATGATTCACTTTGAGTTAGTTTTTGCATAAGATGTGAGTTTTAGGTCAAGGTCCATTTTTCTTTGGCCTATGAATGTCCAATTACTCTACACCTTTTGTTGAGATGGGTATTATTTCTCCACTGACTAGCTTTTGAATATTTGTCAAAAATCAATTGGGAATCCCAGTAGCAACAAGTACATGAGTACACCTAGTGTTCAGGTCATGGTTTCTAATACCATTCCCCAATGAAAGGAATCAGGGTTCCTTGGAGAAATGGCTGATTCTTGGACTGGGGCAAAAATTATACAAGATAATCCTAGAGCTCTTGCAGTATCAGAAAGTAAGGAAATGATAACAACAAAATCCACATTGATGTCAAAGGAGCACAAGAGCCAGCTGAAAGAGCTTCCACGGGCCAAAGTGGGAACAACTTGAGAAACAAAATTTAAAAGTAGCATTGGAGTTATAGACCAAAGTATAAAATAAATATTTTGAGTGTATATTGAGAAAAAAATTGAATAGTAAATATGTGGAGGAAAACATGGGAGGCAAATCTCCCATGCAGAATTCCAAATAATTTATACAGATACTCCTCCCTGAAGGAGGGGACCGTAACTCCCCACTCCTTATGTGTGGTTTGCCCATAGTGACTTCCTTCCAAAGAGAACAGTCTAGAAAAGTAACTTTACAATGGAGAAACCTGACAAACACTATCTTTGCCACGTGATCAAGGTCAATATCAATGGTCATAAATCACACTGGTAGTATTATTACCCTTGATATGATGTGATGAAAATGACACTTTATTTCTGTGATCTTCCTCCCAATAGCCCATACTCAGTCTTATCATGAGAAAAACACCAGACATATTCCCGAAGTGGGGCATCCCACAAAAATATATGACCAATACTCCTCAAAGCTGTCAAGGTTGTGAAAAACAAGGAAAGTCTAAGAAACTGTCACAGCCAAGAGGATCCTAAGGAGACATGACAATTAAAAGCTAAGGAAATCTGACTATACGCTGGCCATTAGTTAATAATAATGTTTCAATATTGGTTCCTTCATTGTAACACATGTACCATACTAATGTAAGACATTAATAACAAGAAAACTGGGTGCATATGGGAACTCTCTGTACTATCTGCTTAATTTTTCTGTAAACTAAAGAATAAAGTCTATTTTAATAAATCAGTTGGGCATATTTGTACGGCTCTATTTCTAGGTTCTCTATTCTGTTTCATTTGTCTATTTGACTATCCCTCTGCCAATACCACACTGTTTTGATTACTGTGTGGTATTGTCAGAGGGCTAGCTACCCAGTAGACCTTCATATTGGAGTAGATTTTGCCCATTTTTAATTAAGTTGTTTGTTTTCTTATTATTGAGTTTTGAGAAAATGGCAGAGTACTAGAAAGACGCCCACTGGCTGCCAGTGATCAGATGCCGTGGGACCAGTTGGTAGGTTTTATAGAAGGAATGGAGATTATTAGTTAATGTAATAATTTGATTAAGTAAAAGTTCTTTACAAAAGTTTCTATTATTATTATTACTACTATTTTGAGGTGGAGTCTCACCCTGTTGCCCAAGCTGGAGTGCATTGGCATGATATTGGCTCACTGCAACCTCTGCCTCCCAGGTTCAAGCTATTCTCCTGCCTTAGCCTCCCAAGTAGCTGGGACTACAGGTGTGTGCCACCATGTCCAACTCATTTTTTTTTTGTATTTTTAGTGGAGAAGGGATTTTGTCATGTTGGCCAGGCTGGTCTTAAACTCCTGACCTCAAGTGATCCACCCACCTCGGCTTCCCAAAGTGCTGGGATTATAAGCGTGAGCCACTGTGCCTGGCCAATGAAGGTTTGTATTATTTTTATCTCTGGGTTCCTTCCCCAGGTTTGGAAGGGCATATACCCAATTGAATTAACATCAATTACTTGGAGAAGATGTGGGACTACTATGTAGTTACAGATTTGGGTTATCTGTTGGAGGTTAGGGGACTGGACACTGGATCCTGCTTCAGCTTTCAGAATTACATCTCCTGAACCATCTTTTCACAAGCTAGATCCCCTCTTATATATCTGGGCTTTGTATCAATAAAATCCTCAAGCCCATGCCTTTCAGCTGGAATTTAACTTGTTTCATAACCTGGTGAATTGCACAGGCTCTAGGCATACCTAAAGTTATATTTTTATCCTCTCCTCCCATTTTTTCCCAAAACTTCTTGCACAACATTTTGAGATTGGGGTTGATGGGATTCTGCATGTCACCCTCACCCCACTAGTCTGCAACTGCCTATTGAAAGGGTTCTTAACTGTTTTTCCCCTACAGATATCTTTGGCAGTCTGATGAAGCCTATGGATCTCTTCTTAGAAAAATGTTTTAAAATCTATTTCATAAAATCCATTGGACCACAAAGGAAACCAACTATTGAAACACAGTTATCAAAATATTAAAGTGAATGTGACTTTTTTTTTTTTTTTTTTTTTTGAGACAGAGTCTCGCTCTGTCGCCCAGGCTGGAGTGCAGTGGCGTGATCTCGGCTCACTGCAAGCTCCGCCTCCCAGGTTCACGCCATTCTCCTGCCTCAGCCTCCCGAGTAGCTGGGACTACAGGCGCCCGCCACCACACCCGGCTTATTTTTTTTGTATTTTTAGTAAAGACAGGGTTTCACTGTGTTAGCCAGGATGGTCTCGATTTCCTGACCTTGTGATCCGCCTGCCTCGGCCTCCCAAAGTGCTGGGATTACAGGCGTGAGCCACCGCACCCGGCCTGAATGTGACATATATTTATACAGTCATGCATCACTCAGCCACAGGAATATGCTCTGAGAAATATGTTGTAAGTTGATTTCATTGTTGTGCAAACATCATAGAGTGTACTTATACAAACTTAGATGGTAGAGCCTACTACACACCTAGGCTATATGGTACAGCCTATTGCTTTTAGGCTACAAACCTGTACAGCATGCTACTGTTCTAAATGCTGTAGGCAATTAAACACAATGTTAAAGTATTTGTGTATCTAAGCATATCTTTTTTTTTTTTTTTTTTTTCTGAGATGGAGTCTCATTCTGTTGCCCAGGCTGGAGTGCAGTGGTGCAATCTTGGCTCATTGCAACCTCTGCCTTCTGCTTACTACACCTGGTGTGTGCCTTGCCCTGGGGGTGAATAGCCAAGGCTCCCCTTCACCCCTAAGTCACCGCTGAAATCAACCCAGGTCAGTGGCCTAACATCCCCAAGGCAAGCTGTAAGCAACTGTTACATAGACCTTTCCCTATGAGACCAATTGGAGGTGGAGCTGCTCTATTTACTCCTCCCCTTTTTCTCTCAGGCTGGAGCTGAAGCAATATCTTGCCTCCTGGGAAAATAGTATTTTGGCTGCTTAAAGTAGTTATACCTCTCTGCGCCTAAGTTGAAGCAGTGTCTACATCACAGGAAACTGCCTTGGCTACCCAAAGTGGTCATATACCCCACTACCTAAGCTGAAGCAGTGCCCTGCATCTTAGGAAAATGGTGCCTTGGGCCATGTGGAATAGTCATCCCCCCAAGGCCTGAGCTGAAGCAACACATTATCCCCTTAGGAACTGGTGCCCTGACCAAGCTGACAAGCTGCACACCCCAGGGCTAAGCTGATATAGTACCTGGAGTCCCAGGGAAACAGAGTAGTGAGCTGAGACACATTATGCTGTAGGCCAAACAACTCTAGTACTCTGATTCCCTGGAGCTGAACTAGACTTTTAGAGTCTGAGTTGCTCAGACACCCTACTCTCTGGGGAATACAGTCATTGCTGTACTATTCCCTGTCATCCCCAGGGCCCAAACAACAGCTGCGCTATACTATTCTGGGATACATGATGTCACTGCACCTGGCTTCACAGAGTCTTGGATACTGCCAACCCCACCATCCTACCGTTCACAGTCACTACCTACACAGTGCCTCATCCACTGGGACCCAAGTTGCCACTGAGCCCTAATGGTTCAGGTTCTCAAATTTTAGCCAAACCCTGCTCTCTGGACCCAAACCTGCAGAGCACCCCTTCTTCTCTGGAGTTAGTCCAGTTTTGTGCTTTGTTCTCTGGGTGTAGAATCACAGCTATGACCTGCCCCCTGGGCTTGAGCTTCTAGGGAGTGATTCAGAGGCACAGATCCTGGCTCTGTGGGCAACCAATATCCAAACCTGTGACAGAGAACAAACCTGTGACAAACAAACAAATGGTACCCCAAGACCCAGTTGCAACAATAGTTTTGTGAGAAACTGTTGAGCTTAGGACTGAGCTTAGGACTCTGGTCCTACAGTTGCTCTGAGCACCTGCACCTGGAACCTAGCACTGCTGTAGCTGCTTATAGGACATGTCAGACATGACACCAAGAGGGATGTAGTTCACTAAGTATCCTCATTGTGGGGAAAATGAGCATAGGAAGACTCCCAAAGCCCTTGACACCAAGAACATGAACAACCTTCACCATCACTGCAGCTGTCACAAACTTCCACAGCCTAGGCTATTGAGACTCCAACAGTTAATGCTGGCATTGAACACAGATGATGAAGCTGCATGGAGACTATACCACTGTGCCTATCTATAAACAAAACTGCCACATCCTTCCCAATTGGCACACTAAAATCCAACTGCAGGTGAAAGTCTTTCTCTATGAAAGCCACTCTAGAAAGTTTGAAAGGGCAATTGTTCCACCAAATGCACAGACAACACTGGGGCACAAGAAACATGAAAAAGCAAGGAAATACGACACTACCAAATGAACATAATAACTCTCTAATAACAGAGCCAATTGAAAATGAAATCAGAAAATTGCCAGAAAAGGAATTCAACATAATGATCATAAGAAAACTCAATGAGATACAGGAAAATACAGATAGAAAATTCAAAAAAATTAGGCAAACAATTCATGACATGAATGAGAAATTCAATAAAGAGATAGAAATAATAAAAAAGAACCAAACAGAAATACGGCAGCTGAAGAATTCAATGAATTAAATAAAAACTATTATACAGAGCTTCAGTAGTAGACTTGATCAAGAAGAAGAAAGAATATTTAAACTTTAAGATAGGTCATTTGAAATTACCCAGAAGGAGAAAAAGAAAAAAAAGAAATAAGAATGAAAAAGAATGAAGAAAGTCTACAAGACTTATGGGACACCATTAAGCAAACAAGTTTTTACATTATAGGAGCTGCAGAAGGAGAAGAGAAGGAAAAAGTCACAAAAAACTTATTTAATGAAATAATGGCTGAAAACTTCTGAAGTTCAGGGAGAGATATGAACATCCAGATCTGGAAAGCACAAAGATCCCCAAGTAGATTTAACTCAAAAAGATCCTTCCTGAGGAACATTATGGTCAAATTGTCAAAAGGCAAAGACAGGCTGGGTGCAGTGGCTTATGCCTGTAATCCCAACACTTTGGGAAGCCAAGGCAGGAGGATCCCTTGAGCCCAGGAGTTCAAGACTAACCTGGGCAACATAATGAGCCCTGTCTCCAAAAAAAGAAAAATTAGCTGGGCATGGTAGCACATGCCTGTAGTCCCAGCTACTTAGGAGGCTGAGGCAGGAGGATCGCTTCAGCCAGGAGGTTGAGGCTGCAGTCAGCCATAATTATGCCATTAGACTCCAGCCTGGGTGACAAAGTGAGACCTTGTCTTAAAAAAAAGAGGCAAAGACAAATAGAGGATACTAAAAACAGCAGGACAAAAGTGTCCAGTCACACATAAGAACATTCTCATTAGAGTAACAGCATATTTTTGTGCAGAACTAATAGCCAGGAGATAATGGGATGATGTATTTGAAGTGCTGAAAGTAAAAATTTGCCTGCTAATAATATTATATGCAGAAAAGCAGAAGCTGTTTTTCAAAAATGGGGTATAAATAAGGTCTTTCTCAGAGAAGCAAAAACTGAAGAAATTCATCACTACCACCTGAGCCTTACAATAAATATTTAAGGGAATCTTAGATCCAGAATAAAAAAGATAATAGTTATTATCATTAAAACATGTAAAAGTATAAAACTCACTGGTAGAGCAGATACACAAAGGAAAAAGAGAAAAGAATCAAATCTTATCACTATGGAAAACCACCAAACTTCAGTGATAAACAATAAGAAAGAAAGAAACAAGTTATATAGAAAACAACCAGAAAATAATTAACAAATGACAGGCGTAAATCTTCATCTATGAATAGTAACCTTGAATGTAAAGACATTAAATTCCCCACTTACTAGATATAGACTGGAAGAATGGATAAAAAAAGATGACTCAACCATATGCTGCCTACAAGAAAGTCACTTCACTTGTAAAGATACATATAAACTGAAAGTGAAGGAATAGAAGAATATATTCCACACAAATGAAAACCAGAAGTGAGCAGGGGTAGCTACACTTATATCTGATAAAACTGATACGGAAAGAATTAAGTCAAAAACAGTAAAAAGAGACAAAGAAGATTATTATATAATGATAAAGGGATCAATTCAGCAAATTATATAACAATTATAAATATCTATGCAGCAAAAACTAGAGTGTATATAAAGTATACAAAGCAAACATTAATAGGTCTAAAGGGAGACATAGATTGCCATACAATAATAGTAACAGGCTTTAGCACTCCATTCTCAGTAATGGACAGATCATTCAGACAGCAAATCAACAAAGAAACATCAGAATTAAACTATGCACTAGTCCTAATAGGCCTAACTAACATTTACAGAACATCATATACAAAAATGATGAAGAATGCTTATTTTATCATCAGCATATAGAACATTCTCCAGAAGAGATTATATCTTAGGCTGCAAGACAAGTCTGAACAATTCAAAAAAGTAAAAATCATGTCAAGTATCTTTTGGGACCACGATGGAATAAAACTAGAAATCTTTTCATGTATTGTACAAATACAAGAAAATTAAACAACATGCTCCCAAATGACCAATGGGTCTCTGAAGAAATTAAGAAGAAAATTTAAATATTTCTGGAAACCAATGAAAATTGGAATACAGCATAGCATAATCTATGGGACATAGCAAAAGCAGTACTAAGAGGAAAGTTTATAGCCAAAAATATCTATATCAAAAAAGTAGGAGGACTTCAAATAAACAACCTACTGATGCATCTTAAGGAATAAGAACAGCAAGAATAAACTAAATCCAAAATTAGTAGAAGAAATAATAAAGATTAAAAAAGAGATAAGTGAAATTGAGACAAAAAAATTACAAATGATCAATTAAACAAAATGTTGTTTTTTTGAAAAGATAAATAAAATCTAGAAGCCATTAGCTAGAGTAACCAAGAAAAAAAGAGAAAAGACAGAAATAAAATCAGAAATGTAAAAGGAGACATTAAAACTGATGCCACAGAAAAAGAAAGGATTATTAGAGACTATTATTAACAACCGTATGGCAACAAATTAGAAAGTCTAGTGGAAATTAACTCCAGGACACATACAACCTACCAGGATTGAATCAAGAAAAAAATAGAGAACCTGAACATACCAATTATGATTAATAAAATGGAACCTGTAATAAAAAGTATCCGATCCAAAAAAAAAACAAAAACAACAACAAACAAACAAACAAACAAAACAACCCCAGGTCCCAATGGCTTAACTGCAGAATTCTGACAGACATTTAAACATGAATACCAATGCTTTCCAAACTATTCCAGAAAATTGAAGAGGAAGGAATACTTCCAAACTCATTCTACAAAGCCAGTTACCCTGATGCCAAAATCCGATGATGATACAACAAAAAAAGAAAACTATAGGTCAGTATTCCTGATCAACATAGATGCAAAATTCCTTAGCAGACTACTGGCAAACTGAATCCAGCAGCACAAGAAAAAGATCATTCACCATCATCAAGTGGGATTGATCTCAGGGATGCAAGGGATGTTTCAACACATGCAAATCAATAAATATGATACATCACATAAACAGAATGAAGAATGTGATACATCACACAAACAGATGATCACAATATGATCATCTCAATAGATACAGAGAAAGTATTTGAGAAAATTCAATGTCCCTTCATAGTAATAACTCTCAAAAAGTTAGGAGTAGAAGAAACATACCTCAACATAAGGCCATATATGACAAACCCACAGCCTACATCATATGGAACAGGGAAAAGTTGAAAGAAAGCTTTTCCTCCAAGATATGGAAAAAGATAAGGATACCCACTTTCCCCACTTTTATGCAACATAGTACTGGAAGTCCTAGCCAGAGCAATTAGGCAAGAGAAAGAAATAAAGGGCATCCAAATTGTAAAGGAGGAAGTCAAATGATCCCTGTCTGCAGATGACATAATCTTATATATAGAAAACCTTAACAGCTACACCAAAAAGCTCTTAAAACTGATAAACAAATTCAGTAAAGTTGCAGGAACATACAAAAATCAGTAGCATTTCTATACACCAACAACAAACTAGAGGAAGAAGAAATCAAGAAGGCAATCCCATTTATAATAGCAACGAATAATATAGAGTACTTAAGAATCAATTTAACCAAAGAGGTAAATTATCCCTACAGGGGAAACTATAAAACACTGACAAAAGAATTGAAGAGAACACAACAAAATGGAAAGACATCTCATGTTCATGAATTGGAACAATTGAAATTGTGAAAATGGTCACACTATCCAAAGAAATCTACAGATTCAATGCAATCTCTATCAAAATACCAACGACATTCTTCACAGAAACAGAAAAACAATCCTAAAATTTGTGTGAAACAACAAAAGACCCTGAATAGCCAAAGCAATCCTGAGCAAAAAGAACAAAGCTGGAGGCATTATACTATTGAACTTTAAAGTATACTACAAAGCAATAGTAACAAAAGTAGCATGGTACTGGCATAAAAACAGACCATAGGCTAATGGAATAGAATGGAGAACCTAGATATAAATCCACACGTTTACAGCTGACTGATTTTCAACAAAGGCACCAAGAATATTTACTGGGGATGGGATAGTCTATTTGATAAATGGCGTGAGAAAATTGGATGTCCATAGAAGGAAGATGAAACTAGAGCCCTATTTCTCACCAAATGCAAAAAATCAACTAAAATAAATTAAAGATTTAAATGTAAGTTCTGGAATTGTGAAACTACTAGAAAAGAAAACACGGGAAATGCTTCAGAACACTGGTCTGAGCAAAGATTTTATGGAGAAGACCTCAGAGCATAGGCAACAAAGGAAAATTAGACAAATGGTATTGTATCTAACTGAAAAGCTTCTATACAACAAAGCAAACCACCAACAAAGTGAAGAGAAAACCTACAGAATAGTAGAAAATACTTTCAAGTTACTCATCTGACAAGGAATTATTATCCAGAATATACAAAGAACTCAAACAACTCAACAGGAAAAATGAAAATAATCCAATTTAAAAATGGGCGACCGGGTGCAGTGACTCATGCCTGTAATCCCAGCACTTTGCCAGGCCAAGGCAGGTGGATCACCTGAGGTCAGGAGTTCGAGATCAGCCTGACAAACATGGAGAAACCTCATCTCTACTAAAAATACAAAATTAGCCAGGCGTGATGGCACATGCCTGTAATCCCAGCTACTGGGGAGGCTGAGGCAGGAGAATCGCTTGAACCTGGGAGGTAGAGGTTGCAGTGAGCCAAGATTGCGCCATTGCACTCCAGCCTGGCCAACAAGAGCAAAACTCCTTCTCAAAAAAAAAAAAAAAAAAAAAAAAAAAAAAAAGATCTGAATTGTCATTTTCAAAAGAAGAGATACAAATGGCCAACAGTTATATGAAAAAATGTACAACATTACTAATCATCAGGGAATCAGGGAAATGCAAATCAAAACCACAAGACATATTATCTCACCCCAGTTAGAATGGCTATTATCGAAAAGACAAAAAATAAGAAATGCTGGCAAGGATGTGGAGAAAGGGAAACCTTTTTTTTTTTTTTTTTTGCAGTTGCAAGATTTAATAGAGTGAAAACAGAGCTCCTATACAAAGGGAGGGGACCCAAAGGGGATTGCCATTGCCAGCTCAAATGCCTGGGTTTATATCCTGATCCTTGTCCCTCCCACTGTGCTCTCAGGCAATAGATGATTGGCTATTTCTTTACCTCCTGTTTTTGCCTAATTAGCATTTTAGTGAGCTCTCTTTACTATCTGATTGGTTGGATGTGAGCTAAGTTGCAAGCCCCGTGTTTAAAGGTGGAAGTGGTCACCTTCCCAGCTAGGCTTAGGGATTTCTTGGTTGGCCTAGGAAATCCAGCTAGTCCTGTCTCTCAGTCCCCCCTTTCAACAGTAAAACCCAAGTGCTGTTGGGGAGGTTGGCTGATGACCGCTCTAACTGCTTCCTGCTGAAATGGGGCATAGTAGGGGTTATGCAGTTGAGATTTCCTCAGGAGGGGTGCCTTTGATGTCATTAGCATCAGAGCAAGGGCTAGCAGGCTGGTCCAGGGGCTTGCGGTGGATCTTAGTCATGGACTGCATCTGGGGCTCCATTTGAAGAACGATTTGTAGTTTTACAGCTTTGATTCTGGAAGAGACAAACTTAACAAGGAGGTTAAAGATTCAGGGATTGAAATGTATGGCCTGCAGTGCAGGGGATTATTTCCTTGGCACACTTCACAGGCCCTGACTATCTGCTTGACAGTTTTGAAAAGGCCTGGTCCAGTAAATAATAATTTGGCCATCTGATGGGTGCTATCAATGCCTAAGTGAAAGGTTTGGTGAAGGGTTTTAAGTAATTTCCATTGGTTAGCTGCAGGCAAAAGTATTTTTCCTTCTTTGGTGGCTAGCCATCCTGAGGGGAGGAAACTATGTCCTTGTGAAGTTCCCCTTTCTATTTCTTCTTCTGAGTTCTGGGGCTTGGTTTCCTGGAGGGGATTACCCCATACTAGGGGACTTTCTATAAGCATTTCTAATGGAGGATCCTGCCTTGCAGCTCTTCTGGCTTCAATCTCTGCTTGGTGGTTCCCTTCTATTTCCCTTTCCTTTTTTTCTGATGACCCCAGCCATGTAAGACTGTCACCTCTTTAGGTTTCTGTACAGCCAATAATAATCTCCTAATGGGTTCCTGATGTTCGATAGGTTTTCCCTTGGAAGTTAGGAATTCCCTTTCTCTCCACATTGCTGCATGGGTATGGAGGACTAGGTAAGCATACTCAGAATCTGTATATATATTTACCCTTTTTCCTTCTCTTAATTCTAGTGCCCAAGTGAGGGCTATTAGTTCTGCCAGCTGAGCAGTAGTTCCTGGAGTGAGGGGATTACTTTCAAGTATTCCATTATCACTGACCACTGCATACCCCGCTTTTTGAAGTCCTTTTTCTATGAAGGAACTTCCATCAGTATACAAGCTGAGGTCGGGATCAGTCAAGGGAACCTCTAAAAGGTCCCCTCAAGTGGCATAGGTGTGAGCAATTACTTGTTGACAGTTACATTCTATCTTTTCTTCATTGTCTGGAAGAAATGAGGCTAGGTTAAGAGTTGCACAAGTGTGCAGTTGCAGCACTGGCCCTTCAAGTAATAGAGCCTGATATTTAAGTAAATGGTTGTCTGACAGCCACAAGTCTCCTTTAGCAGTGAGTATGCCATTCACATCATGAGATGTCCACACAGTAAGATCTCTTCCCTGTATTATTTTAACTGCTTCAGATACTAAGCCTGCTACTGCCACCACTAGCCGTAAACAATGAGGCCAACCCTTTGCCACTACATCAATTTCTTTACTCAGGTATGCCACAGGTTGCAAGCTCGTCCCTCGGACCTGTGTAAGGACTCCTAGAGCTATTCATGTTCTTTCTGTGACATATAAAGAAAAGTCTTGCCCCATTGGCAAGCTTAACACTGGGGCTTGGGTTAGGGCCTTTTTTAGGGCCTGGAAAGCTGCTTCTGCTTCAGGTGTCCATCTTACTAAATGGGTATTGGCTTTCTGAGTTTCCTTAATTAATGTATATAATGGTCTGGCTATTTCGCCGCACCTGGGAATCCATATTCTGCAGAAACCTGTTATGCTGAGGAACCCTCTTAGTTGCTTTAGGGTTTTGGGATGAGGATAAGCCAGTTTAGGCTGGATACATTGCTCACTGAGGGCCCTGGTGCTTTGGATAATTTTAGACCTAAGTATTTAACCTGCTGTGAGCAGAGCTGAGCCTTTGGTTTGGAAACTTTTTAGCCACAGGTAGCAAGGAAATTTAAGAGTGCTTGGGTGGCTTGATGGCACAAGGTTTCTGAATGGGCGGCTAAAAGTAAATCATCCATGTACCGAAGGACAAGAGTGTCCAGGTATGAGAATTGGCTCAAGTCTTGGGCTAATGCCTGGCCAAATAGATGGGGGCTATCCCTGAACCCTTGAGGTAAAACAGTCCAGGTGAGTTGAGACGTTGGGTTCGAAGGATCTTCAAAGGCAAACAAGAATTGAGAGTCAGGAAGTACAGGGATGCATAAAAAGTCACCCTTAAGGTCCAGGACTGTAAACCACTCTGCTTCCTCTGGTATTTGGGAAAGCGGGGTACAAGGGTTAGGTACAGCTGGGTATAGAGGGACAACAGCCTCATTGATAATCCTGAGATTTTGCACTAACCTCCATAGTCCACTGGGTTTCTGTACTCCTAAAATTGGAGTATTGCAGGGGCTATAGCATGGTTTTACTAGGCCTTGGGCTTTTAGGTCCTTAACAATCTTTTGGAGTCCTTGTTGGGCCTTGGGTCTAAGGGGGTATTGCCTTTGGTAGGGAAAGGAGGCAGAATCCTTTAGTTTAACTTGAACAGGACGGGCATTCTTTGCTCGACCATATTGTCCTTCTGTTGCCCAGACTTCAGGATTAATTCCTTCCTCAAGCAGGGGACAACAAATGGGTGTTCCTTCTCCTATGTTCAGGTGTATAATGGCCCCTGCTTTTGCTAGAATGTCTCTCCCTAACAAGGGAGTGGGGCTTTCAGGCATAATTAGAAAAGCATGTGAAAAGAGTAAAGTTTCCCAGTCACAACTTAGTGACTGGGAGAAGTATCTAGTGACTGGCTGTCCTAGGACCCCTCAGATAGTGATAGATCTGGAGGACAGTTGTCTGGGACAGGAGAGTAAGACTGAGAAGGCCACACCAGTGGCCAGGAGGCAGTTAACCTCCTGGACCTCAATGGTCAAGCATACCCGGGGCACTGTGAGGGTGATGGCATGGGCTGGCACTTGCCCTGGGCACCCTCAGTCCTGCTGCTGGATCATCTTGTTAGTGGCTTCTGATTCAGAGGACCTTCATGCCCTGGGGCAGTGGGCCTTCCAGTAATTCCCTTGACATAAGGGGCATGGATGAGGGGGCGGCTTATTTCTACCTGGACAATCTTTTTTAAAGTGTCCTTGTAGACCGCACTGGAAGCAAGCCCTATTAGGCATTCAATTTGCCCAGCTTTTCCCTTTTCCAGAGCCTCCAAAGTCCACTTGCCTGAGGGCCATGACTAAAGCGGTGGCCTTTTTTTTTTATCCTGTTTGTCCCGTTCTGCCTGCTCCTCCTGATCTCTATTACAGAGAAAGGGAAACTCTTATACACTGTTGGTGGGAATGTAAAGTAGTACAGCCATTATGAAAACCAATATGGAGGTTCCTCAAAAAATAAAAAATTGAACTACCACATCACCCAATCATCCCACTCCTGTGTATATATTCGAAGGAAAGGAAATCAGTATGTTGAAAAGATATCTACACTTCCATATTTACTGCAGTATTATTCACAATAGCCAAGATAAGAAATCAACCTAAGTGTCCATCAACAGAGGAGCGAATAAAAAATTTTGGTATATATACAAAATATAATACTATTTAGATATGAAAAAGAATGAAATTCTGTCATTCATGACAACATGGATGAACTTGTAGGACATTATGTTAAATAAAATAAGCCAGGCACAGAAAGATAAATAGCAATATGTGGTAGTTAAAAAATGACCTCATAGAAGTAGAGAGTAGAGTAGTGGCTGCTATTCTGCATAGAGGAAGGGTAGGGGGTGAGAGAATATCCAAAGGTTGATTAACAGATACAAAAGTACAGCTAGATAGGAGGAATAAGGTCTAGAGTTCTATAGCATTATAGGGTGACTGTAGCTAAGAACAATTAGGCTGGGCATGTTGGCTCACGCCTGTAATCCCAGCATTTTGGGAGGCCAAGGCGGGTGGATCACCTGAGGTCAGGAATACAAGACCAGCCTGACCAACATGGAGAAACCCCACCTGTACTAAAAATACAAAAATCAGCCGGTTGTGGTGGTGCATACCTGGCACGTCTGTAATCCTAGCTACTCGGGAGGCTGAGGAAGGAGAATCGCTTGAACCCAGGAGGTGGAAGTTGCAGTGAACCGAGATCGTGCCACCGCACTCCAGCCTAAGCGATGGGAGACTCCATCTCAAAAACAAAACAAAACAAAACAAAAAAACCAGATAGGACATATCTCAAAACAATAAGAGCTATCTATGACAAATCCACAGCCAATATCATACTGAATGGGCAAAAACTGGAAGCATTCCCTTTGAAAACTGGCACAAGACAGGGATGCCCTCTCTCACCACTCCTATTCAACATAGTGTTGGAAGTTCTGGCCAGGGCAATTAGGCAGGAGAAGGAAATAAAGGGTATTCAATTAGGAAAAGAGGAAGTCAAATTTTCCCTGTTTGCAGACGACATGATTGTATATCTAGAAAACCCCATCGTCTCAGCCCAAAATCTTCTTAAGCTGATAAGCGACTTCAGCAAAGTCTCAGGATACAAAATCAATGTACAAAAATCACAAGCATTCTTATACACCAATAACAGACAAACAGAGAGCCAAATCATGAGTGAACTCCCATTCACAATTGCTTCAAAGAGAATAAAATACCTAGGAATCCAATTTACAAGGGATGTGAAGGACCTCTTCAAGGAGAACAACAAACCACTGCTCAAGGAAATAAAAGAGGATACAAACAAATGGAAGAACATTCCATGCTCATTGGTAGGAAGAATCAATATTGTGAAAATGGCCATACTGCCCAAGGTAATTTATAGATTCAATGCCATCCCCATCAAGCTACCAATGACTTCCTTCACAGAATTGGAAAAATCTACTTTAAAGTTCATATGGAACCAAAAAAGAGCCCGCATCGCTAAGTCAATCCTAAGCCAAAAGAACAAAGCTGGAGGCATCATGCTACCTGACCTCAAACTATACTACAAGGCTACAGCAACCAAAACAGCATGGTACTGGTACCAAAACAGAGATATAGATCAATGGAACAGAACAGAGCCCTCAGAAATAATGCCGCATATCTACAACCATCTGATCTTTGACAAACCTGAGAAAAACAAGCAATGGGGAAAGGATTCCCTATTTAATAAATGGTGCTGGGAAAACTGGCTAGCCATATGTAGAAAGCTGAAACTGGATCCCTTCCTTACACCTTATACAAAAATTAATTCAAGATGGATTAAAGACTTAAACGTTAGACCTAAAACCATAAAAACCCTAGAAGAAAACCTAGACATTACCATTCAGGACATAGGCATGGGCAAGGACTTCATGTCTAAAACACCAAAAGCAATGGCAACAAAAGCCAAAATTGACAAATGGGATCTCATTAAACTAAAGAGCTTCTGCACAGCAAAAGAAACTACCATCAGAGTGAACAGGCAACCTACAAAATGGCAGAAAATTTTTGCAACCTACTCATCTGACAAAGGGCTAATATCCAGAATCTACAATGAACTCAAACAAATTTACAAGAAAAAAAAACAACCCCATCAAAAAGTGGGCAAAGGATATGAACAGACACTTCTCAAAAGAAGACATTTATGCAGCCAAAAGACACATGAAAAAATGCTCATCATCACTGGCCATCAGAGAAGTGCAAATCAAAACCACAATGAGATACCATCTCACACCAGTTAGAATGGCAATCATTAAAAAGTCAGGAAACAACAGGTGCTGGAGAGGATGTGGAGAAATAAGAACACTTTTACACTGTTGGTGGGACTGTAAACTAGTTCAACCATTGTGGAAGTCAGTGTGGCGATTCCTCAGGGATCTAGAACTAGAAATACTATTTGACCCAGCCATCCCATTACTGGGTATATACCCAAAGGACTATAAATCATGCTGCTATAAAGACACATGCACACGTATGTTTATTGCGGCACTATTCACAATAGCAAAGACTTGGAACCAACCCAAATGTCCAACAATGATAGACTGGATTAAGAAAATGTGGCATATATACACCATAGAATACTATGCAGTCATTAAAAATGATGAGTTCATGTCCTTTGTAGGGACATGGATGAAATTGGAAATCATCATTCTCAGTAAACTATCGCAAAGACAAAAAACCAGACACCGCATGTTCTCACTCATAGATGGGAATTGAACAATGAGAACACATGGACACAGGAAGGGGAACATCACACTCTGGGGACTGTTGTGGGGTGGGGGGAGTGGGGAGGGATAGCATTAGGAGATAAACCTTGTGCTAAATGACGAGTTAATGGGTGCAGCACACCAGCATGGCACATGTATACATATGTAACTAACCTGCACATTGTGCACATGTACCCTAAAACTTAAAGTATAATAAAAAAAAAAGAACGATTTATTGTACATTTTCAAACAGCTAGTAGAGTGGATTTTGAATGTTTCCAACCCAAATCAATGATAAATGTTTGAGGTGATGTATATGCTATTTACCCTGATTTGATCATTATACATTGCATACATGTATCTAAATATCACACTATGCCTCATAAATTTGTATAATTATTATGTGTCAATTAAAAGTAATAATAAAAGCAAAAAAAAAAGAAGGTAAAAATGATACACCTGTATAAGGCACTTGCCACTTAATCAGTGAGTAATTGGTGAGTGAATGTGAAGGTCTAAGATGTCACTGTACACTGCTATAGACTTTATAAACACTCTACATTTAGTATAACTAAATTTACGTAATAAATTGTTCTTTCTTCAATAATTAAGTAACCTTAGCTTAGTGTCAATTTTAAATTTTATAAGCTTTTAAAATTTTAAAAACTCTTTGACTCTTTTGTAATAGCACTTACCTTAAAACACAAACACAAACTGGGTGCAGTGGTGTGCGGTAATGCCAGCTACGCAGGAGGCTGAGGTGGGAGGATCATTTGAGCCCAGGAGTTCAAGACAAGCCTGGGCAAACATAAGGAGGCCAACAAACAAAGAAATACAAAACAACCTCCCCCCACAAACACATTGTAGAGCTGTTCAAAAATATTTTCTTTCTTTATATTCTTATTCTATAAGCTTTTTTCTACGAAAACTTTTTTTTGATTTTTTACTTTCTAGACTTTTTTGTTAAAAATGAAGACACAAACACACACATTAGCCTAGGCCTACGCAGGGTCAGGGTCATCAATGTCACTGTTCTTCACCTCCACATCAGCTACTGAAAGGTCTTCAGGGGCGTTAACATTCATGAAGCTGTCACCTCCTATGATAACATTGCCTTTTTCTGAAATACCTCCTGACGGACCTTCCTGAGGCTGTTTTACATTAACTTTTTTTTTTTTTAGTTAGTAAAAGAAGTACACTCTGAAACGATAAAAAGTATAGTAAATACATAAAACAGTAATATAATGTTTATTATCATTATCAAATGTTAGGTACTGTACATAATTGTATGTGGCAGACTTTTCCAGGACTGGCAACACAGTAAGTTTATTTATACCAGCGTCACCACAAACACATGAGGAATGCAGGGTTGTGCTACAAAATTGTGACAGCTATTAATACAATGTTACTAGGTGATAGGAATTTTTTCAGCTCCATTATACTCTTATGGGACCATCCCGGTATATGTGGTTTGCTGTTGATTGATAGTTATGTGGCACGCCACTGTATACAATTTTTAATTAACAGATTAAATATCAAAATCTAGTGACAGATTTACTTAGTATCATAATTTTAGAGTAACAATGAACAAAAATGATATTTCAAGATATTTACAACACCGTAAAGTTAATTGAAAATACCTGTGAATTCTATTGGTGACAGACATGGGTACTACTAATACTGCAATGATTTATTGCCTCCATTCATAAATAAAGGAAATACTAGATTTTCACTTACAGATTAGTGAAAATAAAAATGCATAGTTTTTTTTTCTCCATCTGAGTTCATGGCTTTGTGGAATCTATTTCTGTTCTGTGAGATCTTGCACACTTTTCACATTTTACTTTTTGATTAGCCTCATCTACCACTATTTTCTCTTCTTTTATAGCAACTGCCCAGCAACAGACTTTAGAAGGAGGTTGAGGGAAGTGAGGAATATGGATGAGTGCAGACCCCGGCTCCTGGACTAATGCTTGGCATTCTGCCCTCCATGCTTCTTTTCTTTCCTACACTTAATACTTGGCATTCCAGGGCCCAGCCTGCTGGTGTAAGTAACTCCTAGCCATAAAAACCAGTCCTAGTCACAGAGGGCTTGGACCTTGTCTTGGTTTCCCTCTGTGTTTTGTTGATTTGTCTACATAACCTACCCATAGCTAGCTGTTCTCTCCTCCTTATGATCCTGAAACTTGTCATGTTGGAAAAGTGTTTTGCTGTAGACATCCTGAATCATCCTGAATCTGGGCAGGGCCTTTGAATGTGTAGGAATTGAAATTGTTTTCCAGTTTCAATTTCCATAGATCCTAGAAGGTAAAATACAACTATGCATTTAAATCAGAATATTGAAGACTTTGCTATGGAGAAGGAGTATTCAAGGATATTAGTAATATATTGTTGGTATTGTGAAGCTAAACAATAAAAGTAATTGTTTTATTAAGATGGGAACAACTATTTAGCCTCTGCACCATCTTCTCTCTCTTCCTTTCCAATGCTTGGAGACAGGCAGTACGGTGGAACTCTCAGTGGTGAGAAAAAGATGTTTTCTGCTTTTGATGACACTGCTGTTTCCATAGTGCATTTTTTGCTGTGGGACTCTTGCTGATTTCTGCCCTAGAGGTTGAGAGCAGAGATGTTCCAGTTCTCTTGACAAGGTTCCAGGAGACTGGGAGTGGACTGGATTCTGGCCAGGGCCATTTATTCTTGAAGAAATTAGAAACCAGTGGTGTATTGCTCTGCTTATTCAGAAGGAGTAAGAAATAAACTAGCATGTGACAGGGCAAAGGAGTTAATCTCAATCTAGACAAACTTTTGTGTTTCTAGGCCTATGTAGGTGATAAAAATGAAGGCCAGGAGAGGAGAAATGATTGGTAATACACACACACACACACACACACACACAGAGAGAGAGAGAGAGACAGACTGATGAAGCACATTTCTATTCAGCAAAGGTTGTTTTCATGTGGAGTTAGAATTCTTTCCCCTTATTTCTTCTCAGTTCTTATTTTTTTGATTAAGAAAATTAAAAATAAAGCATCAGAAAAGTACAGCTAATTATATAATAAACATCCACATACCCACCACCCAGATGGATAAACATTACATGAGAAGATAAAGTCCCATTGGGAAGCTCTGACAAGTCAATGAAGATGTCTGGAAAGAAAGGGTTCCCATTAACCATCTTCCTCACCCAGAGAATATGAAGCCATCAAGTGAGGTTAAGAACTGGTCTATTCCCTTCATCTTTCTCCCTGCCAAACTCCTCCCATTTTCAGGGAGAACAAAACATCAGGTATTGAGTGGAAGAGAGAGGTGAGAGGGGTGGAGGGTAGAGAGCAGAAGGCCCGGTCTTCCCTTCCTACTGCAGGTTTCCAGGCTCAGCTGGTAGAGGGGAGATTTACTACTAAGGGAAGTTATGAGTTTCGATGATTTCAGGGGATTATGCATTCTTTTTTATTTTATTTTATTTTTTTGAGATTGAGTCTTGCTGTTGTCGCCCAGGCAAGAGTGCAATGGCGCCATCTCGGCTCACTGCAACCTCTGCCTCCCGGGTTCAAGCAATTCTCCTGCCTCAGCCTTCTGAGTAGCTGGGATTGTAGATGTGCACCACCACGCCAGACTAATTTTTGTATTTTTAGTAGAGACAGGGTTTCACCATGTTGGCCAGGCTGGTCTCAAACTCCTGACCTCATGATCCACCCGCCTTGGCCTCCCAAAGTGCTGGGTTTATAGACTTGAGCCATCTTGCCTGGCCTGGGATTATGCATTCTAATCACTAAACTGAGACTGTGTTTGTGACCTAAAATGGCTGTGAGGCTTTTCCATTATTTAAGAGTGAACAGAAAAGACTTGGGACTCCCAGTTTTCCTTCATGAGCAGGGAAGGTGACTTTCACTGAATAAATGTTTAAAGAAAACTGTGGGAGAAAAAGTCAAGTTGGGTTTTGGTTGCCAGGAGTTACGCTTGTTTCAAATATCACCCGGAAAGCATTTAATCAAATCCAAGATACCACCGATACTAAGGCAAACTATAATTTCAAATGCCCCTAAGAAAGAAAAATATTGCTACTATGATACATAAACATGAACGCAAAAATCTATGATGAACAAAATACCAAAATTTTAAATAAAGGATCAGTATTACTGATTTTTCCTTTTGCCTCAGTCTTTAAAGTGTCTCAGCATGGTATTGTAACTGTTCTTTATTTAAAATTTTGATATGTAATTCATCATGTTTTTTGCATTAATTTAAAAATGTTGCATTAGAACACTACATATCTTCATTTTTGAGTTTTTGGGTGCTCCACTAAATTTTGCACTTGAAGCAAGTGCCTTCCTCACCTCACCCACCTCATCCACTGCACCCTAGCTCCTCTGTGAGATATACATGTGGATAGAAACAAAAAGAAGAAAAGGGGAAGAAAGAAATATAAAAGATCCTTTTGCTTATTTTCTTGCCTGTGTAATTGCAGAAGGGAGAAATATTTGCATACATTTTTCAAACACGAATTTCTTTAAAGCACCAGCTGGAAAATATCAGAGATGGTCTAACTGATAGCCCTAGATAACACTGAAGAGGGAGGTCTAATCTTCTCTTTGAAAAGACTCGAACATATTGCCTGGGATGACAAAAGTCCACAATAAACAGCTACTTTGGTGCTTTTGATGGTGTTGATATTAAAGTATGAACCAAAAATCTTATTGTTTTGATTTCCTCATTCCTGCCATTAAAAGAAATTCCCTCTAGTACCAATGAAAGTGTAGAAGGAGATTTATGATACTTGTGTGTAATATAATACTTGGTACATAGCTCTCTACCATTTTCATCATCTCTTAATTCTCATAATATTTCTCACTTGATCCTCAAAACTACCACAGAGGGTAGAGAGGGAAGGCGTTGCCCATTTTATGGACAAGGCTTCAGCCTCATTTTTCAGACAAGGTTGATCCAAGTCACATGACAAACTGCTACAGAATGGGAAGAAGAACTCTGATCTTTCAACATCAAGGGTAGTCCTTTTCCTGTACACAGTGCTGTGTGCCTCTGAAGACATGTGGAGAGACGCTGTAAGTGGCTGCATATGAGGGATTGCAGCTATAATCTGAACTGGTTAGCAGCTGATCTCCCTGAGGCTATATCCAGTCTCCTAATGCTGTTTCATATTAAACATGTTTGGGAGTTAGTCACTTGGCTGGCACATACCAGCAAAGTGATTGCTTCAGCCCTGCTTGAAAATTCTAGGTCCTCCCTTTGCCTGGGGGTGGCAAACTCAATGCAAACCTCAGCTACAATCTTGCAGACACTCTGGGGCTGAAGCTGCCTTTGTGTTTCACTTATACATAATATCATATTTTCAGTAAAAGATCAATGGATGAATTAAGTATTATTAGTCTTTACCTCAATGTACCATCAAAGCTGTTCCTGTGAATGCCACCCCTTCCAAGGAGAGACTGGCAGATCAACAGGTTTAGTCTCACATATCAGTGGGATTTGGGTATAAGTATTTGGCTGCATTTAAACCTGCAGGTGGAGATGCCAGGTTCCCTGTAGCCATCCCCTATCAGGGAGGGGACTAATTCTTCTCAAGCCCTCTTGTGCCTGGGTGCCCAAGTCACTGGCACCAGGTGGTGTGGAGGGATGGAAAGCCTTGTTCTTGCATGTCAGGCAGGTGGATGGAGTCTGCTTCATGCCTTCATCCTGCCAGCCCTGTTTCCTGAGGTGGGCCCATGCTTCCATTTCCCTCGTGCCTCAGTGAAACTCTTCTACCCAGTGTCCCCTCACCGTGTTTTCTCCGGTTCTTTGAGTGTGCCCTTCTTATGGCTCCTTAGTCCCTGGCCTGTAAATGAGATAAGTCTGTTACACTTGACTTAGATTTTTGTCTTTTATTGTTGATCCTTTTCCCCAATCTCTGGCTTTTTTTTTTTTTTTGCCCTACATTCCTATTCCTTACTACAATTCCTAGCAACCATTTTCCTAACCCTTTGCCAGATGCAAACTTTGACAGTTGTCTTCTTATAAGATTCTGGAACTCAACTCCAAAGAGCCATGGCTTATAGGGGAGAAGGAAGAGGGCAATGGTGCCTGCCACCTGAAGAGTAAGGCCTGCTTGTCCAGGTGAAATCTTCCTGCACAGAGTTTATTTGAAGGTTAGTATTTTTATTGTTGTTGTTAATAAAGTAGAATAACATCTATTTATTTTTTAAAATTTTTATTATACATGTTGTATTCATGGAAAATCAAGAACTTTAAAGGAACTCAAATTAGATCTAAATTATGTTCAGCTCTGAACTGGTTACAAGTCATGTTTAGCATGGGAACAATTAAGCTGAAACTTTCTTCTCCTTATAGGTTACCAACATTTTCTTGATTTCCGCAGTAGCCTTCCCTGGATTCAGACCTGTGGGACAAGTCCTTGTGTAGTTCATGATGGTGTGGCAGTGGTACAGAGAGAGTGGGTCCTGCAGCTTGGCCAGGTACTCTTCTGTGAAGTCTTCTCTGGAGTCAATCATCCAGTGATAGGCCTGTATAAGAACTGCAGGCCCCAGATATTTGTCTCTGTTCCACCAGTAGCTGGGGCAGGTGTTGCTGCAGCAGGCACAGAGAGGAGGCTGAGGTGGGAGAATCACTTGAGCTCGAGAGGTCAAGGCTGCAATGAGCAGTGATTGAGACACTGCACTCCAGCCTGGATGACAGAGTGAGATCCTGTCTCAAAAAAAGTAGTTTCTGAATAGGATTCTCTAAGTTCCACTGTTCCAGTACTGCTCAAAATCCAACTGGGAAGTGATGTACATCTTTGGCTCTATCTAAATCCAAGCAAAGTTTATCTATAGGCACCTGATGTCGTTTTGTTCAGACTTATTAGTCATTAAATATTAGCCAGACCCTGGTAGAAAACCTTAAGATTGTCATTAGTGTTTCTTTTACATAGAACACTGTTCATTGTTTTTAGTGTTTCATTTATAGGTGAACTTACCTATTCTCAGGTGTTTCTATATCTGAAAGGATCAATAAAAGATAGTGGTAAAATACTGGTTTGATGGATAGCACATAGGGTCTCAGTAGGTGAGACAGTGAAGGCAGATGGGAGATAGAGCAAGATCACATAAAGGGATCCATGGATTAGCACTCTAAATGAGGTCAAAGAGTAATTGTTTTTGTTTGTTTTCTTTAAAAGAGAGAACTGGAAAATGGACTGGTAATGGTTTTTGGTGTGACATCAGAGTTTAGGTTGGCAGAGTTGAAATAGATCTGGGTAATAATCACATTTAATATAAAGCTGTAGGAGAGGAAGTGGCTAGTGGCTACCAGAAATCTTTGCAGGATTTGAGGAAGAAAGCTTGTTGGAGGTCTAGTGAATGTGGAGTGAATGACGAAGAGAAGAATAGATACCAATGGCCACAAAACAGGGTAAAGGGCTTTTCTAGCCAATGAAGAGTAAGAGTTTGAATATGGTAATATGGAGCCAGAAGAGTAAATATGTCAGTTCCCCTAAATAGCACTAAGATGCTAATCAACGTCCTCACTTCCAGGGGGTTGCAGGAAAGGCAATGTGCTTCAGCAAGGATCGTGTTTCAGTTAAGGCAGGAGGAGAAAGGAGACCAAAGGGGGAAAGATTTCCATTGTAAGAAAAGGCATTTACCAATGGATGAGGGCTCCAGAGGGCCAGCAGAAGGGGTTGAGTTGTAGGAGAGGAAGAAGAAGGAGGATGAGCTAAGGGGAGGTTGGAGGTGATGGTAACAGGAAAAGATAGGCCATTGGAATGGCTAGCATTTAGGCTGGAGGCAAAGTATGTCAGAGTAGAGAGATAGGTAAAGCATGGGCCCCAGGCATAAGGGGTGTGTAAGCCCACACAGAGAGGTTGTCAGCAGTATTTGAAGCTAGGTGCTGCCCACCCTTATGGGCTGGTCAGCAGTGATAGGCTTCTGCCCAGGCCTCCAGATGAATGCAACATGGCTGGGAGGTTATTTTGTGCCGTAGCATGAGCCAGTCTCAAGTGAGGAGGGTAGAATTGTTAGAACTTAGTTGAAAGGAGGAGAATTGTACATGTTCTCAGGCCTTCTGTGAAGTGCATCTACACAAGGGCTCTGATAAATTAACCAAACTTTTCCTTATGTTGGTAACATACTCTCATCCCTTGGTGTCTTCCCGGAAGCATTGGGTCTCATCCGTAGAGTCCTCAGCATTAGGAGGGTTAAGAATTCAGCCCCTAAACTTCTTGGCCAAACTAGCTTGACCTGATGATCATATAATAAAGCTGCTCCTAAGAATCTTCATCATCACGGCAATGGGTCTGCTGACACCTGCGCTCTATTGTCAGGGTGACCACATCTCAACGAAACCTGTAGCAGTCAGGTGGCCAGTCACGAGGGATTTAGATGTGAAGCTAGAAACTTAGTCCAAGAGGTGGGCGGTGGGGGGAGGGGAGGTGGGGGATGGTGCACGGGATAAAAACCGCACATTCGGGTTTTGGGAAAACCATGATATTAAATCAAGATAGAAAAAGCAACAAGATAGATGTAATGCTCAATCATTGAGTGGCTAATCTAATCTTTATGCAACTCAGATGTCAGTTGGGGTCACCCTGACTCTTAGTATCTGTGAAGATTGACTCAAGCCCCATCCTGGGGAAGTACAGTGCCCTCCCACATTATGCATAGTCCTGTGGGCTAACAGTTTCCTAGTCATTCCTGCGATGATTTCCAACTTTGGCTGAGTTCTTTCCCACCCCATTGTGGATCAAATCAAGGGCTCCTTCTCCTTGGTTTCCTCCTAAAGCATCACTCACGGCATTTAGCAGCATGTTGTAGAACTTTAACTGCTGGTGGGAGCTACAGATCAGTACTGGACAATGGATGATGTAGAGTTAATATCAGACAGCCCTGTTCTTAAAAGTCCCCTATATCATTTCTGCCAGCTCCCAGACTCCAGATTCCCACTGTGTGAACTCTCTCTTTCCTAATCTCCTCTCTCCTCCATCTCCTTCCTCTTTCCCACTCCTACTCTAAGTCCCTTTACATTTTCTAAGCAGAGAAATTTAGCTGCTTCTTTGTTAACTCCTGTCAACCTCAGTCCTTGGGCTCACTCTTTCTTCCCACCTAGCTTTTCAAGGTATTTTCCTAAACAAGATAGTTTCTCCTCTAACAGAAATTGTGGAGCCAGCTGGGTAGAAGATTTTTCTCTCTATTTTCATTACCCCTGTCAAAGATAGTTGGCTTCCAGAGTCTGTAATAGGGCTTGACCTGCAAGTTCATTTTAAGTGGCTCCTGATACAATGGGCAGAGGTGGTGGAGGGAATGAAGTTGACAGCTTCCGCAGTCCTGGAGTAGAATGGCGACCTTCTGAAACCGCTGGTTGGTTCTCAACACTGTGGCCCTCTGAGCTGATTTCTCTCATGAGACTTCTCAGACCACATGTACACTCACTCTTGGAAAATGCATCAGCTTGTCCTTTATTCACTCTTTCAGGTAACAGCCTGATCCTCTCTCAGCTCTCTCTTGGAACTCTTGGCCCAAAGATACCTTCTTCCCATCTCTCCAGGAGGAAGACAGACACAAAACAGCTCTTTGTTCAGAACTTGAAAACTCAGTGTCTCCTTTCACCTAATTAGCAGGAAGTACTTTTCCACTCACTTCATTTTCTTATCGGAATTTGCTAACTGGAGCTGAGTAGCTTAGTTTGCATATGAGGTTTGTTTATTAATTAACAGCCTCTAGGCCAGGTTGTCCTTCTCATGACTTAATATCTAACTCAGCACTGGCGAAACCGGGAAAGAGTGCTTGCTGGTAGATTTTCCTGTGATGAGAAAGATCTCCAAAGTGATGTAACAGCTCTTGTGCCTTTGCTGGAAGTTATCCCGAAGATTAAGACCCTCCAAGGAGTGTAACCTGAAATATTTGGGGATCCTTGACAGAGATTGGGGATGGGCACCACTTTGCCAGTTTGTTTTAATAATGAAGCGAGACAAATGGCTTGGGACTCTAAAAGAAAATAGTCAAAATATTTTTTATTTTTTTGAGACAGTCTCACTCTGTTGCCCAGGCTGGAGTTCAGTGGCATAATCATGACTCACTGTGGCCTCAACCTCCCTGGCTCAGTTGATCCTCCCACCTCAGCTTCCCAGGTAGCTGGGACTATAGGCATGCAACACCATGCCCAGTTAATTTTTATTTCATTTTTTGTAGAGACAGGGTTTCATCACATTGCCCAAGCTGGTGTCGAGCTCCTGGGCTCAAGCAATTCACCTGCCTTGGCCTCCCAAAGTGCTGGGATTACAGGCGTGAGCCACTGTCCAAAAAAAAAAAAAAAAAAAATTATTTTGTTTTCCAACAAGCTCACTTTATTTTCTACTCAAGAAGGCACTAAGTAATGACCAACTGTAACCTCACTAGTTTCTCCATTCTGTGCTATTAGGTTGTGATAGGCAGAATTTTGGCCCCAAAACTTTTGCCCCCTGGTGTTACTCCTGTGGTTATGTTATGTTAATTGGCAAATGAGACTTTACATATGTAATTAAGGTTACTAATCAACTGATCTCAAAATAGAGATATTATTTGAGTGGGTCCCAGGGAATTATGTGAACCCTTAACAGCAGAGCTTTCTCCTAGCTAAGGCCAGAGTAGGACATCAGAGAGATTCCAAGCATGAGAAGGAGTTGATGTGCTGTTGCATCTGAGAAACAGGGGCCATGTGCAAGGACCAGAGACAGGCGTCTGGGAACTAAGGGCAGCCCCCAGCTGACAGTCAGCAAAGAAACACAGGCCTCAGTCCCACAACCCACAAGGAACAGAATTCTGCCAACAACCTGCATGAGCTTGGAAGTGGATTCCTCCCTGGAGATCCAGAAAGGAACACAGCCCTGCTGGCACCTTGTCTTGGACTTTGTGAGACCCTAAGCAGAGAACCCAATTGAGCTACACTGTACATGGACCTCTGGCCTATAGAAACTGTGAGATAATAAATATGTGTTGGTTTAACCTTCAAGGTTTGTGGTACTTGGTTGCAGTAATAGAAAATGATCACATGGGCTTTCTATCTTTTATTTGAAAAGGAGTGAGCAGTGGAGATGTCTTTTCTTAGGAGGAGCTGACCAAGTAAGGGTCTTTACGGCAAGGTTCTGTGGAAAAACTTGGTCACTGTGTTCAAAGGGCTGGCCTTCTGTTTTATAATCTAGAGCTACCTAGTCCAATATGGCAGCCACTGGCCACATATGACTTAAATTTAAATTAAATAAAATTGAAATTTTAGTTTCTTATTTGCATTAGCTACATTTTAAGTGTTCAGTATCCATGTGTGGCTAACGGCTGCTGAATTGGAAGGCACAGGTATAGAACATTTCTTTTAATGCAGAAAGTTCTATCGGACTAGAGCCAGTCCAATAGAACCAGACTGGTTCTGGTCTAGATGATTAGCAATGATGGCCTCCAATTACACTGTTCTTTTTTTCTCATTTGCAGCACTGAGAGGTAGGATTTCTCCACTCTCTAGTAGAATTATTACAAAGCAAAAAACATGCAAATTTCTCCCAACTGCAGCAAGAAATATGTGAATTTTGTGGAAACTTTCATGTCTGTATTTTTTTTTCCCCCTTAGAGACCAGGTCTTGCTCTGTTGCCTAAGCTGGATCATAGATCACTTCAGGTGTTGAACTCCTGGGCTAATTTTTAAATTATTTGTAGGGATGGGGGTCTCGCTATATTGCCCAGGCTGACCTTGAAGTCCTGGCCTCAAGTGATCCTCCTGCCTTGGCCTCTCAAAGTGCTGGGATTACAGGTGTGAGCTACTGTGCCCAGCCATCTCTAATATCTTTACATATCACTTGTATAAATTATCTCCTGGGAATAGGAAGCCCTGGCCTTGCAGTAGAACATTTTAGAAATATCAGTGACTGGGTATCAGGCCTTGCTATTTTTCCAGATGGAAGAGGGGTTACCACATTGTGAATGACCAAGAAGTCCCTTGCTCTGGGCTACAGAATTTTCTAAGCGTCTCCTGTTATATAGTAAGACAAAGGTCTTTGTCTAACCACCACAGTCTGTTTGGGTTTGTTTGCCTCCGTGGGTGACTTTATTGGCCTGGCCTGAGGCAAACAAATCCAAAAAAACTATGATGGTTAGACTTGCCTTCTTATATTAGTTTCCAGTGCTCAAGGTGACACTAACCTAGATGAGTTAAAAAAGGCTTATTCTCTCAGGAGACTGAAGCAGGCAGTCTCTGGATCTGTCTTTTGGCTGAGGCTCAAACAACAAAAGTTGAGACTTAAGACTTCGTGGCCCTGGCGAAATTCACATGTAACTTGTGGCCATGAACTAAAGCTTGCAGGTGGTGCACTTGGAGATGTATGGTGCAGGCCAAGGGCAAGGACACGGCTTAGGGGTCAGAAGACCTGAGTGTGAATGCTGCATCCATGTTGCTGTACTACCCTGAGCTACTTAATGAATGTTTTTTCATATTTGGTGAAACAGAGGATAATAATCTCCAATTTTTGGGGTTGTGGTAGAGTTGTAAGGATTGAAGGAGAGAATTGCATGAATTTTCTGGCACCTAGGAGGCTCTCAGGGAACAGTAGCTAATGTTACTCACACATGTATCAGCCCAAGGTTATATCAGAAAGAACCATCCATCAATATCCTGGCCAGTCACCTCTGTAGTGTTGTCTCATTCCCACCTCAATCACCACTTCTATGGCCATACCCTCAGCCCAGTCACTTCGATAATTACACTATCCCCCCAAACATTCTACATCACTTTTCAACATCCTACTTCCTCACCTCTACCCAATACATTCCTCTGAACATCTGATTCCCTGCGATTCTCCCATCTCACTGAAACCTCCAATCCATTATTTCACTGAGGAAAACACAAGCAACCAGAAAAGAACTTCCACAAGCTCCTACCACCACATCTACCTACCTTCTGGCATTTGTGCTCAGAGATTCTGCCTTTCCTCATGCGATGATGGGCAAACTGTCTGTGCTTCTATCCAAGACTCTACTCTGCATCCAGCCCCTCTCTCCCACTCTAGAAACTTGCTCTTGGAGTTGTCCTTCTCTCCTGCATCATTAATTTCCCCCGCTTCGCCAGATCATTTCCACTGCATTGAATATACTAACATTTCTCATATTTAGAAGATTTCTCCTAGACTCCTATCCTCCTTCAACTACCACTTTTCCCTCTCCTCCCCTTTATAGTGCCCTTCACTGGTGTTTTCTCATCCCCTCAATTCTAAATGCTGGAGTGCCCCAGGGTTTAGACCTCAGAATTCTACTCTGTCTACACTTACCCCCAGGGGATTGCATACAATCCATGAATTTGAATATTTCCCACATGCTGCCAAATTTATATACTCTACCTGGGCCTCTCCTCTGAACCACAGACTCATGTCCCATTGCCTACTATACATCTCCACCTGCATATATATGAGGCATCTTGAACTTATTATATCCAAAATGAACTGTTGATTTTCAGCCCCTAAATCTGCTCCTCCCATAGTTGTCCCTGGTTCAGTAAATAGAACTCTATTCTTCCATTTGCTCATGCTAAAAAGCTTGGTTTTACCTTTATCCTTCTGTTTCTCTCACGTACTTCATTGAGTCCTTCAGAAAGCAAAGGGAGAGAGTCTTGAAAGGCTATTTTGTCCAGGCCAAGGATAAGTCCTGAGTCACCAAAGAATACTACCCTCTAGTGACCAGAATTATACATAACCTGCATGTATTCATTCTTATTTCAACAAATATTTTAAAATAGATTTGGAGCATTTACCATGTTCCAGGCAGTGTTCTAGGTGCTGGGGATATAGCAATGAAAATAAAACAAAACAAACAAACAAAAACAAAAAACAAATAAAACAAAAAACAAGTAACATTTTGTGAAGCTTACCTTCCATTGGGAGGAGACAGAAAACTTGTTAGACGGCTAAAGAAAAATACATCAGAAAATAACAGAAAGTGTTAAAAGGCTGCTGTTTTAGATAGTGTGGTTATGGAAACTTCTAAGCTGACATTTAAGCATAGATACTTAAGCATTAAGGAGAGGGAGCCATGCAGAGATCTGGGAATAAATTATTCAAGCAGAAGGAATATGTGCAGAGATTTTGAGGCAGAAGCATGCTTGGGGCATGTCCCAGGAGCAGGATGAACCTCTGTAGCCAGAGTGCAATGAGTGAGGTGCATAAGTGGTGGGAAATGAAATCACGGAGGGAGCTGGGGTGAGATTCATAGGCCTTGCAGCCAAAAAACGGAATTTGGAAATTTTTTTCCGACAGGAAGAGAGCCAGTAGAGGGTTTTGAGCAGAGGTGCATCGTAATCTGACTTACATTTTAGAAGGATCAGACTGACTGCTGGCTGAAGAATGAACAGTAGGTGGAAACAGGGAGACCAGTTAGGGGCCTGTTCCATTTCTCTAGGCATGAGAAGATGGTGCCTGAATTAGATGATTACTGTGCAGGTGGCGTGAAGTACTGGACTGAGATTTCTTTTGAAGGTCGACCTGACGGAGTTTGCTGAATACATGGTACCTGCACAATTCATACTTGTTGGATGAATGGATACACAGAGGTGAGTATTCTGGGGTGAGGCAGGACTTTTCGGGCCTGGATGGAATACCCTGCCATACACCCCCCACTGTTCTTTTGTTGTTCACCTGCAGACATTTGATGACAATACTTTGTTCCAGGTGCCCTAACTCTGAGGAGGGGTGGCTCAAGATTAAACAAGAGGGTATTGCCACTGGAAAATATCTACAATTCTAATTTAGTAAATTGGGTTTATGAGTGATTTTTAATTTCCTTGTCCAGTTTTGCTCAGTTTGACCAAGTCTCTGATAAAGTTGAGATCCAAACCTGAAAATTGGATCCTAAACTCTAGAACCTGGTGGTCCCACATAGTTCTTTCAAGCTGTTGAGCCCATTCTGAGTCATTAATTGGGCTCCTTTTGGGGAAGTTTCTTCGATTTTTAGCAATATGTGGTTCTATTACTCTTTGAATTTGGAATGTAAAATTTCTAATAATTGGGTAGGAACACAGCTTTTATTGTCAGAAGATTTATAGAGTCTTTCTTTACTTCCAAGTTCCTTTCTTCAATTCCAAGGACAGCAGTAATGCCTGCCAGGGCCAGGACTATGGTGAGCCACGTGAGCTGCACAGGGTGCAGCATTTAAGGAAGCACCTGAGAGTGAGTGCCTCCTTAAATGTTTTGCTCCAGGCATTTGCTCGCCTCACCGTAGTCCTGGCCCTGATGCCTACAGAGAAGCATTTTGGTTTATTAACCAGGCAGCTCTAGCATGAAGAGCAGGACCAGTTCCCTACTGTTTGGCCATGACTGTGCAGCAGAAAGCTGCTCTCAGAGAAAGCAAATGGCATGGAGAAGAGCCATGTTCTGGAAAGCTCTGCCAATTTAGAAATTAAAACCAGTGGGAAAATGGGGACAAACATTATGAGGTTTTGCTTCATAATTGACTCAACAAGCCACTGGCATTCCATTTGTTGAAGCCTACCTGGATCTACTAATCCTATTTATAGCATTTCTATCTTGTTTGTAATTCCTCAGATACAGCATTAAAGAAAAAAAGTTCATTCTCTACTATCTTCTTCTGTGCCTTCTTTATATACATTACAAAAATTAACAGAATAAATAATGGCTGCAGTATAAATGCTTTGGACAATCAGGTAAGGGTTTATTTTTAAGTTTGGGTCAATAATTTCCATCTTCAAAATGAGCCCAAATTGACTGAGTGATTCTAAATTAGCTCTTTAGTTTTTTACTCCAAACCATTGATAATGCCACTATTAATTTCAATTATTTAGAGGCAGCATTAATACATGTAAAACAAGAACAGCAATGACAGAAAGGAATAAATTACTTGCTGCAGGACAGAATGACATTTTGAGTGGCACAGGGATTTTTTTCCCTTCACACACTTTGTGCTTTGACATTTCACTTGGCACAAACATTTCACAAATTCTTGACCTAATCTGATGTACTGTTGTTTAGCAATTGCTGACATGACATATTTTAACCTCAAGCTCACTGGATTCCAAATGTTACCTTTTTCTGTCAATCAGGGTTGGGTGACCTCCAAAAAAACAGTCCAAGAAAAGACTACGTTCGTAGGACGTTAAGTGTATTTGCCCAGAATGGAGAAGTAGCAGTTTGAAGTAGGGTTTCGGGTGGGGTGGGAGGAAGAGGTGCTGTCATTTAGGGCAATTATAGGGTGCAAAAAGGGCAGAAGACAGATCCCCAGGGAACCCTGACATCTTGAGAGAGGCAACAGCCCCAAACATAAAATCTCTAGGAATAAACCTAACAAGAAATAGGTTAGGCACATATGACAAAAAATGTCAGAGAATGAGGGGATAGAAGAGATTTAAATAATGCAGAAATTACACTGTCTTCCTAAAAGGGAAGCATGTATTGTATAAACACGTCATTTCTTCTCAAATTACTCTATAGATATAACTTGATTGTCTCTAGGCCTTACTGCCTTTGGGTATGGAAGGGTCATGTTCATATGAATACCTAGATTTTTCTTGTTCATTAGCTTCTATTGACATCTTCTCCCTCCCAGGTCTTTACTCAAGAATCAGCCGACTCACGTGGCTCTCCTCTGCTCTCCTTTTTAAGGGCTATATCAGTTAGAAATGCTTTTAGTTGCAAGTAATAAACAACTCCACCAAAAGTGATTTAAATAATAAAGACATTTAATTGTCTCTTATATTTAGTCCAGAGGTAGGCAGTTCCAGGTGTGATACATTGGCTCAATCAACAAAATCATCAAGGACCTAGGCTCTTTCTATGTTTCCATTCTGCTAACCTGGAAAAATTGCTTTTTGTCCTTAGCCTTGTAGATGCAAGTTGGAAGAACTACAGCTCCAAGCATAATGTCTACATATTACCATGCTCAAAGCAGGAAAAGTGGGCAGGGAGAAACAGGTTTTCTCACAAGGATGTGTCTTTGTATTAGGCAAAACAATATTTTTCTAGAACCCCTCCCACCCCCAGCAGACTTCCCCTTCCATCTCATTGGCCAAAGCTGGGCCATGTTGCCCATCTCTAGACCAATCACTGGCCAAAGGGAGTTGCAACTGCCACGAATGATCAAACATGATTCATCCGTGGCTGCTGTGACTGTTGCTACCAGAACAAAACTGTGATTCTGTTAGCTATGAAGAATGGGACATGGCTGGTTGGATAGGCAACCTATAGCATTTGCCAAAAGATGCAACACCTATGGGCATTTGAGAGAGGCCTCCATAAGACCACTGCTCTGATGGCTGCTCCAGACTTTTTTGATCTGCAAGGCACAGACACTACCCCTGGTAGTTTTTCCAAGTCCTTAGCATGTCAAAGTTGCTTAGCTGCCTGCAGTAAAGAGGGACAAAGAGTGACCTTCTCGGCAAACAGCAATGCTCCTTGTGACCCATCTTGCAAAGGTGCTCATGGAAATTGCTCCTGCCTCTGGTGCCGTCTTTCATATAAACTCTGCAGGTGGGCTCACTCAGCAGCCATCTTTATCTCCCTTCTCCCACCTCCATTCTGCCATTTAGAAGTTAAACATCATCCTGCAGCCTCCTTTTCAGGGAAGGGGAGTCATGTGTGTGACTGTTTTGGGCAATGCTAGATAAGCAGAAATTTGCTAGGGGTTTCTAGAAAAGCTTTTACTTTTCTGATAAAGGCCTTAATGCCAGCATGCATCACTTTGCCACTTAAATTTAATATGATCCTAGTCAAAGGTACTAATAGGATTTTAAAGGGTGACGACAGCAAAATTATTCTAAAGTTTATTTGGAAAAATAGACAAGTGAGAATAGCTAGAATATAAGCTTCATTAGGGCAGGGATTATATAAAAGTAATTTCCAATGCTTTTATGCTTTAAAAAGACTTCCACATTCTGAAATCCATTACATATTTATCTTATTATTTTTTTCTGGTTTCATTTTTTACTGTAAAAAAATCCAAGTGTCAAAAAGTCACCATATGCAACCTTAAGAGACAAGCAACAAACTGGGAAAAGTCTCCCTGTTTCAGCAAGGTGACAGAGGAGCAAGATGTCAGGGGGCGGGAGTGAGAGCCAGTGTGACTGAAGCATGGAGTCTCCTTTATACAGTCTGGTGGTATATTATTATCCCCACATATTATTATTATCCCCATTTTGTCAGTGAGGAAATTAAGAAGTGAGATAATTTGCCCAAGATTAGATAACCTGGGGTCAAAATCCAGGTGTTTTTGATAGTAAGCCAAAGTCTGTACTCTGTCCATTACACCTCACTGCCAACCAAATTCTGAGAAAGTTTAACTTTCCAACTGAATTAGAAATAATCAGAGGAGTGGGACAGAAGAGGGTAATTTAAGAGATGTCATGGGAGGTGGGAAGGTGTAAATTAAGGGGGAAAGATGGAAGTGAAAGTTATCTACAATACATAGACCACTACTGGGTCTAGGATCATTGGGAATGAACAGGCAGGAAGGATGGACCTCCAATTAATGTTGCCTATGGCCTGGACTGAATTCATGCACACACATCACCAAGGGAGTGTATAGTAGAAAGCGCACAGACCTCTTCTATCCAACAGATCTTCCTTGATCCCCTTTCATCACTTACTAACCACATGTCAAAATGAGAATGAAACAGAATCCTTAAGTAATCCAACCACAGCCACCATCATATTGCAATGTTCAATTCTCTTAAGGTACCCTGGCTGGTGCTCTTCCTCCAGGTGTTCTGATTGCTGCCAGATTGCACTCCCAGAAACCAATGGCACAGTCCCAGAGCTACATTTAAAGATGTTGGTGTGGCAGCAAAATTTGTTTGTTGGCAACAAGCACCCAATAAGCAGAATTTTATTTTGGTTGCAAGTATCCACCCAAACTCCATGAATTAAATACTCCTGGTTGACATAGCATAAAGATTGCATGATTGAACCCACAGCTGTCCAGAGAATTTTTTTTTAGACAGATGCATTATATTTAAAGCGGAATGGCCATTGTGAATTGACAAAGGTAAAACATAATTAAATAAAAATGATTATACTCACCATGGATAATTTCTATCAGTACTATTTATATGGCTGAACAATGAAATCCATGATGGAAGAGTTCCATTTAAAACTAATGTTGCTTAATTTATGGTCAGCTTTTCAAAATCTTAACTTCAGTCACTTTTTGCTCAATACAATTATAGCCATAAATAATTTAAGTTGATTAAACTTGAACAATTCAATTTATGAAAGATTACAAAGTACCATAAATTTAGCAAATTTCTATTTATAAATACAGATCAGATAGCACATGGAAATAGGTTTACAATTTTTGTAGAGAAAATTTTAATACAAGTAATATAATGAAACACCGGTTTATCAAAGTGATCAATAAAACTAAAGATTATCACAGTCTTTTTTATAAGTTAAAATGACTGACATGAGAATTTATGTTATTTATCCTCTTTAATAATGAACAAGAACACTCAATTAAAATAGCCATATTAATTTCCTAGTTTAGTTTATTTGCTTATTATTTTACAATTGCTCTGAGCTATTGCTTTGATGTCTGTAAAAGCTATAATTTTGCTGCAAACCTTGAAATTAATTTAGAAACAATTTGATGTCCCATTTTTCGGTGAACAATTCAAGAAACAAGCAGGTAAAACTAATCACAATGCATTGGTGTGAACATACTTTAAAGGGTATGTGTAGGTGGAAAAAACATGTTCTTGATTCAGATGGTTTTTAAATATTTATAATACCATATTTATACATGAAACTTACACACATATAAAGGCAGTTATACAAAGTAGATGCTTAGGAAATGTTTGTTGAATAAATGACTAACATACTTTGCCAAACACAGATAAGTGCACATCACCATGTCATAGACACGCTATCTAAAACTTAAAGAATTTTAAACATTAAAAAAGTTTATTTAAATGATGTGTGGCATATTTGCTGGAGGAAGTAGGGCACAAAGTTCCTCAGACAAATGTCACCTCACATCTGTTTTGTTTGTTGCACAGCATGGCGATTTTAACTACCTTTTCCAGATCCTCTTCAATTTCTGCACCTGTGAACTAAAACGCAAATATTATTAGAAAGGTTCAATCCTTCCCCTAGGGAAGCCTCATTTTTCACTTCTTATTTTAGAAAGAATCTCTGTTGGATTAGATACACTTGTACAATTTTATCTGGCTTTTCAAAACTTCTTATAAAAGCTTCTTTCCTTGTGGGCTCCCAGACCTGAAAGAATACTATATACCAAATTCTACTTTCATTATGCCGTTTATTTTACTGCTTCTAAGTGCCTCATAACATCTTGGTCTCCTACATTCACTTTAAGTCTCTCCCAAATCCATGTAATTTTGCCTCATGCCTCACTCTAAATTTTTAAAAAAATATCCCATCAATCCAATTGCATGTTTATGTCATTAGAGTTAAAAAGGACTTCCTTTACTAATCACACTGGCCTAACAGGTGTTCTTATTTGAGGACATAGAAAGCATCCCACCTGCAGGAAGTATCCTCAGGGACCATCAGGGATCCTTGAGAAAAACAGGCTCCATGGTGGCTGGGGTAGGGGTGGGGTATAGTGAATAAGGCCTAGAGCATCTGAGGATTCAGCTGTGCAGAGCTTACACCAATTGGTGGAGTAGAATTTATTCAAGGCTTTGATTTTTCTGTGGTCACAGGAGGTGTCACATTATGGAGTAATTGGCTCTCTCAGTTTCCCTCCATCCCTTTTCTCTTCTCTCCTTCTGAGGGCCTTGGAAACACCCAAATAAGCACCATAAAATGCAAGTGCAATTTTGCTCTACCCAGCCCCTATGCACTGGATGCTGGCTTTTCTACCTAGTGCATCCATCTCCCCATTCCCTGCTTCCCAACAGACCCACTTTTATTCAGGCATCCAACACTCCTCCACCTTTCCCTGACAGCTGACTGCTTCAAGGGAAGACGACCCTCCCTCATTTGCAGAGCTGGGCCTGATTGGTCCTATGGGATGCTCATTCCCTTTGTCAAGGATTGAGTAATAAATGGGCATTTGAGCCAGTTTGAGCCAATGAGGTGTGAGAAGAGGTTTACTGGGACTTCTGGGGAGGGACATCAATTTCTAGGAGTCCTCCTAGCAGCAGCGGGACTTTCTCCTTTTACAGCTGTTGTTGCACACAGTTGTGAGGCCAGACCAGCTGCAGCCCTCTTGCCTCCAGCCAAGCACTGAGGAAGCCAAAGCACTGCGGAGGGCAGAGGAAATGAATGTATCCTAAGAATGACTACAGACTCCCAAAGTGCAAGCTTTAAACATCCTGCCTTTTTAATCCATAATTGAAGAAGGCAGTCCTTGTCTTCTCCCTACTTCCTTTCCCTCCATGAAGACAGATCTTTAAAACAAAAACTGTGGTAAAATGTACACAACATAAAATTTACTGCTCTAAGTGTATAATTTAATGGCTTTAAGTACATTTACATTGTTTTGCAACCATCACCACTATCCATCTCCAGAACTTTTTCATTATTCCAAACTGAAACACTATACCTGTTAAACGTGAAGAGGGACTTTTCATAGGACTGGATTCCGGGGTGTAGGCTCGGCCCCTGCTTCCTGGAGGAAGAGGGCACAGTGTATTTGGATGTCACATACATGGGGTGGCTTTCTTTCTGGCTTTGTCTTTCACCTACAGGACAAGAAGGGTGATCTGTGTCAGGGCCTGCCTCCCTGGGGGAGACAGGGATGTCTGGATTCCTCTACTTCTGTGAGAAAGTACTGAAAGGTGGCTAGCAGGTAGACCCAAAAAACCCATTATTCATTGTTTACCTAAAATGTAAATTAAACTGGGCATCCTACTTTTTTTTTTTTTTTTTTTTTTTTTTTTTGAGACAGAGTCTTGCTCTGTTACCCAGGCTGGAGTGCAGTGGTGCGATCTCGGCTCACTGCAACCTCTGCTTCCCGGGTTCAAGTGATTCTCCTGCTTCAGCCTCCTGAGTAGCTGGGATTACAGGCATCCGCCACCACGCTTGGCTAATTTTTGTATTTTTATTTTTATTTTTATTTTTTATTTTTTGAGACGGAGTCTCGCTCTATCACCCGGGCTGGAGTGCAGGGGCGTGATCTCGGCTCACTGCAAGCTCCACCTCCTGGATTCACGCCATTCTCCTGCCTCAAGCTCCCAAGTAGCTGGGACTACAGGCACCAGCCACCACGCCTGGCTAATTTTTTGTATTTTCAGTAGAGACGGGGTTTCACCATGTTAGCCAGGATGGTCTCGATCTCCTGACCTCGTGATCCACCCACCTCAGCCTCCCAAAGTGCTGGGATTACAGGTGTGAGCCACCGTGCCCAGCCAATTTTTGTATTTTCAGTAGAGACAAGGTTTGTCATGTTGTCCAGGCTGGTCTCAAACTCCTGGCCCCGTGTGATCTGCCCACCTTGGCCTCCCAAACTGCTGGGATTACAGGCGTGAGCCACCGTGCCTGACCATTCTACATTTTTATTTACTAAATCTGGCATACCTAGGTGAGGAGAACACAACCCATTCAACTTGGTGAGTAGAGGCCTTGAAGGCCTGCTGACAGCAGCTGTGAACACAGGTGCCGGGTGCTGGGGACCAAGCGAGAAGCTGGCTGTCCTGCCAGAAACTTACAGTGAGAGAATGGCTGTAGGCCCAAATGACACCCATTTTGTCAAATACCAGAATGAAACATAAGCTGCACTTCACACATCCCCCACCTGAACTTAGATTCTGGGTAAAAGGAGGAGAACAGGGGGAGAATCCTGACCTGGTTGAGTATTAACCCAAAAGGACCTGAGAGAAAAAACCTGAAAGGGACTGAATTACTCTGCATTGGCAAGATTGAACAGAAATGAGAACTTAAGAACTAAGTTCTGGCTGGGCGCGGTGGCTCACGCCTATAATCCAGCACTTTGGGAGGCTGAGGTGGGTGGATCGTGAGGTCAGGAGTTTGAGACCAGCCTGGCCAACATGACGAAACCCCGCCTCTACTAAAAAAATACAAAAATTAGCCGGGTATGGTGGTACACACCTGTAATCCTAGCTACTCGGGAGGCTGAGGCAGGAGAATTGCCTGAACCGGAGAGGTGGAAGTTGCAGTGAGCCAACATCACGCCACTGCACTCCAACCTGGGCGACAGAGCGAGACTCCATCTCAAAAAACAAAACTAAGTTCAATTATAATAAAGTTACATTTTTCACCTCTGAGCCTGTGAAAATTTGTACCTGCTATAGATAAAAAATGGGAGTGATGAGATTGTCTCCAAGGTTCATTTTGTATCTACAATTCCATGGCTATAGAGGTCAGACTTGAGGCCTTGGAAGGAAAAGTAAGGCATGGGTTAGGTGAGGGTGGAAGCACTTGAAAAAGCCCAACTGAGTCTCTGTTCTAAAGACCCAGCAAAGGGGCATGGGTGGGAAGTGGTGAGGGGAAAATCATGACCATTGTAAGTGTAAGGTGTTCCTGTGTGTTTTATGTTTGTTGCTTCTTAAACAGTTAAAGCTGAGAGCTCAGTAGAGTTTATGAATTATTATTAACAGTAAGAGGTTGCTGATTTATGCTGATTCAGCTGATTTAAGAGCTATACTCTTAGAAGAACTGTGAACAGGCTTTCTAGAGAACCAACTGGTGAACAAGTGCTTCTTTGCAGGGAGAGCCACAAAGGACTCTAGGGCCAGGAGAACCAAATGCCTAGAGAATTGTTGCAAACTGCACCATGTTCAGCTTCTTGCCTAAGCGAACACTGGGTGCTTTGAGTGCAATTGGTTCCCCCTGCTTGTAGAGAGGGTGCAAGCCTTGATGGGGGCTCCCCCAACACTGCAGAGGAGAAGGGGTGCCTAGCCAGCGGGGAGATGCATGCCAGGCAGGAAGGCAGAAAGAAAGCCTTTCTAAGAGGGGAGGGGGGCTTAAGGCAATTTCAAGAAGCTTGCGAGTAAAACAGTGATTAAGAGCAGCTGGTGGAGGAGAAGCATCTCTGCCTGGGCCGAGGACAGTGTCTTTGTGCGCCTGCCCAGCAGCGCTCCACACTCAACAGTCAGGGAGCATGCTCAGTGGCGGGCACTGGCAGGAATGAGCAAGGCTGTTCCCACCCAGTGAGGGAGAGGTGAGTCATGGAAGTTGGTGACCAATTCCCTTCTGGGGAGCCAAGTGGCCTGAAGCGGGGAGTGGGGTGAGTTGTCTTGCGGGAGGCAAGCAGGCATTCTGCAGGCAAGCAGAATGTGGCCAACACCTACCAGGAGATATCAGTGGTATTGATCAACACTCACACCTATAGATTTACATACGAAGCAGTGAGTCCTGGAGGCAGAAGAACGCTGCCGTATCTCTTGTCTTTGGAGGCTCTTATAAAAAACACAGAAAGCTAAGGGTAGAGGTGGACAGAGGTCATAAATATGTCATGCTCCATTTTAAAGGTTGCCGCTTGTGAAGAATAATGAGGAACGAAAATTGAAGTATTGGCTACACCTGGTGTCAGCAGGCTTTGGTTTTTCTAGATTGTGGCTTTTGATACCAGCACTTCTGGCAGAGATTACTGAGTGCTTTGCACTAAATCTGGGAAGACCTGTTTGACAGGAAACACCTACCTAATTGAGAGCTTCCACCCCAAATGTGAAGGGGCAGGGAGAAATTGGTCTAGTAAAACCAGGAACCCAAGTATCAGGGAGGATAACCACTATAGCATAAAATAAATATGAAAACAAAGATATTTTCAGGTGTAAGCATCCAGTAAATGGGTCACAGTGTGCAAAAAGCTTTGAGATCTATGTACAAAGGTGCAAAATCTGGGGAACAAAATGTATTTATATTTTTACACAGTGAGGTAAACAGAATCCTGTAGGAATGGGGTGCAATGGAAATCGATGGCTGGCCCAGGCCTGTCATACCATGAGAAGAGTGTCAGGAAGGCTAACAATCAGAACAAGCCAAAGCTTGTGGAGGAAACAGAAAGGCTAAAGACAAGCAAAAGGGATTTTAAAAAGCCCTGATGGAGCAAGAAGAACATGGAAGTTGTAGGCTTGCTGTTAGGGAAATTTAGTGCAATATTTGCAAATGATAAAGACCAACAGAGAATTACACTCTCCTGGTGTTACTTCTGTCTCTTCTTTTTTCTCTCGCCTAGAGAGTGCAGTGGCACCATCTCGAGTTTCTGCAACCTCCACCTCTTGGGTTCAAGTGATTCTCCTCACTCAGTCCCCCGAGGGAGTAGCTGGCCTGAGTACAGGCGCCCGAGTACGGTAGCTCCCGAGTACAGGCATGTGCCACCACACCCAGCTAATTATTATATTCTTGTAGAGACGGGGTTTCACCATGTTGGCCAGGCTGGTCTCAAACTCCTGACCTCAAGTGATCCACCTGCCTCAGCCTCCCAAAGTGCTGGGATTACAGACATGAGCCACCACTCCTGGCCACTTCTGTCTCTTCTAACAAGGGAATGCCTTTCAAGCTCCATACAGCACAACAAATACACCAAGGAGAAGGAAAGACAGGGGAAGTGACCTAGGCTCCAAATACCTACCTGTCAGGGTTGTGCTTGCTGAAAAATTGTTAATTAATTTGGTGTAAAAAAATGAATGGTGAGGAGATACTTTTACAAAAGGATTTGAGTACTTATTTTGGAAAGTTCTCCTTCATGTGAAGTATCCTCTCCCAGCTCTCTAGGAAGTGTCTTCCAAGCTTAATGGGCTGGCTTTGCCCACCCACTTGTAAAACCTCTTAATGTTAGGTTACAGAGAAATGGCATAACAGAGTTAAAACTTCAGGTTAAAGATCAAGGTCAAAAGCCTTGGCTAGTTCTCATTCTCAAATGTATATGCATGGAGCAGAAAAGGTAGAAAGGCAATAGGAGGTTCTCTTGTTCTGGGGACATGGAGGGAGCCCCCATATCATTCTCTGCTAAGCTGACATCTGTCCCCAGCAGGTGTCTTAATCACTAATCCCTAAAATAGCAGCTTGTTCTCTAAGCATTCTGGGTTCCTAGTAAAAAAGTTTCTTCATTGGTTTCTTTTAAAAAGCAATAGCCAGCCTGGGTAACACAGTGAAACCCTACTCTAACAAAAATACAAAAAATTAGCCAGGCGTGGTGGTACTTGCCTGTGGTCCCAGCTACTCCAGAGGCTGAGGTGGGAGGGTTGCTTGAGCCCAGGAGGTGGAGGCTGCAGTGAGCTGAGATCGCCCCACTGTACTCCAGCCTGGGCAATAGAGTGAGACCCTGTCTCTAAAAAAAAAAAAAAAGAAAAAAAGAAGAAAGAGCAATAGCATGAAATTTGGGAAAATATTTTGGAAAGCATAAAGAATTTAACAAATCAACTTTCATCTAATTTCTTAGAGACAGACTGTTAATATTTTCTTCTATAATGTTTATTATAAATTCAGGCTAGAATATTATAAATTTGGAAATTAGAAAAAGCTTAAAGAATAACATAAAAACTGCATGTAATTCCACCACTGCCAACATTTTATTTTTCCTTCCAGTCTTTTTTCTTTACATACACATACACATGTACATACATCTATAGATAAGTTTTAAATAAAATATGAACTATACTGTCTATGTAGTTTCAGATCCTATTTTTTGTACTTAATATTACAAGTATTTTCTTCATCATTAAATGCTATTCAAGAGCATGATTGCAATTGGCCATCTGCTATTTTACTGTACCATAGTTCATTTAGCTATGACTTCAGTGTTAGACTTTGACTTGTTTCCAGCCCCTTACCATTGGAAAATAATGCCATTTTAGACATCCTTGTATGAAAATCTTTACCTAGGCTACATTTCTAGAGACTGAATTACTAGGCCAAGGACCAGGAACATTTTTTAGGCTTTTGATACATATTGCTGCTTTGTCCTCTATTTCACAAGCCCCCCGTGGACAAGGGAGTACCCATTTCTTGCAAACTTCTATTGTGAGTTGTAGTTTTTGTCTGATGCATCAAGGCCTCCCTGCTTCATGCAATCCCATAACACCACTGCCATCTTGTGTTCTTCCTCTGTGGCTTTTCTAGGAGAGAGAGGAAGCTCTCGTCCTTAGACTATTTGAAATGCTCTCCTTGTATTCCTCTAAAGTCCTTACTGCTCCATGGCTATTTTTATGTTGCTGCTTTGAGGTGATATGGATTTCCCTCAGTTTGACCAACTGGGTAACTCCTACCTACTTATTCTCTGGAGTCAGCTTGGACCTTGTGCCCTCTGTAAAGCTGCTTCTGACACTGCAGGCTGGTTTTGAAGCCTCCTCTGTGCTCTGCACGCCCTCTTCCTTCTCCGCCAGTCAAAGCACTTACACACTGTACCGTGTGCTCAGCTGTTTCCAGATGCAAGCTTCATTGTACCTTCAGTGCCTAACACTGCATTTGGCAGACATGGATACTCAATAGATGCTAACTTTATTTAAAGAATAAAGGTTAACTTTATTTAAAGAATCCTTGAAGGTTCATCTCTATTTCCATACCCTACATTCCATCCCATTCCCCCTGAATATTTACTGGGAGTTTTTCTGATTATATAATTATCTTGTAATTATGAATCCTTGTTTGAGAATCTAGAGTTGACCCTGGGGTTCCAAAAAATGAAAGAAGGAAAGGTAAAGAAATGAGGAAAAGAGAGAGAGGAGAAATAGATCAGAATATAAATTACGATACTTTACATTTCTATATTATATTACAGTTTACAAAGTTCTGTCATACACTTCAGTTTATTTTACTGTGGTAGTTCTAAGCCCTCTCTTGGAAGGACAGACCCTCGTGCTATATGCTGTTATCGCACTGTGTATGATCTTCCTTAGCACCTCTCACAGTTGTTGGCATATAATTACAGACGCTCCTCTACTTATGATGGGACTATCCTAATAAACCATTCTAAAGTCAAAAAATCTTAAATGGAACCATCATAAGTTTGGGACCATCTGTATTACCGGTCGCTGATGTATCCCCGATGCCTAGTGCAGTGCTCAATGCACTGTAGCTATTAAGTAAGTATTTATGAATTCTGAGAAAAAACATTCTTATAGTCATCTTATAAACAAAGAAATGAAGCCTAGAGAGTTGACATTTCAATCTAAGGAGTTCTACTCCAAGTTTGATTCTCTTTTCACTACATGTCAGCTAATGTTGCGGGCTTTCTCCCCCATGGGAAAAATATGAAAGTGGGTGCTATGGTTTGGATATTTGATTCCTCCAAACCTCATGCTGACATTTGATCCCCAATGTGGGAGGTGCGGCTAATGTTTGGGTCATGGTGGGGAGCCCTCATGAGTAGATTAATGCCCTCCCTGGTGGAAAGTGAATGAGTTCTTGTTGTATATTTTCCCTAAGATAGCTGGTTGTTAAAAAGAAACTGGCACCTTCCCTCTCTCTCTCTTGCTTCCTCTCTTGCCATGTGATCTGCACAGGCCAGTTCCCCTTCACCTTCTGCCATGAGTGGAAGCAGCCTGAGGCCCTCACCAGATGCAAGAGCTGGTACCATGCTTCTTGTACAACCTGCAGAACTGTGAGCCAGATGAAACTCTTTTCTTTATAAATTATCCAGCTCAGGTATTCCTTTATAGCAATACGATTGACTAAGACAAGGGGGGAAAAATGGAAGAGGAGAATAATGGAAGGAAAAGAGGGAGGCTGGGAAAAAGGAGGAAGTCATAGAAATGAAGAGAGTGGAGAGAAGTGATTTGAAGTGGACACCTTGATGATGAAGGGAGGACAAATAGAAAGCTCTAATTTCATATACGATATGGTGTTTTGTCACTCCATCAAGCTTAGTAAACCAAGATTTCAATCAGAAGTGCTGTAGTTTTAAAATCAGTCAAACATAAGAATTCAACAGTACTTTGCCCATCATAGCTCTCCATATTCACAGGCCAATCAATGATGACATTGCCATAGCTTTGAGAACATACTTAGTGGCAGCGGGAGAAAAGGTGATCCTGGCCATAGATTCTCTGGAGAACCTCCCCAGGATGTTCAGCCCCACTGATGAACTGATGAGGGAAAGGTGAGGGAAGAGAATGCCATGTGACCTCAGAAACCCAGCTGAAGTTGGGGTATAGGGTGAAGAACCCTGCAGGGTTGGCTGTCAATGGTTCCTGAAGAGTCCACCCACTCTCCCAAAAGCTTTGGCCAAGAACAGGACACCCTAAGGTATGGCTTTGTGAGTGCCCTTCGGGGGTCTAGGAATTCTTGGAAGATCTTAGGCACTGGAAATGGCACCATGTCCATTGCTTACTAGACAAAACTGCAGACACAGTCTCCCATGTCTGGAGACATCCCCACTGATGAACATCCCTGGGGGTGTTCTCCAGAGAATCCATGGCCAGGATAAGCCTGGCTTCTCTTGGTTTCATACAACAGAATATAGAGGGTTTAGGTGTAACTTTTCTGTAGACAGGGAGATGTACCTTCTGGTATGGTACAGATGAAGACCAATGAATACTGTGACAGATGTTACCACTTTTCCTTTGTAGCAGTGTCCATGGTAACAATTTTAAACTCTCGGGAGTCAGTATAGCATAGAGGTTACAAGCACAGGCTGTGGAGCCAGACTGCTTAGGCTAGAATCTTGGTTCAGTCACTTCCTTGTGTGATCTTGGGTAAGTTACTTAACCTTTGTGTGATCTAGTTCTCTTGTGTGTTAAGTGGGAATAATAAAAGTACCTAACCCATTGGAATATTGTGAAAAAATAATGAGATAATGCATGTAAAGTTTATAGAACAGAGTCTGGCCCATGGAAAGCACCAGTAAGTGTTGGCTACTTTTGTTAAGATTTCCTTCAAGCTCCAGACATGGGAGACTGCGTCTGCAGTTTTGTCTAGTAAGCAGTGGACATGGTGCCATTTCCAGTGCCTAAGATCTTCCAAGAATTCCTAGGCCCCTGAAGGGCACACACAAGGCCATACCTCAGGGTGTCCTGTTCTTGGCCAAAGCTTTTGGGAGAGTGCGCGGACTCTTCAGGAACCACTGACAGCCAACCTTGCAGGGTTCTTCACCCTATACCCCAACTTCAGCTGGGTTTCTGAGGTCACATGGCATTCTCTTCCCTCAACTTTCCCTTGATATTCACTTTAGGATGGCACTAGACACAAGGCTGAATTTGGGTATCCAGAGAACTACCACAGACACTACAGAAGTTAAGTTCTGGAAAATTCAGCAGTTGGAGTTCAGTCGCTGCTGAACACACACTAATTGGGAATGGTCTAGGCCAGAGCCAGTGAGTGGTTTGTTTGGCCAGCATGGTGTCCACTTGATGGTATCTGTCTATCATCTATTTATCTATCTATCTTTGATAATTAATTTGTCTTTAATCAGGGTATGTGCTCCCTAATCTATTGACACATTTATGTTACTTACTGGAGCAGACAGGACCATTCTGTATGATCTAACTCAACAGCAACTTCATCTAATACTGGCATTTCTTTGCCATTGGTGGATTTTTCAGTTATAGTGGGCCACATGCTCCTCTGCAACTTTTTGCTTACTCTTGTTCTCTATTGTGTATCTGATACTATCTGAGCTCCTCACCAGGGTTTACCAGGGTTTCCATGACCTGGCCCATGATCATACTTCTATTTTCCATTTCTTACCTCTGCCCACCCCTCAAGCCCCATCCCCCCATCCAACCGCAGAACTTTAAGATCCAGACACATGATCCAGAGTGGTTCTTGGCACTCTTGATGCATATATTCACCTTCTTATCTTTGCTCATGCTGTTTCTACTCACATCATTTGCTCACCTAACTAATCTTTCCTAAGCTTTGGGAATTAGTCCAGGACTCATATACTTTTGGAAGGTTTTTCTGATCTTTCTGTGTTTAGTGAGATTCTCTATTTTCCCGTAGTACCCTAGCCAAATACCTATCTAGTCCTTACACATTTTGTTATAATTTATGTACTGTGTTTTTTCCCTCACTAAACTCATACCTCCTTGAAATAATATCTTATACACTTTTCAATGCCCATAGTAACTGGTATATTCCAGGTTCCCAATAAGTGTTTGTTGAACGAATTCCTAGACAATTATGATTAAAGATGTAAAAAAGGTCATAAAACATAAGAAATTTATAAAACACTATTAAAAACACAGAACACAAATACAGAACTAAACACACTTTCTGGAAATGATAACACTACAGTTATTGAAATTAAAAACTTAATGAATGGGTTAAACAGCAAATTAGGACTGAAGAGAATATTGATGAACTGAATTGCAGTACAGAGAAATTAAGACATAGAAAACATGAAAGAGAACCTAAGACACACACATCTCCAGAAACAGAGAGAGAGAGAGAGAGAGAGAGAGAGAGAGAGAGAGACTAAAATAAAAGGAATTATAGAAAAATAATATTTGAAGAGGTAATGGTGAAATTTTTTCTAGTGTTGATGAAAGACCAGACTCTTCTGATTCTGGAAACTTGAGTCTTGAGAAAAATAAACAAAATGGAAAATTCACACTTAGGCACATGAAATTGCAGAACATCAAAGAAAGGAAAGTACCATGAAAGCAACCACAGACAATAGACTTTATCTACATAAGAAGAATAATTAGAGTGACAACAGACTTCTCAACCATTACAATAGAAGCCAGAAAACAATGCGGGATAAGAGTTTAACAATGCTGGGAAACAATCCAAGTGTCCATCAACATATAAATGGATAAATAAAATGTTATATATATTTATATTTGTATGCATATGCCTCTCTCGCTATATTTAAATTGAAATATTCAGCAATAAAAAGAAATGAAATTCTAATACATGCTATAACATGAATGAACCTTGAAAAATTATTCTAAGTTAAATAAACCAGACACAAAAGGAGAAATATTATATTATTCCACTTACATGAAATGAAATACAACAGGCAAATTCATAGAGACAGACAGTGATATAGAGGTTATCAGGGATTGGGAGAAAGAAAGAAGTGGGAAGTTACTTTTTAATGAGCACAGAGTTTCTGTTTGGAATGATGAAAAATTCTGGAAATAGATATGGTAGCAGTTATACAACTTTGCAAATGTACTTCATGCCACTGAATTGTGCACTTAAAATGGTTAAAATGTTAAATATTATGTATATTTTACCATAATAAAAATGCTAAAAGATACTAAATGTTTATTTAGAATTCTTTGCCCAGATAATTATAATACATCAATGAGGGCAAAATAGATACTTACAGACAAAAAATGTTAAACTAATTACCATTAATAGATCTTTGATGAGAGAACTATAAGTAGAAGAACTTAAGGAAGAAAATTCCAAAAGGGAGGTATAAAAAATAAGAAGGAATGGTAGGTAAGCATGTGACTAAATCTAAACAGGCAACAGCTGTATAGAACAATAATAATACTCACTGCATTTGAGGATAAAACTGAGAGGGATCTAAAACACTGGCCAGCTTTAACATGTAAAATACTAGAGGCAATCATAATTAGAGAATTTTTAGATCTTTTTATTGTTTGGGATGAGGCTAGAGATTGATTAGTTTTAGACTTTAAGTATCCTTTTTAAAATTTAAAAAAGAAATAGCAAGAACAAAATAATTATGAAGTAGTAGAGGGGAAATAGAGAATAAATAAAAGTCAATCCAATAAAAGGCAGGAGAGGAGAAAATTTTGTATAGAAAATGTAGGCTAAGTAGAAGTACAAAATGAGATGACAAAAATAAATTCAGCTCTATCAGTAATCACCATACATGTAAATGGACCAAACTTGTTTAAGACATTGTCAATTGTCAAAGTTCAGCTTTATCTGTTTACAAGAGACATACCTAAAACATAAGGATGGTGAAAGAATTAAAGTAATTAAAAAACCATAATAGGCAAATAACTAGCCAAAATAGATTTTAAGAAAAACATACTTGTATGTATGTATGTAATACATATTACAGGGCCACTATATAATGATAAAAAATTAAGAATAAATAATTCTAAACTTATGTATACCTAATAACATAGGCTCAAATTATATAAATCACATATTTTCAGAATTATAAGAACATGATAAAGCTACAATGGAGAGTTTAATAGTATCTTATAGCTAAAATACAAAAGATATAGAAGATTTGAACAACAGAATTAATAAACTTAATCTAGTATATACAAAAATTGACCTCATGTGGCTCGCAACTCTCAAATAGCAACTCAAATAACTTCACTGTCAGGCAGACTGTATTTTCTGATCGGAATACAATTGACTTAGAAATCTGTAACAATGTGACTGACAGCTTTCATACATTTTGGAATTTAAAAAGCACACTTCTAAAGTAACTTGTGAATGGCAGAAGAAATCATAAGAAAGGTAGAAAATACTAGAACTGATTTATAATGTAAATATAATGTGTCAAAAATGATTTAAAGATGGGCTGGCTAGAAGACAGAGAGACGCCATCTTCTATGTGAGGGTTTTCAAGACCCACAGTGATTAAAGATGGACTTTTCTGGGCAGGACACCCTGCTGCCTGGAATGGATGTGTGGTGAGGAGGACCACAACTACTGTTTCCAGGCTGGGTTTGTAAACATGCAACAGTAATCAAGAGGTATGCTCTGCCTTGTGTGCTTACTCGATAAGTCCTGCAGCAGGCAGCCTGCTGGGGGGCAGGAGAACCAAGGGGGGCAGGATTCAGTCGGGATAACAATATGGGACTTCATACTATCTTGAAAGCTTACCCCTCCAATTCTTCCTGCTGGCTGGTAGTATTTCTGCTAAGAGAAAGGGAGGCCAGACTAGCAGTTAATCTGGAGGAGAATTTATAAATTGAATTATACATCTGAGACCCTGGGGCTGGATATAGAAGCAGAAAGTGATATTAGGTATGGCTTCACTTTTATCCTAGAAGAAATCCTTAACTGAGTTTAGTATTTGGAGAAAGGACCGGGCAAGGTGGCTCACACCTGTAATCCCAGCACTTTGGAAGGCTGAGGTGGGCGGATCACCTGAGGTCAGGAGTTTGAGACCAGCCTGGCCAACATGGCGAAACCTTGTCTCTATTAAAAATACAAAAATTAGCCAGGAGTGGTGGCACACGCCTGTAATCCTAGCTACTTGGGAGGCTGAGGCAGGAGAATTGCTTGAACTCAGGAGGCTAATGTTGCAGTGAGCCAAGATTGTACCACTGCACTCCAGCCTGGGCAACAGAGCCAGACTCCATCTGAAAACAAAAACAAAAACAATTTGGAGGAAGAAGCAGATTATAATATCCATGTATACAGACCCATTCTCTTCCACCTCAGAGGCAGCTTAGAGTCTGAACTAGAAAGTGCACTCCTCTAATATGCTTTCTGTGTGACAGAATGGGCTACCAGTGGGACTATGGCAGCAGTTTAGCCTCTCACTCCTGGCATTTCAAGGCTGCAGTGAGGGTGAGATAGAACCCAGCATTGGGGTGTTAGGAGATGGTCTTCACATTTGCTTCCTTTATGGAAAACATAAATCTTGTCCTCAGGCATGCTTTCCTGCTCATAGTCCAGAGCTGCCTGATGCCTCTGGAGGCCATCACTTGTGTTTACAGCAGTGTGCCTCCCTCAGTGTTCCTCTAGATTCTCTCATTTTCCTTGTGAGCCATGATGTGTAGCCAGGACTCTTGTGGGGAGGAGGATTAGGTGTGAATGTTGGCATGTCTCTGCCTGGGAAACTCCCCATTGCCTAGTTCTAAGATACATTAGAAGGGCAGATGGACCCAGCCAAGTTCACATGACAGCACCCCCAGAAGCAAAAGAGATAGTGATGGCTCTCAAATCTGTTATACCAGTGATTCCTTTCTTTCTTTCTTTCTTTTTTTTTTGAGACGGAGTTTCACTCTTGTCGCACAGGCTGGAGTGCAGTGGCGCGATCTCGGCTCACTGCGACCTCCGCCCCCTGGGTTTAAGCTATTCTCCTGTCTTGGCCTCCCAAGTAGCTGGGATTACAGGTGCCTGCCAGTAAAATGCCTGGCTAGTTTTTGTATTTTTAGTAGAGATGGGGTTTCACCATGTTGGCCAGGCTGGTCTCGAACTCCTGACCTCAGGTGATCTGCCTGCCTCGGCCTCCAAAAGTGCTGAGATTACAGGCATGAGCCACCATGCCCGGCCTGTTAGACCACTGATTTCTGAAGTTTAATGTAATCCATGTCTCCTGGGCTCCTGGGCCCTTTTCCCAGAGCTTGTAATTCAGTAAGTTGAAGTGCAGCTCAAGAATTTGCATTTCTGATGAGCTCCCAGCAGATGCAATGCTGCTGGTCTAAGGACTCTACTTTGATATTACTGTAGAAAGAGATGAAAGAGAAGCAGGAGGAGGAGAGGGGAGACACTGAAGTAGGAGATCCACTTTTTGGGGGGTGGGAGGCAGGTGATTCTATAAAAATTCCCAGCTTTCACCCTTCCCTGCCACCTAAAGATTCTTTTTGGTTTGTGGGCTCTGTTTCCTGCTCTCCCCTATACAACGAGGGGAACTGTTCCTTAGAATTTGGAGGGACAGAAAATGGAGACTGGGGGATGGAGAGAGAGCTGGGAAGGTGAGAGGAAAGGGAGAGGGAGGAAGGATAGGGGGCTCAGGGCCTAGTGATGCAGGAAGGTTTTCTGGGCAGCTTTGGGGAAATGTGCGAGAGTGGCTCTGGTGCATGGAGGGAGTAGATGGGAGAACAAAGAATTTCTTTGAGGGCCACAGCCCTCAGGATGCTGGGGGGATGACCTGAGGCAGCCCAAAGGTATTTGAGAAATTCAAGAAAGAATGCAAGTTATTTTGAAATTACTTTTTGATTGCTGAATGGCATGTCATACAGTATGACACTACTCTGACTCTGGTATTTGGTTCCACTAGGATCACAACAGCATGGCAGTTCTGATGCATCGTGTGTAGGAGGTAAGGGGAACCAAATGGGAGTCTCTCAGTCCTTATCCTTGTTAAGGCCCTCCCTATCTCTCATTGGGTCAACTGTTGGAATGGTTTCCTCCATACCCTGCCTTGAGGCCCTCCTCCCTCCAGTTTCTCCACACAATGGCTTCAGTGGCTTCTACTACAGAGTTCCTAGCCCCCTGGGAACCCAGTCTCTCCCACATTAGAACAGGCTTTCATTTCCCCTCCAAGTCTTTTTCAGTGGAGGGATTGTTGCAGGTTTTACTGTTTATTGATTTTAGCCAAAATACCCTTCAAGGCATCAAAGGCTTCACATTCCTTGCTTTCAATCAATGTTTCCCATGTTACATCCAGCCACATATTGGAGACACTCCACACCTGTTTCTACAACACTTACGTAAAGTTTTCCCACCTCACACCTTTGTGCATACTATTTCTGATGTCTGGAATGCTCTCCTTATCATCTCTGCTAATAAGATCAACCCATTCGTCAAGGTCTAGTTCAAATGCCTCCTGTTTTTTGAAACTTTTCTGATCATCCCTATTTCCCCCTTCCACCATGGAACTTTATTTGTACTTGCTTATACTATGAATTCTGCTTATATTGTAGTTATCTGTCCCCCTAGACCTGGGCTTTCCAATATGGTAGCCACTAATCGCATGTGGCTATTTAAAGTAACCAAAATGAAATAAAATTAAAAATCCAGTTCCTTGGTTTCACTATTCACATTCCAAGTGCTCAATAGGCCAAGGAGCTGGTGGTTACTGTATTGCACAACACCGATATAGAACATTTCCATCATCATAGAAAGTTCTATTGGACAATACTGGGCCCATGTATTATTCACCCACTCTTATGTCTATTGAATAAAAATGAGTCACAGTGAATTAATTAGGATTTTACTGATTGCTTTGTCATGCTTTCTGAGCCAGCACGGGGTTTATATTTTCAGTTGTTAAAAAGGCATATGGTACTACCTGTTCCTTGCTCTCTTTCTTGATAAGCTGTGCTCTCTTGAGGTGAAGCCCCACCTTTTCTTTCTGTGGATTTTCTTCATTTCAGAGTCTTTCTGAAAGTTGTTTGGTCTGTCATCTTCCTCCTTACGTGTGTCCCAGGTCACTTCCTAAGGCCTAACCCCTGAACAGCATTTCTTATTAATGAAGCATGCCTTGGAAGGAAAGAGCAGAGGCCTGGGTCCCTCAGGGTTACATTGCTACTCAGACAGACCCTCATGCCTGCAGGGGGCAAAAGACACAGACACAAGGACACTCATGACAATTAGCAATGGCATTTTGAGGTATACTTTCTCATTAACCTCTTGCAAAATCAATTGTCTAAGAGGTTTCTGGGAAGGAAAGCCCAAGGCCAGAGTGGCCACGAGAGGGCACCAGTGTACCTTAAACAGCCTTTACCTCCAAAATCCTCAGGAAGGTTTCCCTGTGTTGCAAGGGAGGGACATGATGAATACACATCGGAAAAGAATAGAAAAAAAAATCATCATATTGTTATATCTAACTGTAAGTCCTGATTACCATATATTTATGCATCCAAGGCCTCCTTAAATATAGAAATCACAAGAACATTAAGACAATAATAGGCAGACGAGGGATTAGATTGAAAATACTTCAAATAAGGTTGTGAATAGGTCAGCAGACTTTAAAACAGAATAAACCTCACTTTGAAGCAAGGTAGCTATGGAAACATTACCAAAATTATTCTGTTACTTCATGGCTACAGTGGTTTCTGCAGCCTGGAAATGCTGTCAAGGGAGGCCAGAATATTATTTTCTTATAAATAATACAACACAGGATCCTATATGGAAAGTTGCAAGAAATTAGATTTCAGAGGTAGAGATGTTTCAACAAAAATACCCAACAGCTTTAATTTGGTTTCTGATAACTTGGCTCTGAGCTTGCAGTTGTTAAGTTTTTCTCTATTTCTGTTTTCTGTTGCAGAAAGGGAGCCAGTGAGGGATTTATTTTCATGTCTCTGGATGTATTATATCCACACATATGCATACACCTTGAGCATGGCTGATAGAAGTCACTTGTTTGCCCCAGGAATGATCCTTGTGAGGGCAGGTAACCTATAATCAAGACTTAAATAAGAGGCTTGCTTTCTTGTGGGGAATAGGCCTGGAGCTTTGCTGCCTAAGGTGACAGGGTTCTGTTGCTGACCCTCGGAAACCATAGACCAACTGCCTATGCCTGCAAGCTTCCCAGAACCCCCCTAATAAGCATATAAGGATTGTGTACACGACTGCTCCCTGATCATACTGACCATGTAGGTGGAGATGTGGGTAAATGAATTAATTAGGTTTATTTAAGAGGGGTAGGTGTTTGGTAAGCAAAGTAAACATGGTATAAACCTGGGAGTTATGATAAATGTCATGCTGGTGGGTGTTAGAGGTTGAGGGTGGTTTTGATGCTATTATAAAGTCATTCAGACAGGGACCCAAAATGCCTCCATCCTGGCCTGACAGTACCTCTTTTCCCCATGGAGTTTTCAAGGGAGCTGTATACCCAAGGGACAATAACAAATTGGGAATCATATACACAACATGTCAATGCAGTGTCCTCTGGTCAGAGACTGAGTTGTCCATGTGCCTAAGATCTCATGAATAGGAAATGGGATTTCCTAGCTTCCCCAAACCTAAATATTGGAATATCATCTCTACCAGGGTGGCCATATGGAGAAAGACAATCAGAGGGGTGGGAGTGGGTAGCCATATGCACAGAATACATGGAGTAAGAAGAATGGAAAAGAGCAAAGTAGCCCTGCCTTTTATTGAAAAAGAAAGAACAGGGCTCATCCAATGTCCTGAGGGTGGAGATGGGTAGGAATTTAGTACAGTCAGACCTATTCTAAGGAAAGAGACCTTATGCTCCTCCTTGCCCAGAGAAGTGGATCTAATACCTTAGTGAGCATCAGAATCTCCTGGAGGGCTTAATGAGACACATGCTGCTGGGTCCCACCCCAGAGTTTCTGATACAGTAGGTCTGGAGAGGGGCCAGAGAGTTTGCTAACAAGTTCCTGAGGATGCTGATGCCCTTGATTCGGGGACCATACTTTGGGACCACCACAGCTCTAGAACATTGTAAGTGGTTTAAGTAAAGTATCAACAATGTAGGCGTGATACGGATTTAGAGTCTGTCCCTGAAACAAACCCAACAAAGGGCTCATTACTCTTTTTTAAAAAATTGGGAGGTAATTCACACACCATTTGTATATCTTCTTTGGAGAAGTGTTTATTCAAATCCTTTGCCTATTTAAAAATTGGGTTATTATCCTTTTTATTGTTGAGTTTTAAGTGCTCTTTATTCTAGGTATAAGTCCCTTATCAAAGAAAAGATTTGCAAATATTTCTGCCATTATGTGTGGGTTATCTTCTCGCTTTCTTGATGGTGTTTCTTGAAGAGCTAAGGTTAAAATTTTGGTGAAGTCTAGTTTATTTCTTCTTTTATCACTTATGCCTTTGGTATTGCATCTAAGAAAGCATTGCCCAACCCAATGTCACCTATGTCACAAAGATTTCCCTTTCTTTCCTTCTTTTTCTTTCTTTCTTCCTTTTTCTTTCTCTCTTTCTTCCTTCCTTCCTCTTTCTTTCCTTCCTTCCTTCCTTCTTTCCTTTCTTTCCTTCTTTCTCTTTCTTTCTCTCTTCCCCTTCCTTCCTTACTTTCTCCCTCCCTCCCTTCCTCCCTCCCTCCCTTCCCTCTTGCCTCCCTCCCTTCTTTTCTTTTCTTTCTTTCTTTCTTTCTTTCTTTCTTTCTTTCTTTCTTTCTTTCCTTCTTTCTCTCTCTCTGTCTCTCTTTCTTTCTTTCTTTCTCTCCTTCCTTCCTTTTATTTCCCTTTCTTTCCCATTCTCTCTTTTCTTTTCTTTCTTGTCTTACTCTGGTCTCCCACAGGCCGTAGTGCAGTGGTACAATCATGGCTCACTGCAGCTTTGACCTCCTTGGCTCAAGTGATCCTCCCACCTCAGCCTCCCAGATAGCTGAGACTACAGGCACGTGCCACCACGCCCAGCTTTTTTTTTGTATTTTCAGTAGAAACAGTGTTTCATCATGTCATGTTTACCAGGCTGGTCTTGAACTCTTGGACTCAAGCAATCTGCCCGCCTCAGCCTCCCAAAGTGCTGGCATTACAGGCATAAGCCACCATGCTTGGACAACAGAGATTTATTTATTTTAAGAATTTTGTAGTTTTAGCTTTTACATTGATTTCTAGAAGCAATTTGGAGTTAATTTTTGTGTATAGTGTAAGGAAGAGGTCTAGCTTTATTCTTTCGCATATGGATATCCAGTTGTCACTCATTACCCCTTAAAAAGGGAAGAAAAAACTAGAGCAACAAAACAGTTTCCTTTTTTGGTGAGAACTTTTTGAATATTAGTGTGGTTTGAACAGTATTTATTTTTGTGGCTTTGTTTATACCCAATAAAATACACTCATTCATCCAGGAAATATAGCGCATCTAACTTGTGCCACATATGTCTAAGTTGATGGCGATAACAGCAATTAAGTCCTTGCCTACATGTAGGTTACAAGCTAGTGAGAAAAATGGGCATAAGAAAATAAATGAACAAAAGTGTAATGTACAATAGTAGTGATAAGTATTATGAAGAAAAAGCAGAGTAAAAGGGTAAAGGTGATGTGGGGGCTAGGAACAGGATACTATTTTACATTGGATAAGAAAGTTAGGAAGTGTCTCTCTAAAGTGGCTGCATTTGTTTGGTACCTGAATTAAATAAAAGGGCAAGCCATGTTAGTATCTGGAGGAAGAGTTTTCCAGACAGAGAGAACAGATGCAAATATCATGATGTAGAAGTGTGGTTGGATTCTTCTGGGAAGAGTAGGCAAGGCAGTGAAGCTAGAATGTGGTGCATGAGGGGAAGATGGGTGGAAAATGACTTTGAGGAGGTAGTCAGGAACCATACTTATGGGAAAACTAGACTAGTTCCCTGACCTTTTGCCTGGCAACACATTTTGGCTTACAATATTTGCATTGGTCTTGAACAAAAGTTAATATTGTTTCTTCCTCTTTGACTTTAGTACCAGTCTCAAATCTTTTAGTAGACAGGTTAAGAGAAAAGAATACAAATAAGCATATGAACAAAATTGCAAGGCATAAATTGCTTTGAAAAAACCCCACCCAAATAATTAAAAAAAAAAAGTAATTCAAAGAAAGGACTAAAGTCAGAGTCCTTCTTTTTTTTTGCCTATGTGATTTTCATTAACCAAATCTTCTCCCCTTTATTTGTTTAAGGTTGGTGGCCAGGTCTACTGGCTGCCCACCAAAACCTCTTCTTCCCTTCTACTTAGTCATAGGAAGCTGCTGCCCAGTTGGACAACACTTCCTCTACTCTCTTGCAGTAGCTGGGGCCACGTGACCAGTTCTCACCATTGGCATGTGAGCGGAAGTGCTGTGTAACACTTCTGAGCTCTGGCCTTTACGAGGCAGATGGGTCTTCCCAGTGGTCTTTCCCTTTCTGCCAAATGAATGCAGAGGATGATGGGGCTCTAGGGATTGGTTTAGCTTTGGAAGAAGCCTGGATCCCGGAATGCATGTAAAGAAGAGCTTCTTGCTGACTCAGAAACACTTGCCTTGGAATATTACATGAGCAAGTTTATACTGCTTTTGTGTTGAGTACTGCTTTTGTGTTTGAGCTATTACATCCGTGGATGTTTTGTTACATAAATTTAGCCTACTGTAACCAATACAAGTTCAATTTAGACTGAATGAAAAAAAATAAACTACTTGGAAAGCTATACTGAAGGGAAGTAGGATTGAACACAGTGCTAGATTGGGATTGAGGAGGTTTGGAATTGAATGGCTTCCCCTCTGTGGCCATATGCATTTTTATTGCATAAAGGGCTTCTCATTTTTATAATAACCTTGGCAGTGGAAATGAAGGGGTGGGTGTGGATGGTAGTGGGAATGTGAGTGGCTAGAGGGGCAGGGGATGAGCCCTTGAATGTGTTAGGAGTACCTGCACACATGAGCAAAGATAGCTTCTGACCAAGGGAGGATTTGTCAGTTCACTGGGCCTTGGGTGTGTCTATCACTTTGTTCCGTCAATGAACTGAAGACTGCAGGCACCTCCACAGACCACACACAGGATCTAATTGGCTCAATAACATCTAACTTTTTGTAAACTAAAAGAATAAAGATTTTTATTAAGCACAGTAAGCAGCCTTCAATATCTTCAAATTAACTTCATCAAAATCCATCTATAAGCAATCAAACTCAATGGCAGTTCATTCTTGCACAATCTATGAGTTAGGGCAAACGTGTCATCAACTTACATTAAGACATTAAGAAACCTACCTAGCTCTTGTGGGCAGGAAATAAGGAACTATACTTCATTTATGATCACTGGTAAGCACATAAACTTCTAGTAGAAAGATATTTCATTTGTATGAGACAGAGAGAATTTGGGACTGATGGCACCAGCCATACAGGTCATACAGGTCACTAGCAAATCTGGGCCCAAACTGTGCCGAGAAAAATAGAGGTATATTAACTTTGGGAAAATTAAACAAGTCAGAGGTGAGGTGAATTTAGATGAATTTGGGTGATTTCAGTAAATGGTGTTGGCCAAATAATTTTGTCAAGCCTTTGGTAATTTAAAGATGCGAAATCTGCCTGTAACCTCACTTGTGATTTTACCTGTGCTTTCTATTCTTTTATTCTTGCTATAGTTTTTTAAAGACAAAAATTCAAAAAAATTCCACTTTCGTCTTAGATACATATTGAAGATACTTATCAAAAAGATACCTATTAAAATCTAAGCCAAGATAGATATGAAGAGCAAATTGCTGCCTGAAGCAGTTATAGTGGCGGTCATGATCATTTCTCTTAGAAGAGTGAGGGGACTGCAGCAAATGAAGCAGGGGTAAACACTGGGAGGGGTTGATTGGTCCTCCCTTCCCCCTGGGGTTTTCCATAATAAGCTTTTCCTGAGCACGTGTATGTGTGTGAGTGTGTATGTTCCATGCCATGGATATTATGTGGCTGGGCTCTAATCATTTTCTCTTCTTGGCTGTTGGCAATGCTGTGGAGTAGAAGGTCAGTCTCTGTCATGTAGAAGAGCAGAGTGATTAGATAGAAAGACTGTTAATTAGAATGCTAAGACCGCAGCAGGGCACCTTCTCACTGATCAGCTGTGTGAAGGCAGCTCAAACTGTAAAAAGCTGGAGAGAATCTGTGTGGAATACTTGTTGGTGCCAAAATCTCTAATGCCCCAAAGAAAAAGAGCCAAGTATCAACCCTACACAGGATTTTAACTAAAAGGAAAGACACAAGGCACATTCCAGTTTACGTGTTGAGCAAGTGCCAAAGTTAGATTAAACAGTGAATGATTACTGTTAAAGGTAGTAACAAGGTATATGTATTTCTTCAAATCTTGCTCTAAATGCTGTAATCAATTTTTATCTATAATACTTTGAGATGAATTGTTATGCTTTGTTAACTTAATATTCTATTTTTATAGAAAAAGCACAGAGGCATAGAAAAGCATGTTAACGTCTCTCTCTCCTCTGGGAAGCCTTTTGTTCCAATCTATAGTCACGGGTCTGCCCAGGAGCAGCCAGGTCAAATTGTAGTCAGGATTGTAAAGGAGGGAAGCGTCCATATGTATAAACTCCAAAACTCAAACCTACAGAAGAATACAGCAAGCAATTTTCTTAGAAGAATAAGAAACAATGAGAGGAGCCACAACGGTGACAGGAGTTCATGGGGCCAGGAACCCTGTCTTGCACACCTGGTAGAAGGGCTCTGAAGTCAGGGGGTAACTTTCTGCATGATATCAGTTGAAAAGTTGGTGAATCCTTGAGTACAAGGGCCTCTTTTTCTACACACCTCTTATTCACACTGCAGGGTCGATCGCTGCCATTTTCCAAGCCCTTCCTGCCATATTCCTGCTCTTGCTAATGCTATACATTCTAAACTGCTAAGGACTCCCTGTTAAGAGAGTATTTTCTCGAGGATCAGAAAAAGGTAAAGGGATTTTCAGAAGAGACACCTTGGAAACTGTGGATTTATACTGTAAAGAGTGGAGGCAAAGCCCTTCCCAATTAAAAAGAAAGATTTTTGGAGGATGAGCAGGGAGAATGAAAGTATAAGGTGAAGGCATTGGTGACAATGGTATTCGTTTGAATCACAGCCTACCATTTCCTCACTGCATGACCCTGGGCATGTTATATCTAAATTCTCCAAAAATCAGTTTTTGTCATTCTTATCATAGAGTTAAAAATACTTAACCTCCTGGTGCTGTGAGGAGTAAATGTAATAATTTGTATTTAATAATTTGTATAAATCTCTTGTTACAAAACTTGAAACACAATAAGCATTAAATAAGTGATAGCCAGTGTTACTAGCTATTGTTGTCATGCCTACATTACTGTGCCAGACATTGAAATTCCTGTGCAATCTCCCTATACCTTGCCTACTTATCTCATTTCCTACCATTCACTCATCCTTCCATCCCTGTAATATATGTTCATCATGAACATGTACCAGGCTCCATCCAGGCCTGGGCCCATTTTCTTCTCCTTATTATCACTTTTGTTTCTCTTACGGACTCTGAATGAAATTCTCCTTCCCAGGCTTCCATCTCATTCCCGGAAATTCAACTTGAATATTAGTTCCTTCAGAAGCTATTTAGAGCAATTTCTGTTCACTTTAGACTCTTCCTTTCTCTGTATTGTAATTATTGTTTGTGTCATAGGCTTAAGTGCTAGATTACATAGAGAAGAACTTTCTGTGATGATGGAAATGATCTATAGCTCTATTATCTAGTACAATAGCCACTAACTATTTATGGCTATTGCTTACTTATAACTAATGGCTAGTATAATTGAAGAAGTGCATTTTAAACTTTGTTTGGTTTTAATCAATTAAACTTTAAATCTGAACGACTGTCTTGGCCTAATGTGTCAACTATCTACTCTGACAAAAGATCTTGTGAGACGTAACACTCATGTGTTTTTGCTGGCCTCCTGGGGCCAACACCTATCCTCTTTTCCCATGGTGTCCTGTCTGCCCATAGAGATATCATGGAATGGATGTGGGGAAAGAGAAATAGAGGTCCAGTGCTCAACACGATGGGGTTGGTTGTGAGCTAGACTGAAGTTGGGGTGAATAGGACCTAGTCCCATCTGTTTGTGAGTAATCCTGCAGAATTAGATCTACTGGTTGGCAGGATTTACAGGAACCCTGCTCTGGTGAGCTGGCAGGCCTTGCCGTTCTACATGTGAGTAAGGCCTCCTTTGAGGGCCCCTGAGTCACTGTGGCTGATCCATGGAACTGACCTTTGTGGCATCCCACCTGGCCTGGATCAGGCTATTGCTTGATCTTTCTTCCTCTTATTAGAGAATTTTCACCCTGTGACTCAGCTCTGGTTCCTGATTACAAACTCTTCAGAGCTGCCTTGAAATCCTCCCTTTCTGTGTTGAGTCCATTCTGTGTTTCCCAGGGGTTCATGAACATTTGGAGATCACAGACTCCTTTGAGAGGAAATACATGCTATGAACACTTTTCTTAGAAAAATGCACATGGTCACATCCATATGCAATTTTGCATATAATTTCATCAGGGACACAGATCTCTTGAAACTCAGGCCTAGGTCTGAGACCCTTGGTTAAGACCACCTTCTTTTACATTTATGCAGCCGATAAACATATGGAAAAAAGCTCATCATCACTGGTCTTTAGAGAAATTCAAATCAAAACCCCAATGAGATACCATCTCATGCCAGTTAGATGGCGATCATTAAAAAGTTAGGAACAAACAGATGCTGGAGAGGATATGGAGAAATAGAAACACTACACTGTTGGTGGGAGTGTAAATTAGTTCAACCATTGTGGAAGACAGTGTGGCGAATCCTCAAGGATCTAGAACCAGAAATACCATTTGACCCAGCAGTCCCATTACTGGGTATATACCCAAAGGATTATAAATCATTCTACTATAAAGACACATGCACATGTATGTTTATTGCTGCACTATTTACAATAGCAAAGACTTGGAACCAACCCAAATGCCCATCAGTGATAGACTGGATAAAGAAAATGTGGCACATATACACCATGGAATACTATGCAGCCATAAAAAAGGATGAGTTCATATCCTTTGCAGGGACATGGATGAAGCTGGAAACCATCATTCTCAGAAAACTATCACAGGAACAGAAGATCAAACATCGCATGTTCTCACTCATAACTAGGAGTTGAACAATGAGAACACATGGACACAGGGAGGAGAACATCACACACTGGGACCTGTCAGGGGGTGGGAGTCTAGGGGAGGGATAGCATTAGGAGAAATACCTAATGTAGATGACGGGTTTATGGGTGCAGCAAACCACCATGGCACGTGTATACCTATGTAACAAACCTGCACGTTCTGCACATGTATCCCAGAACTTAAAGTGTATATATATATACTTTATATATATATGCATATATAAAGAACACCTTTTTAATCTGACCTTAGAAGTTTTGCATGCTATTCTTTCCTTGCTCAGCATCAGCTCAGATCTAACTTATTCTGTACTCATTGGGTAACATTTTGATGACTGGTTCAGGGCTCTAGTTACCTTAATAACAGAACAGTCACTGTAAATAGCTGTGAGGAGTATTTCAGTCATTATAAATAGCTATCCCCAATGGGTAGGTTAATAGGTTGGCATTCTGGCTTAAAAATATTTTCCTCCTTGCAAAAGAGATATTAGAAATTGGTTATATATAGCTACAATCATAAAATTCATAAAATAGCAGCACTGAGCTCCAGACTCCGGACTGAGAGTGGCCCCAATCCCCCAGCTTTACCATCTCTTGTTAGTTACAGGTGTCCAGTCGTGGATCTCTCATGTACTAATATCCTCAATTGAACTTTGAATTTGCATTCTTTAACTCAGCTGAGTTTTCTTCTGATCTGACCTGATCCTTCATCCCATAGATCACAAGTTAAGAATTGGAGGAAATGTTGAGACTATTTTTTGCAGAGGCCCAGGGAAGGAGGTGGCTGGTTCAAGGTCTCACAGCTGGTGGATGACAAGGCAGGGCTAGAACCCAGCTGGCTTCTAGTCCAGTTCAGTGTTTCCATTTCTCTACGCTCTATGGGTAATTTGTCCTTGAGGTTTGGATAAGATGACTTGGGAAGTTGAGCCTGTATCATATGTGTATTCATATGCATGAATACCTCATTTCATGTTTTGGATATATATTCTTGCAAATTTGGTAATAAAGTGAATTTCAGCAAATTATATATCTTACCATGTTTCTTAAAGACTAAAGATGCAATCCTTCTGTAAAAGCTTTTAGCCTTGAGTATACACTTGGATATAATAGAAAAACCAAATGCCTAGAGTGAAAAGAATTTTCTGATGAAATATTAAAATAATGTTCTGAATTAGCCAACAAATATTAAAGTGGCAGACAAAAATCTTTTTATCTAGAGGAAAATATAGCCTATTTCTTTAATACACATTTTTCTCTATCTGCAGGTAAATATTCCTTTTGAAAAGCTCAAAGTTTTACTTCTCCTCTCTGAAGGGTTTATCTTGCACGATCACTTTGAAAAGCTCAAAGTTTTATTTCTCCTCTCTGAAGGGTTTATCTTGCACAATCACTATTAATTGTTTAACAGCCTAGATTAGCTTGCTGAATGTTTGTTTAGTATCTCGTATAAATTCGTTATCATTACCAGTCAGCTTTCCTATAGTATTATTAAGGTTTATTATTTCTGTAAGTATGACTTTCTCTGTTGTGGGGTTTTTGTAAGTGGAATAAATAAACAAAGCAGCAGCTATTTTTAATAGCCATAGGATATTATATTTTATAATTTAATAAAGAGTCTAAAATGTTATGGGAGATAATATAAAGCTTGGAATTCTTTACAAAAAAGCCTAATGTCAGTTTTGTTTCCTCAGTTACTTGCCGTGATTATCTTTCCTCTGGCCACCAGGGTCATAGTAACTGCCTTAGCCTAGTCCCAAGGCCAGTACATTTTGTACTATAGATGATTTCAGGAGGAAGGAAGAGTAGACAAATGAGCTGCAGAGACAGTCCTCAAACTTCATATTAATTAATCATTTCAGCTGCTCCCTATTAAAATTTTAACTAGAACAGCTAATAGGGAGCAAAATGGATGGGTTTGAATTTCATCTCCTTTTGTTTTCCCTGCTCACTCTCTGGAAAAGGGGGTAATGAACAGTGAAATGGTCAGGCGTGAGATGCGAGGAGGGTGAGGACCTGCCTGTGGAGCCTGTGGCTGTGTAATCGGCTCCTGAATTATCACAAGGTGTCCCACCGTTTTATTGTCAGAAATGTTCAGGTTGCAATGTGGAGGGGAGTAAGGAGATGAAAAGATGGTGTCCCCATGTCCATTTTGTCCATTGGATGGGAGATATACTTCCAGAGAAGACTCTTCAGAGAAAAAATAGTAGAAGACAAATGTTGGTTTGCAATGTGTAATAAACCTGTTAGTGTTTACAGTACAGATGCTGACACTGTTTAACCTAATAGCAAGCTGTTGCCTAAGCATCTTTTGGAGGGTAATTAAAAGGCTCCTAGATGTACTGAAACCAGTTATATTAAAATTTTATTTGTAGGGAGTACTGAAAACTTCAGGTAAAAAAATCAGAATTCATGATCCAACCAAAGATGTTTTCCTGTCACGGGCATGAGGGATGCTGCCAGAAGGAGATCCCAATTAAAGACCAGGGCTTGGTTACAAAGGTGGAGACCACAAATCAACTTTCCTCTGATCCAACCTACCACTACTTTAATGAGGGAAAGAAAAAGTTCACTATTGTAATATTATTAAGTAGAAATTACAAGAAATAACTGATTATTCCTCTGGAAAGAAGATCACAGAAATGTGTGGGCCTGCTTGAAGACATTTAGTAGCAGAACGGCTAGGAAAATCGGTGCTGAGAGGGCGCTGAGAAGACACTCTTTTTTGGAGAGCTGCATTTTTCAGGCATAATGAATGGGTCATGTTTGCTCTTTGTGTGTATTTGCTGTTTGCCAAAAGCCCACCAGGTCTAGCTGGGTTTCCCAGCAGAATTCCAGAAGAGATATACAAGAGATCCACCCGCTCCTTCTGAGACTGCCACTGACAGGATGTGTGACCTCAGAGAGTCACTGTCCTGCTCTGAGCATCACTTTCTAGGATCTGTAAAGGGAAAGGAACACTTCTGATTCAAAGAAGGGTCAATACTGCTGTAATTATACCTCGTATTGAGAAAATACCTTTCCTCCTAACTCCCAAATAATTTGGAAAAAGGTGTTGGTTCTTTTTTTTTTTTTTTTTTTTGGGACGGAGTCTTGCTCTGTTGCCCAGGCTGGAGTGCAGTGGCGCGATCTCGGCTCACTGCAAGCTCCGCCTCCTGGGTTCACGCCATTCTCCTGCCTCAGCCTCCCGAGTAGCTGGGACTACAGGCGCCTGCTACCACGCCCGGCTAATTTTTTGTATTTTTAGTAGAGACGGGGTTTCATCATGTTAGCCAGGGTGGTCTTGAACTCCTGACCTCGTGATCCAGCCGGCTTGGCCTCCCAAAGTGCTGGGATTAAAGGCGTGAGCCAGCGTGCCCGGCTGGTATTGGTTCTTAAAACTCCTCTGTAATTCACGGGGATTATTGCAGTTGGAGTTATGGAGAGTCAGTGAAATTAAGTGGTGGGTGAAAAGTGACCGTCTCACTTTTCAGAGGAGGATGGAGAACGGTACTCCTGACTCCAGAGCTTAAGCCATCTGGCTAGAATTGTATGGAAAATGGAAGAGAGCCTGATGTAATTTGGTGTTTGGTGTTTTCCTCAGTTGTATGGGTGTTTCAATTTTCTTACCAGTCCTGTCTGCCTTTTTGTTTTTTGACTGGAGTTCATCAACAGTAGTTGTAGCCAAAGATACCAGAACGGGAGTGATTTCATTTAAAAAAATCGGCTTTAAAAAAAGACTTTATTTTTTGAGCAATTTTAGTTTCACAGCAAAATTGAGAAGAAGGTACAGAGATATTCCATATACCGCCTGCCCACACACATGCATAGCCTTCTGCGTTTTCTGCATCTCCCACAGAGTGGTACATTTGTTAGAACTGATGAACCTACATTGACACATTATCACCCAAAGTCCATAGTTTACATTAGGGTTCACTCTTGGTGTTGTACATTCCATATACAAGAAAGTTATTACATGTATCCATGATTATAGTGTCATGCAGAGTGGTTTCACTGAGCTAAAAATCCTCTATGCTCTGCCTATTCATCCCTCTCTCACCCCTACCCCCTGGCAGCCACTGATCTTTTTACTGTCTCCATGGTTTTGCCTTTTCTAGAATGTCATGTAGTTGGAATCGTAAAGTATGTAGGCTTTCAGATTGGCTTCTTTCTCTCAGTAATATGTATTTAAGTTTCCTCCATGTCTTTTTTCTTTTCTTTTTTTTTTTTGAGACAGGGTCTTGCTTTGTCACCCAGGCTGGAGTATAGTGGTGCAATTTCAGCTCACTGCAGCCTCGACCTCCTGGGTTCAAGCGATTCTCCCACCTCAGCCTCTTGAGTAGCTATGACCACAGTTGTGCACCACCATGCCTGGCTGATTTTGTATTTTTCGTAGAGACAGGGTTTTGCCACGTTGCCCAGGCTGGTCTCGAACTCCTGAGCTCAAACAATCTGCCTGCTTCGGCCTCCCACAGTGCTGGGATTACACACATGACCTCCATATCTTTTCATGATTTGATAGATCATTTATTTTTAAGTACAGAATAATAGTCCATTGTTGGATGTACCATAGTTTATTCACTTATGAAAGTCATCTTGGTTGAAGGACGAAGTTTTCTGATGTCATCTTTTTATATCATTTTTTGCAGGACTGGTGGGATGGGGCATATGAGGTGAGGGCCTGAATATGTGAGGAGAACTCATGTGGTCACAGACTTCATTCCCAGGAAGATCTCTTGACACCCATTCTCCACATTCCAAGCCAGGGTTGTCTCCAACATCTGTGTGAGGAGATACACTGAGCTGAAAAATTGGGGCCTTTTGCAACCATGCTTTTTTGGCTGGTGGCTCTCACTCATGTTTCTCGGCCCCACCAGTGGTGAGCAACATTCTCTGCTCCAGCTCTCTGTCCTTGTTCCAATATGGGGCCCTCGGACCTCCTCATATCCTCACAAATGGCTCTGGGAGTTCCTGGGGTTATCTCAGGTGTGGTTAGCACATTGGCAGTTGACAATTTCACCACCTTCTGCTTCCCAGGTCTGACTTATAGGATACGGACTCTTGTCACTGCTGCTCTAAGTCATGGTGTGAGTCCTTAGGCCTGGAATTAAGGATGATTGAGTGTGTCACCTCTGATGGTGGCCCATTACTTTTTTTCCTTAACTTTATTTTATTGTGGTAAGAACACAATATGAGATCTACCCTCAACAATTTTTTTTTCTTTTTTTTGAGATGGAGTTTTGCACTTATTGCCCAGGCTGGAGTGCATTGGCATGATCTCGGCTCACTGCAACATCTGCCTCATGGGTTCAAGAGATTCTCCTACCTCAGCCTCCCGAGTAGCTGGGATTATAGGCATGCGTCACCATGCCTGGCTAATTTTTTTGTATTTTTAGTAGAGACGGGGGTTTTCCATGTTGGTCAGGCTGGTCTTGAACTCCAGACCTCAGGAGATCCTCCTGCCTTTACCTCCCAAAGTTCTGGGATTACGAGCGTGAGCCTCTGTGCCTGGCCACCCTCAACAAATTTTTAAGTATACAATACATTATTATTAACTATAGGTACAGTGTTGTACAGGAGATTCCTACAGCTTATTCATCTTGCTTAATGGATACTTCATGCTCATTGATGAGTAACTCTCCATTTTCCCCTCCCTCCAGCCTCTGGCAACCACCATTCTACTCTTTGATTCTATGAATTTGACTTAGTGAGGTATCTAATATAAGAGAAATCATTCAGTATTTGTCTTTCTGTGATTGGCTTATTTCACTCAGCATAGTGTTCTCAAGGTTCATCCATGTTGTTGCACATGGCAGAATCTCCTTTGTAAAGGCTGAAAAATATTTCATTGTAGATATATACCATTCAGATGTTTTCTGTATCCATACATGTGTTGATAAACACTTAGCTTGTTTCCATAAGTTGGTTGTTGTGAATAGTGTTGCAATAAACATGGAAGTGCTAATATTTCTTCAGGATCCTAATTTCAATTCTTTTGGATAAATAATCAGGAGTAGAATTGCTGGATGACATGGTAGTTATATTTTGTATTTTTCAATGAACCTCTCTACTATTTTCCAGAATGCCACACCATTTTGTATTCCCACTAACAGTGTGCAAGGGTTTCAATTTCTCAACATTCTCATCAATAATTGTCTTTTTAAAAAAAGTATACAATCCATTATTATTGACTATAGGTACAGTGTTGTACCTATAGTCAATATCTTTATTTTTTGAAAGATTATATTTTCAAAAACAACAAAAAGTACATATATACAGTGAGTGGCATTTTTTTTTTTTGAGATGGAGTTTTGCCCTGTCGCCCAGGCTGGAGTTCAATGGTGTGATCTCAGCTCACTGCAGCCTCCGCCTCCTGGGTTCAAGCAATTCTCCTGCCTCAGCATCCTGAGTAGCTGGGATTACAGGCATGCGTTACCATGCCCAGCTAATTTTTTTTTTTTGTGTGTGTGTCTTTAGTAGAGACAACCTTTCACCATGTTGGCCAGACTGGTCTCGAACTCCTGACCTCGTGATCCTCCCACCTTGGCCACCCAAAGTGCTGGGATTATAGGCGTGAGCCACCGTGCCCGGCCGAGTGGCATTGCTTTAAATTTTTCCAAATTTCTTTAATTTCTTACTGAATAGAAGACAGGTAGATTCTCTTACCTCTTTTGCCTTCAGTCTGTTGTGATATCACATTTAAGGTAGCCATTGTGAACTTATGAGAGAATGAGAATGAAAAAGGCAAATAATATGTTAGTATTATTATGAAAATTGTTTTAATCTTGTGGATAGCCAGACCACATTTTGAGAACCTTTGCAGTAAAGAGGTCTAAGTTTCAAATTTTTGTCTTTTTTTTTGATAATAGCCTTCCTGATAGTGTGAGGATTAACAAATCATTGTGCTTTGATTTGTATTTCCCTGATAAGTAGTGACATCGTACTTTTTTTCATAGCTTGGTAACCATGTATATATCTTCTTTGGAGAAATTTCTATTCAAATCTTTAGTTCATTTTAAATTAGGTCATTTTTTTTTGCTATTGAGTTGTATAAAATTCCTTATATAGTTTAGAGATTAACTCCTTATCAGATATATTGTTTGAGAATATTCTTTCTCATTCTATAGTTTATCTCTTCACTCTATTGATTGCTTTCTTTGCTATGCAGAAGCTTTTTAGTTTGATGTGGTCCCACCTTTGTTTTTGTTGCCTGTGCTTTTGGTGTCATATCTATGAAAAGTCATTGTCAAGACTAAAGTCATAAAGATTTTCCTGTTTTTGTTCTAGAAGTTTTTAGAGTTTTAGGTCTTATGTTTTAAGTTAAACAATTTTGAATTGATTTTGAACAATTATGAATCAATTTTGAGTTGATTTTTGTATATGGTGTAAGATAAGGATCCAATTTCATTGTTCTGCATGTGGGTAGCCAGTTTTCCCATCATCATTTGTTGAAGAGACTATCCTTTCCCTGTTTTGTATTCTTGGCACCCTTGTGGAAGATCAGTTAATTGTATATGCATGGATTTATTTCTGGGCTCTGCATTCCATTGCATTGGTCTACAGTAGTCCTCCACTTGTCCTCTGTTTCACTTTCTGTGGTTTCAGTTACCCATGGTCAACCATGGTCTGAAAATATAAAATGGAAAATTCCAGAAATAAATAATTCATAAATTTTAAACTACATGCTGTTTTGAGTAGTGTGATGAAATATTGTGCTGTCCTGCTCCATCCTATCCAGGGTATGAATCATCTGTTTGTTCAGTGTACGCATGCTATATATGCTACCCACCTGTGAGTCGCTTTGTAGTTTTCTTGGTTATCAGACTGAAAAAACATAGCATATATAGAGTTTGGTATTGTCTGTGGTTTCAGGCATCCATTTAGAGTCTTGGAACATATCCCTTGTGGATAGCGGGGGGACTGCTGTTTATGACTCTCTTTATGCCAATATCATAATATTTTGATTACTGTAGCTTTGTAATATGTTTTGAAACAGAAAATGTGATATCTACAACTTTGTTCTTCTTTCTCAAGATTGATCTGGCCATTCATGGTTTGTTGTGCTTCCATATGAATTTTTGAATTCTGTTTTCAGTTTCTGGAAAAAATGCCATTGGGATTTTGATAGGAATTACACTGAATCTGTAGATTGCATTGGGTAATATGAACATTTTAACAATATTACATCTTCTAATTCATGAACACAGGATGTCTTTCTATTTGTTTTTGTGTTCCTTAAATTTTCTTTCATTAATATTTAGTAGTTTTCAATACACAGTCTTTCACCTACTTAGTTTTTTCCTAAGTATTTTTTTGATGTTATTGTAAATAGGATTGTTTTCTTGGATTCCTTCTCAGATAGTTCATGGTTGGTGTACAGAAATGCAACTTATTTTTGTATAATGATTTTGTATCCTGCAAATTTACAGAATTAATTGATTAGTTCTAAGAGTTTTTATTTTTATTTTTATTTTTGAGACAGAGTCTTGCTCTGTTGCCCAGGCTGGAGTGCAGTGGCATGATCTCAGCTCACTGCAACCTCTGCCTCCTGGGTTCAAATGATTCTCATGCCTCAGCCTCCCTAGTAGCTGGGATTACAGGCATGTGCCACCACACCCGGATAATTTTTGTATTTTTAGTAGAGATGGGGTTTTTATGTGTTGGTCAGGCTGGTCTTGAACTCCTGACCTCAGATGATCTGTCCGCCTTGGCCTCCCAAAGTGCTGGGATTACAGGCATGCGCCACTGTGCCCGGCCTCTAACAGTTTTTTAAATGGAATTTTAAGGGTTTTCTATATATAAGATCATGTCGTCTGCAAACAGGGACAATTTTACTTATTCCTTTCTAATTTGGATGTCTTTTATTTCTTTTTCTTACGTAATTGCTGTAGCTGGGACTACTGGTACTATGTTGAATAGAAGTCACAAGAGTGGGCATCCTTACCTTGTTTCTGATCTTAGAGGAAAAGCTTTCAGTTTTTCATGATTGAGCATGATATTGGCTGTGGGCTTTTCATAGTTGGCCTTTATTATGTTGAGGTACTTTCTATTTTAGGTTTGTTGAGCATTTTTATGAAAAAGGGTGTTGAATTTTGCTAATGCCTTTTCTGCATCTATTGAGATGATCATGTGTTTTTAATTCTTTATTTTGTTAATAGGTGATAAGTTTGGATATGTGTCCCTGCCCAATTTCATGTTGAATTGTAATCCTCAGTGTTGGAGGTGGGGCCTGGTGGGAGTGATTGGATCATGGGGCTGAATTTCTCATGCATGGTTTAGCACCGTCTCCTTGGTACTGTTCTCGTGATGGTGATTTCTCATGAGACTTGGTTGTTTAAAGGTGGGTGGCAGTGGGTGGCACCTCCCCCTGTCTCTCCTGCTCCTGCTCTTGCCATGTGACGTGTAAGCTCCTGCTTCACCTTCTGTCATGATTGTAAGCTTGCAGAGACCACCCCAGAAGCAGATGTCAGTGCTCTACTTCCTGTACAGCCTGCATAACCGTGAGCAAATTAAACCTTTTTTCCTTAAAAGTTCCCAGTCTCAGGTGTTTCTTTATAGAAATGCCAAAACAGGCTAATACAATAGGATTATCTTATCAATTGATCTTTGTGTGATAACCCATCTTTTCATGCTAGGGATAAATCCAATTTAATCATGGTGTACGATCCCTTTATTGTGATGTTGGATTTGGTTTGCTAGTGTTTTGTTGAGGGCTTTTGCATCTATATTCATCAGAAATATTAACCTGTGGCTTTCTTATAGTGTCTTTGACTGCCTTTTGTATCAGGGTAATGCTGGCCTCATAAAATGAATTTAGAAGTATTTCTTCCTCTTGGATGTTTTGTAAGAGTTTGAGAAAAATTGGCATTAATTGGCATTAATTCCTTTTTAAAAGTTTAGTAGAATTCACCAGTGAAACAATCTGATCCTGGACTTTTCTTTATTGGGAGGTTCTTGATTACTGATTCAATCTTCATACTAGTTATAGGTCTGTTCAGGCTTTCTATTTCTTCTTGATTTAATCTTAGTAGGTTGTATGTTTCTAGTAATTTATCCATTTCTTTTAGGTTATCCTGTTTATTGGCATATAATTGTTCATAGTAGTCTCATGATTCATTTTACTTCTGTGGCATCAGTTATAATATGTCCTCTTTCGTTCTGATTTTATTTATTTGAATATTTTCTCTTCTTAATTAGTTTAGCTAAGGGTTTGTGAATTTTATCTTTTCAAAACACCGACTCTTAGTTTTATTGATTTTTCTATTTTCTATTACATTTATTTCTGCCCTACTCTTCGTTATTTCCTTCCTTCTGCTAACTTTGGGCTTAGTTTATTCTTCTTCTAGCTCCTTGAGGTGTAAAGTTAAGTTGTTTATTTGAGATCTTTCTTCTTTTTTAATGTAGGCATTTATTGCAATAAACTTCTCTGTAGTGTTTTTGCTGTAACCCATAAGTTTGGTATGTGTGTCTTCACTTTTATCTTGAGATATTTTTATTTTTATTTTATTTAAAAATATTAATATTTTTTCATGAGACAGGGTCTCACTCTCATCCAGGCTGCAGTGCAGTGGCATGATCTTGGCTCACTGCAGCTTCGGCCTCTCTGGCTCAAGTGATCCTCCCACCTCAGCCTCCTGAGTAGCTGGGACTATAGGCACATAACAACATGCCTGGTTAATTTTTTTTATTCTTATTTTTTTGTAGGGATAAGTTCTTACTATGTTGCCCAGGCTGGTCTTGAACACCTGGGCTCAAGTGATCCTGCTGCCTCAGCCTCCCAAAGTGCTGGGATTACAGGTGTGAGCCACTATGCCTGGTCTCAAGATATTTTTAAATTTCCTTTTCAATTTCTTCTTTGACTTAATAATTGTTTAAGAGTTTGTTATTTAATTTACATATTTTTGTGAATTTCCCAGTTTTCATTCTGCGATTGATTTATAGTTTCAGTCTATTATGGTCAATAAAGATGTTTGGAATGATTTCAGTCTTCTTAAAATTTTCAGACTTGTTTTGTGACTTAATACGTGACCTATTCTGGAGAATCTTCAGTGTGCTTTTGAGGATATGTATTCTACTGCTGCGGGGTGGAATGTTCTGTATATGTTTCTTACATCCATTTGGTCTATGTTGTTCAAGTCCTCTGTTTCCTTATTGATCTCTCTCTGGATGTTTTATCCAGTATAGAAAGTGAGGTATTGAAGTCTTCTACTATTATTGTATTGCTATCTATTTCTGCCTTTAGCTCTGTCAATGTTTGCTTTATATATTTATGTGCTCTTATGTTAGGTACATATATGTTTATAATTGTCATATCTTCCTGGTAGATTGACCCTTTTATCATTATATAGTGCCTTTTCTTGTCTTGTGATGGTTTTTGACTTAAAGTCTATTTTGTTTGATACAAGTACAGCTACCCCTGCTCTGTTTTGGTTACCATTTGCATGGAATATCTTTCTCTATCCCTTCACTTTCAGCCTATGTGTGTCCTTAAATCTAAAGTAAATTTCTTATAGACAACATAAAGCTGGGCCTTTAAAAAATTTATCAAGCACTCTTGTCTTTTGCTTGGGGGAATTTAATTCATTTACATTGAAATTAATTATAGATAGAGAAGGATTTACTATTGCCATTTTGCTAATTATTTGTTGATGTTGTAGTTTTTCGGTCTTTTTTTCTCTTACAGTCTTTTTTGTGTTTTCTTGATTTTTAAAAATATTGATATGCTTTTATTTCTTTCTATTTTACTTTTATTTAACTTCTATAGGTATTTTTTGTATCTTAGAGCTTACATAAAATATCTTGTAGTTATAGCAGTCCATGTTAAGTTCAATTGCATGCAAAAACTCTACACTTTACCCCCCACATTTTGTTATTGTTGTTGCCACAATGTACATGTATTCATATTATGTATCTTTAAACATATTTTAGCCACTTATTTTAAAAACTTTTGTCTTTTAACTTTTATACTAGAATTAAAAGTGATTTACTCATCACCATTACAGTAATACAGTAATACAGTATTCTGGATATGTCTATATTTACCTTTACTAGTGAGTTTCATACTTTCTTATGCTTTTGTATTGCTATATAGTGTACTTTAATTTTCCCTTGAAAAACTTCCTTTAGCATTTCTTATAAGACATATATAGTGGTGATGAACACTCTCAGCTTTTGTTTGTCTGGGAAAGTCTTTATCTCTTTTCATTTTCAAAGCATAGTTTTTTTGGGGTATAGTATTCTTGGTTGGCAGTTCTTTACTTTCAGTATTTTGAATATATTATCCCACTCCCGTCTGGCCTGCAAAGTTTCTGCTGAAAAATGTGTTATAATCTTATGGGAGTTCCCTTGAATGTGACAAGTTGCTTCTCTCTTGCTGCTTGTGAAATTCTCTCTTTGACTTTTGATAATTTGATTATAATGTACGTCAGTGTGGATTTCTTTCTTTTTTTAAAAGCTAAACCAGAGATCCTTTAATCAGTGTGAATTTCTTGCATTCATTTTATTTGATGTCTTTGGGTTTCTTAGATACAGACGAATCTTTTCTTTCCCTAGGTTTGGAAAGTTTTCAGCCATTATTTCTTTGAATAAGCTTTGTAGTCCTTTCTCTCTTCTCCTTCTTTGATTCTACATAATGTATATTTTAGTCTGCTTGATGGGTTTCCATAAGTCCCTTAAGCTTTCTTCACTCTTAAAATATTTGCTTCTTTAATGGCATTATTTTCAATGATCTATCTTCAGGTTCATGGTTCCTTTCTTCTACCTGACTCAGTCTGCTATTGGACCCCACTAGCGAATTTTTTTAGTTCAGTTATTGTGTTCTTCAGCTCCATGACTTTTGTGTGGTAATTTAAAATATTTTCTATCCCTTTGTCGAAATACAAACAAAGAAATATCTCTTTGTAGTTCTCTTGACTTTGGTGAGCATCTTTATGACTGTTATTTGAATTATCTGTCAGATGAGTCATATATTCTGTTTTATTAGGGTTTATTTCTGGAGTTTTATCTTGTCCCTTTGTTTGGAATATCATTTCCTGATTTTTAAATTTTCCTTGACTTTCTATTTTTATGTCTGTGCATTAGACGAAACAGTCACCTTTCCCAGTCTTCACTAACTTTCGTTGTATAGAAAAAGACCCTCACCAATCAGCCCAGCCAGAGATTCTGGTTCCTCTCCCAACCTTTCCCTCTACGGTGAGAAGGTAGTTATAGTTTTCATCTGCTCACTCTGTGCTGAGCTGGGGTCGGGGGCAACAGGGGAGTTTTGGCCTCTTCCAGTTCAAATGCTATCTCTGTTCTCTCCCAGGTGTCTAGACTGCCATTCATCCTGTCAGAGCTCCAAGACAGGAAAGACAAGCCAGTTCTCTGGGGAGGCCCCTCAGAAAAGTTGGGGTACTGGATACACAAATCAACTCCTTCCCTATTGTGGGAGAAGCTGGGAGGTGGTGGTGGATCTTTTCCTGATTATATGGTGCTGTGCCTGACATAGAAATTCTGGCAAGGTGTTTTGAAGCTCCCTATCAGCTTTGGTGAGTCAGTTTTTGAGGATGCGGGAGCCATTCAATTTGTGTCTGGATATCTTACAAAGCAAATTTTTCTGTCAGTTGTTGCTGAAGTGGTGTGTCTTTGGGAAAAAGAAGTATCTAGGGCTTCCTACTCTGCCATCTTGTTGAAGTCCTGTGACCCATTACTCTTGAACCAAACTGCTGTACCTCCCTTCTTTCTTTTCTCAGGATAGGACTTACTCTAAAGGGTCCTTAGTACCTCATATGAATTGACTCCTTATGTTTAAGTGTCTTCAGGCTCAAGCTGAAGTTTTTACTCCTGTAGATTTTAGATGTGGGTCAAAGCTGGCCTTGAAGCTCCTAATATAGGGGTCCATAATGCCAAAAGCCTGAAGGGGGAACCTTCGTTTGGTTCACTGTTCTCACAGTGTGAGATCTCCCATCACAGGGCAGTGGAACCATATTTCTATGGCCCCGATGCTCTACAATAACACAACCAAGGCTCCCACTGACCAAAGTGGAAAGTGGAGAACTTGCCTTTGTTATGAGCCTCTTATCTCTCTCTACCTCTGCAACCCTTTAATGTTTGTTGCTGGAGGTGTGGTGTGTTTTTAAGTTCTACATGCTTGCTAGGACTCTCTGTGGTGCTGCCTGACCTGGCCTCACCTGTGCTGTGAGCCTTTCCTCTTCCTTTCTTCCCATCAAAGCTTACCTGTTCAGGGAGCCATTCTATCAAGAGCTGATCTCTTCTGGAAAATGATAAACTACTTTAAACTGATATGTTGAATAATGATAATCTCTTAAGCTAGTTGTTCCTGATGGATGTGATCAGAACTGTGAGGTGATACCACCTTTTGGGTTGCAGAAATAAAGACTAAGAGGCTTGCCATGAACATGAAAATGACAGCTTACCTGGAAATGAGTACAGCTCCTGCCTATGGAGACAATCCATACATGTAGTCCTTCACTTACTTCTTCACCTTCCTCCAGGGATCCTTATAAACAAAACTTAGGGTTGGACGACTGTTCAGATCCAGAGCATGCTGCTTCTCTGAAAAGGCACTTTGGCCTGATAATATTTAAGATAATAATATAGTATTGTCTTTTCTGCTAGAGTAAAGAAGGCTGACAGATAAGACCAAGTCTGGGGCTTTATTCAGTAGGCTACAGAGGAGTTGAAGGTGGATATAACAGAGTTAAAATGGTGATGGATAGAAGTCATGGAGGAAAGAGTAGGTGAGGGTACAAGCAGACAAAAGAGGGCATTGGAAATATTCTACTCCAGTTATTTTAGGGAAATCTGGATGATGGATATAGAACGGTTATCTTTAAATAAGGCAAGTGGGTGGAGAGAAAGGTACTAATTAGGTTGGAATGAACATTCTTTTTGGATGAGGTTAAGATCATTGTTTAAGTAAGGACAAGGATTAATGGTACTTCTCAGGGTGCTTTGGATGCTCACACCCACAGCAGTCCTTGTTGAGCAGATGGAAGAAAGGATGATTGAAAGAATGAATGAATATTGCCAGTATACTCATATGTCTCTGAGCTTACAAAGACTTGTTGGGTGAGTCAGAGTTATTAATATAAATAGTTACAGTGGCAACAATATGTCCTAGTGACAGTCCTATTTTAAAAAATAACTTTAAAATCTATTTTAGAATTTTATTCTAAATCCTATGCATGTTCTTTTTTGCATTCCTTTGCTCAAGTCTGTTATTTACAGTGTTTATTACTTTTAAACATATGGGAGTACATATGATGTCTGTCCACTTTTTTCTAGAGCAAGTAAACAAACTGGGAACAGGACCAACGTGATCATATTCACTCTGCCATTGACCTTGTCAATACGCTCCAAGGTCAATAGTGGTGGTTGAGTTTTTGTCAGAATTGACTTGTTTTCAGCAGGGCTGATCTCCCGCCCACTAACATTTGTAATCTTCCCTTACTATCCAGCCTGCTGTAAAATTACTAGTACAGTTTCCCCAGGCAATGACTTTGTGATTTTCAACTTTTTTTTTTTATTGATCAATAAACAGTTTTAAACCAAAAAACCCCACAGTGAGAATAGAAACTTATTTGGTACTTGTAACTACCTGCCTTGGAGAAGAAAGAGGCATTGGAAAGATAAGAGCCTCAGGCGTCTGCTGCCTTCTTGATGCTAACACCACTGGATGAAAGTAGAAAAATGCGGCCATAGGTTAACAAAACAACATTTGTCTACGCTATGCTAAATAACTATTTTTTCCTATGAAATTAACCCATTGTTTCTATGACCCATGGATATATGCATCACTCTCTGCAAACTTCAGAGGTCAGGCTTTGGCTGTTGTGTTCACTGTTTTTTTTCCCTAGTGCTAAGCACAGTGCATGGCAGAGTTAATATCCAAGGAATATCTGTAGAATAAATGATTGAATAAATAATATAGCTACCAGCCTTGAGACTAAGAGGCTGAATTTGTTCATATATTACAATGAATTAATGAATAAATTCATTATATTTGTTCATATATTACAGGGGTTTTCTAGTGATTTCCATGCATAAGTCTGAGCTCTCCAGCTAGACTTAAGGAGAGACCCTAGGCCCTATGTGTTTTCTATTCCCTGTGGTAGCATATTTAGCTTATGACCATGGAAATACCTCTAATTAGTAATGACTGTTTCCAGTGGTTACAGCTTCCCACTATTCTATGTTTTCTTTTGGATTTGTTTGCGAATTGAATTTAAAAAATAAGTTTAGAAAATAAAGTAAATCCAAATCAATAACCAGCTAAGGATAGCAGATAATTTGTGATTTGAATTGAAAACTGTCCACATGGGCGCACTTTGAAGCCTGGGAGAGGTTTATCACATTCGTTGATATCATTTGTTTTATCCAAGGAGCAATTGAAGGTAGGATGAAGTGGAAGCATCTTTTTTTTTTTTTTTTAGCAGCATTGTATCATTTTTGCTTTCCTGATAAGAAATGTCAAGAAACAGCAGACTTTTGGTTTTCCTGTTTTCCATGGTGATATCAACTGACCAACACCTGTTGTCTGTGTGATGCTCATGACCCACAGATGACACATTCAGTGACAATGTGGGTAGGGCATCAGGAAAAAAGGAAGGCTAGAAGACCTAGTTTATAGTCTTTAAAGTAAGAATATGCTTTTCATAAATATTTAAATAAAAACATGCTTTTATTCACCACTGTGGAGTCACAGGCATTGGGACGTGGAAGGGGCCTTGGGCAGCTCTATTAGTCTTCCCTTTTCACACACAAGGAAACTGAGATCCAGAGCAGCTCAAGACAGACTGAAGTCACATAATGAGTCAGCAGCAGAGCCTGCCTGATATGGTTTGGCTGTGTTCCCATCCAAATCTCATCTTGAAATGTGCTCCTATCATTCCCACATGTCATGGGAGAGACCAGGTGGGAGATAATTGAATCATGGGGCAGTTTCTCCCATACTGTTCTCGTGGTAGAGAATAAGTCTCAGAAGATATAATGATTTTATGAGGGGTTTCCTCTTTTGCTTGGCTCTCATTCTCTCTTGTCTGCCACCCTGTAAGACGTGCCTTTCACTAAGACGTGCCTTTCACCTTTCACCATGATTGTGAGGCCTCCCCAGCCATGTGGAACTATGAGTCCATTAAACCTATTTTTCTTTATAAATTACCCAGTCTCAGGTATGTCTTTATCAACAGCATGAAAATGGACTAATACACCCCTAATCTGGACCCTAGCCATGAGATCTCTGTGTTGCTGTGTTGCCCCCAGCTGTTTCAGGTTATGAATAGGGATTACAACCCCGCTATGCTAATAGTGCACCCGCAGGAAATGGACATATGTTCCCATTCTTGATGGGAGCTCAAGGAGCCATTTCCCTCAGTGTCTTTGCTGGTCTGTGCTCTCTCGAGTGGTCTCCTCAGGTTACTTGGTGCCTTGACAGAGACCAGGTGATGCCACAGGGAGTGAGGCTCATTGCCATCAGGTACTTGACCCACTTTCCACACTATGAAGATTGTCTAGTGCCCATGGGCTCCATTTGTGATGGCTCCAGCCCAGCAGACCTGAGCAGCAATGAGGCATAAGGCCCTTTGCTCAGCCCATTGATGCAACTGATAGAAACTCTGTCCTTTTCAAAATGTTCCAGAAAGCCAAAATAACTCATATTTCCCACACAATGTTAGAGCAGATTTATGCCCCTTTAAGAACACATGTGGTGTAAAAAGATGAAGGCAAGGAGGGCCTAAAGTTTTACATATGGTAGCAAGGTAATCCTAGCCGAGTTGGCTTCTCTAGAGAGTGCCTGCAGGGTATAATTAGAACAGAGATAGCCATCCCAACAGATCTATACTTGAACAAATCATGGCTAAGACAAAATTGGAACCAAGGCTAAATTTATCAATAACAGGGTTTAAAAATGGAAAAGAAGACAAATGAAGTTGAAAAATTTCCTTGTTTATTTTAATATCCAGAATATTTTCTAGCTGATTTATGCCACAGCTTCAGTGTATTTTTTATTTATTTTGCAGTTAATTAGATTTCCAGGTTTTGCAGCCAGTCACTGCAATTGATTCCTGAAAAGATGGATTTATTGCTTAGCCAGGCAGAATTCTGACAATCTTTGGAGGATGGAAAATAAAAGAAAACAGCCCATACATAGAGCACTGTCGGTCATCAGTGGGTCAGAACAGCAAGATATGTTACAGCTGGCAGTTTTATGCCAGAACTTCAACACAAGTAATCTTCTTGCTAAATGGGTAGCACCAGGACCCATTGGAATATTTTATCGAATATTGTCAGTGATCCATGCTTACAAGGAAGTGTAACCCAGGATAGCAACCCTGAGGCTGATGTCAGGTCTCAGACATCTGGGTGGAGAATTGACTAAACTTGAAACAGCTCACACCTTTGCTGGCTCAAGCCAGAATGGGATCTGATTTTGACTGGTGAAGAGTTCTGTTGAAATGCTCAGAGTGTAGAACTAAGAAAGGACTCATTCATGCCTTCATCTACTCTTCATAGAGGGTCCTGGAAATTTGTCAGTTGAGAAGCAACAGAACACTGTTCTCAGCTCTGAAAAAGACTGACATCAATCCAACCATTAATTCATCTATCCATCCACATAATACTTTTTTTTTTTTGAGATAGAGTCTCATTGTGTCATCCAGGCTAGGGTGCAGTGGTGTGATCATGGCTCACTGCAGCCTCGACCTCCTGGGATCAAGTGATCCTCCCACCTCAGCCTCCCAAGTAGCTGGGACTACAGGTGCATGTCATCACACCTGGCTAACTTTTGTATTTTTTTATACAGAGGGGGTTTCACCATGTTGCCCAGGCTGGTCTTGAACTCCTGAGCTTGTGATCTACCTGCTTTGGCCTCCCAGAGTGCTGGGATATAGGCATGAGCCACTGTGCCTGGCCTACATAACTTATTACTGAGTCTCTACTATTAATATATGCTAAGCACTTTGCCTGGTGCCGGGCATAGTAAAATGAATAATACAAATATAGTTCCTATCCTTGTAGAGCTTGCAGTCTATTGGGCAAATAATTACAAGTTTGCTCTCAGGAAAGAGAAGTTCATGGAGCTCCAGGATCATATTACAGGTGAAGCTACCCTGGTCTGGGAGTTGGGGAAGGCTTCCAGCAGGAAATGCTATGAACGGAAGGCTGAGAGATTGAATATACAAATGGACAGTAATAAGACCATATATAAAATAGAACACTCACCCACAATCTGCAGCAACCAGCTCTGGAAACTAACCAATTATCTGCAGTAACCAGCCTAGGAAGCCAGCCTACCGTCCATAAAGCAGACTTGTAGGAAGTTGGACCACTATCTCTATTAACCAGCCCAGGAAGCCAAATAATAACCCTTATAATTGGCCCCAAATGGCCAGAACTTCATCGATAACTGACAACCTCCCTAATTTTTTGTCCCTACTTTCAACTTAGGAGCAACTGGAGAAAGCCAAGTATGCACCCCAACCAATCACATAGGACACCTTCTAGCAGTCCCACCTACAGCTTCCCCATGCCAACAGTCTCTAATCAGGGCACACTTGAGGTCTTTCCTTTTTCCACTATAAAGCTTTCCCACTCCCCTGCCTGCCTCTGAGTATCTGCCAAAACACAGGTGGTAATGGCTGACTCCCTTGCTAAAACAAGCTCTGGATAAATGGCCTTTGCTTGTTCTCATTTTTTTTTTTAATTTTTTTTTTTTAATTCCACAGACCTGAAGAATGAGTCAGTGTAGGCCACACAGTGATGGGAAAGAGAGTGTTTCAGGAGATTGAACAGCACATGCAAAGGCCCTGAGACAAGAAAGACTAAATTACACCTTGCAAGCTATGAAAAGTTCAATGTGACGGAAATGTAGGGAGTGAGGGGGAGACTGGCATGAGATGTAGCTGGGGATGGGGGTTGGGGATAGGAGTGAGTTTGGTATCATGCAGGGGCTTGAGAACTGTGTTGGTAATTTTGGCCTTTATCCTAACCAGCGCCTCATTTGTGGCTACAGCATGGCAGTTTTCCTCTTAACCAGGGCATTTCCACTGTGATTGCTCCCTAGCTCCTGTCTCTTGCTCCTTATGTGAGCTTCTGCCTCCTATCTGAGGGCCAGCTTGCTTTGAGACCTTGTTTTCTGTTAGCATTGTTTTTGTGAGGTGCACAGGCCAAGACATCTTACCATGTGAGTCTTGATCCTTGCAAGGACCAGCTCTCCTGACCTTCTGGGCAGTAGTAAGGTAAGCCCTGGCTTGCTCAATCTCCTCCCAGGCCCTGTGCCTAGCAGGGCCTATGAGGAAAGGGCAATGTAGAAGTGAATGGGAATTATCCCCATGTCTGTTCTCACCTTCTATAGTGACAGAGCATATGGTCAACCAGATTAAAGATACTTCCTTGGCCAGGCACAGTGGCTTATGCCTGTAATCCTGGCACTTTTGGAGGCCAAGGTGAGAGGATTGATTGAGGCTGGGAGTTCAAGACCAGCCTGTGCAACACAGTAAGATGCCCATCTGTATAAAAAAGTAAAACAATTACCCAGGCATGGTGGCACACATCTGCAGTCTCATCTACTTAATAGGCTGAAACAGGAAGATTGCGTGACCCCAGGAGTTTAATTATAGTGATTGTACCACTGCACCCTAACCCGGGTGACAGAGTGAGATGCTGTCTCTAAAAATAAAAAATTAAAAAAAGATATTTCCCAGACTCCTTTGTAGTGCAATAATGGCTTTTTTCCAAGGTTGGGCCATGGAATGTGAGAAGGAGTGATAAGTACAACTTCTGGAACATGCACTTGAAGGGTCAGGGTGTGTCCTCCCTTTCCTGCTGGCTGGAGTGTAGAAATAGTACTGGAGAGACATTTTGGGCCATGTTTCCCCAAGATGGTAGAAAAAACAGAAAAAGTACCATGACTGATGGGTGCTACTTACTTCAAGAAATTAGGTGAGAGAGAAATATACTTTTATCTTATTCAAGTCACTGTTATCTCAGTCTCTGTGATCACAGATGACCTATATCCTAATTCAGCAGATCTCAAAGTGTGATCTAGGGGCTACTGGGGGTCTGAGACTCTTTCAGAGGGCCCATGAGATCAAGACTATTTTCATAACTGCCCTAAACTTTATTTGCCTTTTCCACTCTCATTCATTCATAAGTGCATAGCTGGGTTTTCTTTAGGCTACATGATGAGTCATATCACAACAGATTGAATGCAGAAGCAGATACCAAATACAGCTGTCTTCTATTAAACCAGATATTAAAGGGGTTCACAAAAGTGCAAAACAATGCTACTCTTCCCAATAAAAAGTTTTTGAAAATAGTTATTCTTAAAATAAAAACATTTATGTTTGCATGTTTATTATTATTATTTCTATTCTAGAAACAGGATCTTGCTGTCACCCAGGCTGCAATGCAGTGATGCGATCATAGTTCACAACAGCCTCCAACTCCTGGGCTCAAATGGTCCTCTTGCCTCAGCTTCCTGAGTTGCTAGGACTATAGGCAGGAGCCACCACACCCAGCGTATTGTTACTTTTAAATGAATTAATAAAAAAATTGTTGAAAAATTTCCCCATTTTGATTTCAAATATAGTAATTATGGAAAGATGTAATCCATGTATCTAAAAGCACTTTGGGGTTGTCAATAATTTTTGAGAATATAAAAAAGATACAAAAGTGTTTGAGAACTGCTGCTATACTAACACAGGCATCTAGACTTTCCCTCTAGGGCCCATGCACTTGCTGGTTTCAGGGTCAGCTGTGCTGGCCACTCCTTCCCCCTTCTGCACCCTACACCTGATTTCTTCTTTCCTGGTTTTCCCTGATCCTCTAGGAACTGACTTCAGTTTACTTACCTAGAATCTACTGCATATTTCTTCCCTCCCCCATCCTTCATTGATTCACCAATTCTCCTAACAATGAAGCCTCTAATGTGGGCTAGGGACTGTGCTTGGTGTGGGTATCAAGGATGACCAGAACATGGTTCCAGCTTTGACTTAGCTCACAGTCCAGCAGTGGAGAGAGGCTGTGAATAGATAGTGGCAGCCCAGGGGCTCATCAGCACCACACTGGATTGCATGGGGCATGGAAATGACAGAGGAGGGGATGATCAACTCTGTCAATCAATTCTTCTAGGGGGAAGAGGGGACAGTGCATCAGGAAGGTTCTAAGGCAGAGGTAACTTTGAGTAAATTGTACAATAAATGTAAATTTGCTGACTGTGCAAGATGGGGGAAGGACCCTTGGTAGCAGAAGGAAGAGGGGCAAGACACTCTGGCTTCACAGGGCAGAGTGTTTTTGGGAAAAAAAAAGTCTAAGTGGTTCATTATGGGGTGAGAAGCTGAAAAGGGGGCGGGACCCATTAAGTCATGATAAACAATTTGGGTTTATTCCTAAAGCAGAAGGGAATCATGGAATAATTTTAAGCAGTGTGATATGATCATAATGTGATTTTATAATAGTCTCAAAGTTTCTCCCACTTGCTTAGTGGTTGTGCTCCTCACTTGCTTCCAAGAAGTGCTGTTATGCTTAGGCATGACTAATGGGTCGGGCCTCTCTGAGAACATTTATCAAACTCACAGATGTCCATTAATAGACCCTCCATAAATTTTTTTGGGGGAGAGAAAGGGGATGAGTGATTCTGAGTATGGATAGCAAAATATAAGCCTTTTTTTTTTTTTTTTGAGACCAAGTCTCATTTTGTTACCCAGGCTAGAGCGCAGTGGCCTGATCTCAGCTCGCTGCAACCTCTGCCTCCCAGGCTCAAGCAATTCTGCTGCCTCTTCTGTCTCAGCTTCCCAAGTAGCTGGGACTACAGGCACCCGCCACCACACCCGGCTAATTTTTGTATTTTTAGTAGCGATGGGGTTTCACTATGTTGGCCAGGCTGGTCTCGAACTTTGACCTCAAGTGATCCACCCACCTCAGTCGCCAAAGTGCTGGGATTACAGGCATGAGCCACCGTGCCTGGCCAGTATACACCCTTTGGATTTACCTATCAGCATGGACCTCTGGGCGTTAGTGTCTGGACTCCGGGAAGGGAGGGACTATAAAATAATTAGAGCTGTTTTTTTCCTCTAATTATAACTATTTATAAGTTACAATTATAACTCTATAAGTTTGTAAGTAGTGTAAATATTTTGAGCACTCAGTATGTGCTAGGTACTTTTTAAATGTGTGCTGTATATATTAATATCTTTAATTCTCACAGCTACCCCATCTGGTTGGTCCTATATTATCATCCTGTTTTAGTCTGTCGTGTGTTGCTATAACAGAATACCACAGGCTGGGAAATTTATAATTAAAATACATTTATTTTGTATGGATCTGAAGGCTGGGAAGTCTAAGCTCAAGGGGCTGGCATCTGGCAAGGGGCTTCTTGCTGCATCATCCCACTGGCGGAAGGTGGAAGGGCAAGAGAACAAGCACCAGAGAGAAAGAGCAAAAGGGGGCTGAGCCCATTCTTTTATCAGGCACCCACTCCCCCTATAACTAACCCACTCCTGAAATAATGACATTAATCCATTCATGAGGGCCAAGCACTCATGACCTAATCATCTTTTAAAGTTCCCACCTTTCAACACTGTTGGATTGGGGATTAAGTTTCCAACACATGAACTTACGGGGACACTTTCAAAGTATAGCATCGCTTTTTAATGAATGGGGTACTAGGGCACGAATAATTTATGGGATTAAACTCTATGGTCAGGACCCTGAGGCTGCACTATTGACTGTAACCTTACACTGCCTTCTGGTCAGGAGCAGGGGACTCTGCAAAACAGGTAGGGGGATCTGCAGGAAGCTAGTGGTCCTGCAAGGTAAGTTTATTACTGTAATTCCATTCCAACCTAGGCAGAGTGACTAGAGAATGCATGGGCTAGAAGCCTAACCAACAGCATCATCATCCCCTGGGAACTTGTTAGAAAGGCAAATTCTTTGGCCCCGCACCAGACCTACAGAAACTTTGGAGTTGGGGAGGGTGGAGAACAGAAGCAGGGAAACAACTAGAAGCCAAGAGCCCATTTCTGAGATTGTTGCCATCACTAGAATAAGAAATTGGAGGCTGAAATCAGATTCTCAACCTAGGCTGCATGTTAGAATCATCTGGGGGACCTTTTAAAACATACCAATGAGTTGGCCTCACCCCAAACCTATTAAATCAGAATCTCTGAGCGATAGCACCTTGGCATCCATTTTTTGGAAAAAACACTTCACCAGGTGATATGAACGTGAAGCCAGGGTTAAGAATCAGTAGTTTTCAAACTTGAAGACATGTCAGAATCTTCTGGAGGGCTTGCTAAACAGAAGCTACTGAGCCTCATCTCCAGAGTTTCTGATTTGGTAGGTCTGGGCCAGAGCCTGAAAATCTGCATTTCTAACAAGTTCCCAGGTGATGTTGATGCTGTTGGTCCAGGGACCACACTTTGGGAATTACTGCCTTATATTTTCATCAATAGCCCTAGGAAGTTACGCAGAATGGAGGTTGTGAGGACAAAACACAGGACAGGAGCTTGAGGGCCCCCTTCCTCTGCAGTTTACTGGGGTAAGCCCAGCTATGACCAGGGTGTGCCAGTGTGTCTATGATGTGATTTATCTGGCTGAATAAGTGAAAAATTCTAGTTAATCATTTAGATATTTTCACCTGTTACACATAAATTTATTACTTAAATGTTTAGGCTTAAAATTTGCCTTTCCCCAGGACAGTGGCTGCTTGAGATTTCATTAAGGAAACCTAATTTCCAGGCATTTCTCAGTTTCACCCCATCAAGGATTTCCCTACATATGACTTGCAGAATGCAAGTGCTCTGAGGGGAAAGCTAAGGTTTGAATTATCATTTGAGATCTGTAGTCAGAAATTAGGCTTTTAGAATGATCATAGTTATGGGGCATCCAATAAAATACTCATTGCTCAAACAACTTCTGAAAATAGTCCAAGGCAATTTAACTTTTATGTCCTCCATAGTGCTTGTCACCATTTATTAATCTTAATTTCCCTCAACATTGCATATCAGATGAGAGACCGATTTTTCTCCTCTGTTTCCATAACATTAATATTTAAATGGCAGAGTGTGAAACTCATAAACAGCTGTGGAGGAGAAGGGTGATATTTCTAGGAAGGAAAACCTAGACTAAATGCCATACCAAGGCTTCTTTTTTAAAAAACACCCAAAACAAAGCCAAGAAAATGTGCAGGTGCACCTTGCAGTACAGAATAGAAAGATGAAGAGACTTTTTCTGTGAAGAGAGTTATGTAAGATGAATAACATTGTTCCAGAGACTTCCACTATAAAACTGAAGAAGCATTTGGGAGATGGAGGCTGAAGCCTGTGCAGGTGGAGATGCTGGCGGAAGAAGTCTTTCTACTTTGAATGCTAATGCAGTTCCAGAAGAATCTAAAGTATGTTCTCTGCTTGGTTTGTGGCTCCAGGAGAGAATTCAATGGTATTATTTTGGATATCTATTTGACGCTGGTTATGTGCTTGGCCCTGGGCCACCAGTGGTAAGAACACCAAGATTGATGAGGCCAAACCCTGGTTTTCAAGCAGCTGGTAGACAGGATTAGACAAAAGCCCAAATCCTGTGGGACATGTGCCAGGGAAAGATGTAAACAAAGGGATGGGGCATATCATAGTGGGGAGAGATTAGGAAGGCATTGAAAGGTGTTTTGAAAGACAGGATTATTAATAAATCAGAGCTATGGGTAAAGGGAGCAGTACTGATTCACTCTACATTTCCAAACCATTCATTGTGGCTTTACCTTATGTCAGCCACTACACTGGGTTCTGGGGATATAAACATGATATGAAATTTTCCTGCTCTCAGGGAGCGGGGAAAACAGGCAAGGCCAATTAGAGCATGGTGAAGTCTTCCTGGAGGAAGTAATTTCTAAGCTGAGTCCTAAAGAACTGGTGGGGGTTATCCAGACAAGGATGGGAGGGAATGGGGAAGGAAATCACACCAATGAGAGGGGAAATAGCATGCACAAAAACCTTTGAAAGAGAGAGCATCAGGTATTTGTGGAACTGCAAGGACCCAGGAGGGCCAGAGAACCGAGTGTTGGAGCAGGGAGAACAGGAGATGAAGCTGAGGCATCATGGGGACCAGATCCAAAAGGGCCCAACTCTTAGACATTGCCCCATGCAACCAATGTAGGCTTTTTCTAGAAATCATGGAGAACCGCTAAGGGAATTTTCCATGGGTACTATGTGAGAACTTTAGAGTTTAGAGAGGCTCTTCTGGCTGTGGCATGAAAGAGGGATTAGGAGAAAGCAAGACCGGATACAGGTAATAGTTTAGGAACTTACAGCAGTAAGACAGGTGAGAGATGATGAGGGTTGGTAGAACTGGTGAGAAAAAGAGTTGGGCTAAAGTGTTATTAATGAATCAGTAGGACTTGATGGCCAAGAGAGTTGTGGTAGGAGAGAGGGTCAAAAATGATTCCATTTTTTTGGGTTTAGCCACATGCATAGTGGTGCCATTCACAGAGTTAGAAAATGATGGAGGATCAGGTATGAGATGAGAGGTAAGACAAGATGATGGGTTTTGGACATGTTGAGTGTTAGGTACTTGTGTAATATTCAGATCAAGAGGTACAGGAGACAGTTGGATACATTAATTAGGATAGTCTAGACAGTAACTCAAGCCATGGAACTGGAAGAGATCACCCAGGATGAGTGAGAAAGAGAAGAAATCAGGAAAGGATGCTCTCTATTACTACTTAACTTCAGCACTATATTGATGATTCTAGACAGTTTAGTAAAGTAAGAAAAGCATATTAGAGGTATAAGGATTGGAAAGGAGAAAATAAAACAGTCATGATTTGCAGATATACGATAATTTACATAGAAAACTCAAATTAGTCTACAGACAAATTGTTAGAAATGATAGGAGAGCTTGGTAAGGTGGGTGTGAGATTAATGTAAAAATCAGTTGCACTTCTCTATACCAGTAAGAAGCATAAAACAAAATTAAAGAGAAAACAAATCAACAAAATTATCATAGAATATCAAGCATCTAGGATTAACCTAATAAAAGGTGTAAAAGACCTCTACAGGGGAAATTATAAAATCTTATTATGGTATATTAAAGATTTTAATTATCTGTAGCTTCAATATATTTCCAATCAAGATCCCAGGGTCTTAAAAATGATACTCGATAAAATGATTTCCAAATTTACATGAAGGAGTAGAGGATCAAAAATAATCAGTATATTTCTGAAAAGTCAGAGCAGGGAGGAATGCCAGTGTGGATTGGTACAGGGATAGACAAATAGACTAGAAGAATAGAATGGAGAGCTGTCTATGAAACTGTGGCATATGACAGAGGTGACAGGTCAGCTCAATAAGGAAGAAAGAGTGATCAACAAGTGGAGATGAAAAAAAGGTTATACACTATCCACGTGGGAAAAGGTGAAATTGGACACTTGCCTCATATCAACTCCAAATGGATTTGAGATTTAAAGACACCTTAAAGAAAGTTGAAAAACAAGTTGCAAACTTTAGCAAAATATTTATAATATACACAACTGCAGAGTATTAACATAAAAATATGTAAAGAACTCCTACAAATCTGTAAGAACACACACACACACACGCACACACACCTGCAGAAGTATGAGAAAAACACATGAACAAAAAAATCAGAAAACATGTAAAGGGATGCTCTACATCGTTAGTCATCAGAGAAATGCAAATCAGAACCACAATGAGATATCATGTTATACTTATTTAATTAAGTAAAAATGAAAATGTCTGACAATGCCAAGTAGGAGTGCAATATCTTTGGAAAAAAGTTTGACATTATCTCCTAAAGCAGAACATGAAATCAGTCTGGAAAAGAATTTAGCATTGTCTTCTAAAGTTGAAGATTCATATTCCTTATACCCAGCAATTCAATTCCTGGGTATATACCAAAGAGAAACTCTTGCACATGAACAACAGGATACATACACATGAATGATCATAGCAGCATTGTCTATAACAGCAAAAACCTGGAAACAACCTAAATGACCCAAACTAGGGGAATAGGAAAATAAATGGTAGCATATTAATGGAAGAAATTATTATAAAGATTTTAAAAATAAATCTGAACCACAGTAGCTTGAAACTATATGGATGAATCTAAACACCATCATGTTAATGGGAGAAAGGTAATTCTCCAAAAGTTACATTATACATTATATAAATATAATGTATATACATTATGTGTGTGTGTGTATGTGTGTGTATATTAGTGCTTTAAAAATTGGCCGGGCACAGTGGCTCATGCCTGTAATCCCAGCACTTTGGGAGGGCGAGGTGGGCAGATCACGAGGTCAGGAGTTCGAGACCAGCCTGGCCAACATGATGAAACCCCGTCTCTACTAAAAATACAAAAAATAGCTGGGCGTGGTGTTGGGCACCCATAATCCCAGCTACATAGGAGGCTGAGGCAGGAGAATCGTTTGAACCCGGGAGGCAGAGGTTGCAGTGAGCTGTGATCACGCCACTGCTGGGTGACAGGGCGAGACTCCATCTCAAAAATAAACAAACAAAACAAAAAAACACTTTATTTTGGCATCATGCTGCACATAATTTTTATATGTAACATATATATAAATGCAATCAAACTATATACAAAGGAAAGCAAGGGAATTAACCTGAGATTCAAAAAGACGGTTATCTTGGGTGGAAAAAGAGGGAAAGGAGGCAGGAGGCAGGTAGACGGAATGGGGTGGGGGGAGTGTATGGTTAGATGTAGATCTCTGTCGAGGTTCTGGTTTTATTTCTTGGATAATGCATTCATGAACACTTAGTACTTTTTTTTTTTTTTTTTGAGACAGGGTCTCATTATGTTGCCCAGGTTGGAGTGCAGTGGCACAATCTTGGCTCACTGCAATCTTTGCCTCCTAAGCTCAACCAATCCTCCCGCCTCAGCCTCCTGAGTACAGCTGGGACTGTAGGCACGTGCCACCATGCCTGGCTATTTTTTTTTACTTTTTGTAGAGATGGGGTATATTCTCCATGTTGGTCTTGAACTCCTGAGCTCAAGCAGTCCACCTGTCTCAGCCTCCCAAAGTGCTGGGACTACAGGCATGAGCCACCACGCCTGGCACTTAGTACATTATTAAAAATAACTAAATAAAAGTAGTTCAGGCACTGACCAATAGTAAGAATATCGTTAATAAAGAACTGTTATGAAGCCAATTATGTGTATCAGGTTTAATTAGAGAAAAATAATTTTCATGAATGAATGAATTGAAAATCAGTGACACTGGTCACAGAGAAGCCTTATATAGGCAGAGCTTTGTGAAAACTACTGAATTACATAGCAGAATGTAGTTGCCAGGGCATCTCTTTAAAAGATTATAAGTAAACTCAAGGAAATTCTGGAAAAACAAATTAGTAGGGTAGGTTATGCTTTACCTAAAATATTCCTGGGGCATTCCTAAAAACTATATCAGTTGCCATCTCTCTATAGCTTTAGGGGTGCAGTTCTTTTATGCTTTCCTCTTGCATCTTTGCCCTGCAATTAAAGCGAGGTGCTATTGGATGATCTGCAATTGAGTTACATGATCTAAGTCATGTGGGACAAAGGAGACATATTGAAAACATAATCTTTCTATTTTAAATCGTTTTAAATAACTAAAGCACTCAGAGACTTAACAAAACTCCAATTTTCTAATATGATACAGTACTTTCAGTATATTTTAAATTGTATACAGTTATTTTCTTTCTTACCATTGCCATCAACTAAAATTTAAACCAACTCAGATTCTATCCCCAGAGTTTCATTAGACTCTTCCTCTCTCTCTCATTCTGAATCTTATAATATTGCAGTTGGACTGCTTAGTTTGAACCACCCACTGTAGCCTGACCACTTCATGTGACCAGCAGAAACCCCAGTAATGGAATTTTCTCAGCTCATGGAAGTGCCCGCTAACTGTGGATGACTATTGACCCAACTTTTTGAGAGCAATTTGGAAATAGTTTACTTGTTATGCAGCAACATCTGCCCTTTACCTGCTCTAAAGATGTGTTCCAAAGAATGAGGGACAAGAAATGAAAACTCTTTTGAAGCAAGCAGCCTTTGCCATTACTTTTAATGGCAAAAACTGCATTTACTTTTCCAGCAACCTAACACATCATGTCATTTGCTTCCATCATTTCCTTCTACATAGTAACTTTCTCTTTATGACCATAATGAACTCTAATGAGCCTCACTTCCCTATTTTGAGGAAAAAGTGTGTTTGGGAGTGAGACCCACACTATGTGTGTGTGGTGGGGGCCAGAACACTCTTCTGGGTATAAGCTTTCTCATAGAGCTTGACTGAGTTCTTCCTTTCTCTCATTAAAAGAAAAACCAGATGTATAGATTGTGAAGATTTTCTTCCACTCTGTGGGTTGTCTCTTTACTCTGTTGTCTCTATACTCTGCTGTGTTCTTTACTCTGCTGTGTTTACTTTTGCTCTGTAAAAGCTCTTTAGTTTAATTAAGTCCCAACTATTTATCTTTGTTTTTATTACATTTGCTTTTGGGTTTTTGGTCATGAAATCCTTGCCTAAGACAATGTCTAGAAGGGTTTTTCGATGCTATCTTCTGGAATTTTTATAGTTTCAGGTCTTAGGTTTAAGTCCTTAATCCATCTTGAGTTGCTTTTTGTGTAAGGTGAGAGATGAGGATCCAATTTTATTCTCCCATATGTGGCTAGCCAATTATCCCAGCACCATTTGTTGAAAAGAGTGTCCTTTCCTCACTTTATGTTTTTGTTTGCTTTGTCAAAGATCAATTGGCTGCCACATTTTCTGACCATGGAATACTATGCAGCCATAAATAATGATGAGTTCATGTCCTTTGTAGGGACATGGATGAAATTGGAAATCATCATTCTCAGTAAACTATCGCAAGAACAAAAAACCAAACACCGCATATTCTCACTCATAGGTGGGAATTGAACAATGAGAACACATGGACACAGGAAGGGGAACATCACACTCTGGGGACTGTTGTGGGGTGGGGAGAGGGGAGAGGGATAGCATTGGGAGATATATCCAATGCTAGATGACGAGTTAGTGGGTGCAGTGCACCAGCATGTCACATATATACATATGTAACTAATCTGCACATTGTGCACATGTACCCTAAAACTTAAAGTATAAAAAAAAAAAGATCAGTTGGCTGTAAGTATTTGAGTTTATTTCTGGGTTCTCTATTCTGTTTCACTGGTCTATGTGCCTATTTTTATACCAGTACTATGCTGTTTTGGCGACCATGGCTTTTTAGTATAGTTTTAAATCAGGTAGTGTGATGCCTCCAGATTTGTTCTTTTTGCTTAGTCTTGCTTTGGCTATGTGGGCTCTTTTTTTTTTTGTTCCATATGAATTTTAGAATTGTTTTTTCTAATTCTGTGTAGATTGATGGTGGTATTTTGATGAGTGTATTTTGCATTGAATTTGTAGATTGCTTTTGGCAGTATGGTCATTTTCACAATATTGATTCCACCCATCCATGAGAATGGGATGTGCTTCCATTTGTTTGTGTTGTCTATGATTTATTTCAGCAGTGTTTTGTAGTTTTCCTTGTAGAGGTCTTTCGAGTCCTTGGTTAGGTATATTCCTAAGTATTTTATTTTATTTTTTGCAGCTATTGTAAAAGTGGTTGAGTTCTTGATTTGATTCTCAGCTTGGTCGCTGTTTGTGTATAGAAGAGCTACTGATTTGTGTACATTAATCTTGTATCCAGAAACTTTGCTGAATTCTTTTATCAGTTCTATACATCTGACAAAGGACTAATATCCAGAATCTACAAAGAACTCAAACAAATCAGTAAGAAAAAAAATCCCATCAAAAAGTTATATATATATATATGATAGAATACTACTCAGTCATAAAAAGGAATGAATTAACAGCATTTGCAGTGATGAGATTAGAGATGAGATTGGAGACTATTATTCTAAGTGAAATAACTCAGGGATGGAAAAGCAAACATTGTATGTTCTCACTGATATGTGGGAGCTAAGCCATGAGAATGCAAAGGCATAAGGATGATACAATGGACTTTGGGGACTTGGGGGGAAGAGTGGGAGGGGACAAGGGATAAAAGACTACAAATATGGTGCAATGTATACTGCTTGGGTGAGGGGTGCACCAGAATCTCACAAATCACCACTAAAGAATTTACTCAGGTAACCAAATACCACCTGTATCTTAATAACTTTTGGGAAAAAAAAGGAAAAAGAAAAAGAAAAACCAGTCAGTCCCTAGCTCATAGTTTCCACTTCTCTGGAACTGTGCCTGGACATTTTGAGCTTGTAGTTGCATTACATCTTTTCGTTGCCCACTTAACTTCTCCCCTGTTACAAGTTAGTAAAGTATTTCTGAGGCAAAGCCAAAAAACAAAAGAATCCTAACAACATGTAACATAGTTGCCATGACCTCACTGTTGCAAATTTTCACATTTCTGTCGTGAAATCTCTTTCAAACCTCAGGTAAAATTTATTCTGAATGTTCTCTTGTAAAGGATAAAAGTTCTTTTAGATAATGACAATGGAAAGTTCATTTCCAAGGCAGGTAAATTGTTCCACTAGATCGTAATCCCCTGGAAGGAATGGGTGTGCTTTGTATGACTTTGTCTCCTTGGTGCTTAGCACCAGGCATGATACATAGTAAATTTTAGGGACTGGAGATGAGATTTTCGTTAATGCGATGATTACATGGCCTGGATACTCAATTCATGTCATTCCCATCTTCCCTACCTCCTCAAGATCTTCCTAAGGAAGCTAAATTTATAATGATAGTAACAAAATAGGAATTTAAAGTACTATAAAAGCAAGCAACTAATTTCTGTTTAGGACTTTGATAAAACTGGGTAGAATACATGGCTTAGGTTTGAGTATAAAGTGGGGCCCTCACCTCCTCAGTACCCACTAACCTGAATCTTAGGACCATAATGCTCGGGCATGCCTGTGAAGAAACAAAGAGCAGAGAAAGTGGCTCAACCCATCAAGGGATCTGGGAACATTTCCTAGCCAGCCCTCAGACTAGAAGAGTAGAAAAGGGAGGCTAATAAGGATGGCTGATGTCCCTGTAGCACCAGGACCTACCTGGGTCTGAGGCAGACAGGAAAGGGAGCACTGCACCTGGGTGCTGACTTTTAGAGCGAGGTGACCCTGCCCACTGGAAAAAAGTGGCCCCACTGAATGTCCTGATCAACCAAGACTAGATCAACAATTCCTCCTCCTTTACAGGAGGGCTAATAAGAGCTGAACAGGAACAAAGATGGTGGAGTCCCCTCCTCTATGGCGAGCACTCAATATGCATTTGTTAAAAAAATGAATGAAAAGAGGCAGTGTTGCTAGGGAATTGTTACTATGTGAAATACCATTTGCATGCAGATTTTACATTATTAGCAACCAAGAGCCTCTAGCAAGAAGGCTGATGGAAGGGTCAGTGTGTTGCTTTTCTGAGTGAGATCTGGATGGAGAGGAAAGCCATTGGCATTCTGCAGAAGCCTGACAGAGAAGCTTGGCTTTAGCTATGTTAAGTTTCATACTATGGTATCTGGTAGATGAGTTCTGGAGGCACTATAGGAACAGAAATGAATTTCAGGTGAAAGTTCAGAATATTGAATTTTCTTTTCTCTTCCCCAATCCAGTCCCCTATTCCTCACAAATGGACAAAAGGAAATATGGGCACTAGCTCCTGTGAGATACCAAATTGAGCCAGAGCTAGCTGTGATGTTTGGCTTCCACATTTGAAAACTTATAGAAACTGGAGACAAATCAGGAAATAATATGCAAATTATTAAAAAGTTGGGAAGTACTTGGAGTAGAAGTTATGCCATCCAAAGGAGAGGGTGGGATCGCTCTATCTATTTGCGAAAGACTTTATCTCAGCTAAAATAGTAGAGGGTAGGTGTGAGAGATGCATCAAGATAAATTTCGGATTGGAAGAACTTTCTGATGGAAGGAGGATAAAAAATTGGGAAATTCATCTGCATATCCATAGCCTAGTGTATGGTGCCTGTGAGATGATAAGAAATGTTTTCTGAGTGAATGATCAGGTCATGGAATTGTTCTTGAGGATTTTTATGACCAGTACACATTGCTTTGCATTTTGGATGTTTAGGAATAATTAAAATGACCAGATGATTTCCTACATCCCTTCCAGCTCCTGAATTCCACAAATGACCCAAACTGGTTCATTATTTACTCCAAGGGACGTCTAAAGTGTGTCTGGAGGGCACAGGTAATCTCATCTTTGCAGCACAAATCCACATTCACACTCTGATTTTCCTCCAGAAACATTCAGACTTTCATCTCTATTGGAGAATTGCTGTCATTGTTTCCTTTCTGTAGCACCATTATTTATTTTAATTGCTGAGGCTGTGTTATTCTGTCCCTCAGATACACATCACTGCAAGTTATACATGTGCTTCAAGAAGGGAAGAATGAACCTCTAAGTTGTAGTCAAATTGGTTTCCTAAATGATGCTGCACATTTTAACTGAAGTTTGTGTAGTATTCTAGTGGAAAAAATAGGTGGGGGGTAGAGGGAAGGGTTCCTTTGGTTTTCAGGCTGTTAACTGTAATTAGCCTGGTTTCTGAGATGTAATTATCTTGCAATCTCAAAGCAAACACCCTGGAGGAAATTGCACTGTTAAAGACAGCATGGCATTAAAAATAAATTATTGCCCCAGTGCTTTGTTTTTGCTGCTTATGCCTTGTGATTTGTCAGGGTTTCTGATAGCAAGCACTTGCTTAGGGGTGGGGCTGTGTAGTCACGTTACCACTGCTTGTACCACAGGGATGGTAGGCTTGGTTTGCTTTGTTGTAACAATGGTGTGAAACTGATCACTACGGAAGTGAAGGCTGGTGTTACCCTATCCATACCCTCCTTATCCATTCCCATCACCAAAATGGCTCTTGAAGTCAAGGAAAGAGACCATTGTAGGTCTTCTTTAGTGGTGGACAATGACGAATGAGTAGAGTCAGGCATCATTATTCAAAGCTCAGGTAATTCAAACTATCTGCAAAGAAAAATTCAAATTGCTTGAGTATGACTGAGAGGAAACAAGAAAAATCCCTACTATTTTAGGAACAAACAATGAAGGATCATGAATCATCATCACTGGCCAGACACAGAGGCTAGAAAGACTGTGGGGCTTGGCATCAGAGATCTGTGGGTTTGAACACATAATTGTGCAAGTTGTACACTTCACAAAGCCTCCCCACTGAGGAGACAAGTGGAGGCTGACATTTACCAGTGCCCCCGATCTAGCTGTGTGCTCATGGAGCTGCATTCACTCTGAGGAAGAGCAAATTTTTCTAATGGTCTCCTTTATAGGAATGGTTAAAAAATTTATCTGGTGAGAATATAGCAGAAAGATGTCATAAAGGCCACTATTTATGGTCTGTGTGACCTTGGTCAAATTGCTTATTCTTTCTGAGACTCAGTTTTCTCGTGTATAAAAAGAAGGATGATAATCACAACAATAATAATAACTCCTATGATTATTTTGAAAACTTACAACTGAATCTGAAAAGCATTCAGAATCAAAAAAGCATATGCTCAATTGATAGCAGAAGTTGTGATGATAGTGATAATTCTGACCAGGACAATCATTATCATCAAGTATTCACCTGGTTTTGAGCCTGCACCAAACCCTGAGCCAACCATGGGGGCCTGAAAGGCATGAGAGCTTGTCTCCCTCTCTTACAGAGCTGACAGTTTGGTTGGAAGGACAAGACACAAACAGCAATAGGTAATTAATTGTACCATGTTCTGTGTGAGTTCCGTAAAGTAAAATTCCACAGCTCCTGTAGCCATTTATCTTGGCTGTTAATTCAGTTGGTGGAACTGGCTTTTTTTTTTTTGCGTATCAGAAGGGAAAATCGGGGAAGACCCTATAGAATTTGGAGTTGAGACTGCGATAGTACACATATGGAGGAGATGGCAATAGTGAGGTACAGGAGGATGGAAGGGAAATGTGGGAGCTATTAATAATCCAAAGAAAGCTTTGACTAGCTAGAGATATTTTCTTTTCTTTCAATGAGCCAAGCTTATTTGTGTTAGAAATAATTTGAATAACTGAAATCCACAGCTTTTTATTGCAAAACCTCATTTTATTCCCCATGTCTATTTTTCCCTTGTTAAATTCTGTCCATACCTCTGATGTTTCACTAAATGAATTATGAAATGGAAGGCCAATTAAGTCTACCCAGACTTATATAAAGTTAAGTTTCCTCAGAGCTATTAATGGTGGGTTATTAACAAAACATACAAATCCCTCCCCAGTTTTATGATCTTCAATACTGGAATAGAACATGTGCCCAAAGATCATTTCCTTGGTTGCCTTAACTCAGAGAGTGACTTTACCAGCATTGGCTCAATGAGTGGTTTATTTGATTCTTAAAGAATAAAGTGTAAGGGGAAAGTTCACAATTTTCTTGTCAAACAAAGCCATGTCAGTATTTAATATAGTTTGAAAACAATTTGTTGGTGTCCAACCTAAAATTTTTCCCTTCCTCCCTCCCTCCCTGTCTCCCTCCCTCCCTCCCCCTCCCCCTCCCCCTCTTCCTCCTCTTCCTTCCTTGTAACTACTTTGAAAAAGAAAATTCCTTGTTAATAAAAAAGTCCTTATTTATTTAACAAATGTCAACTAATAAAAAATTTACTTATGCAAAAATGTGAGCCACAGTGCAAATTAAAATCCATTCTTCCGAGATGTTAGAAGGAATAGCCATGAAGATTTCTATTCATGGCAAGTTAACACAATTACCCTGAAAGGCCTCTTCTGACATAACAAAAATAACAACAAAATAAAAACCTAGAATGCTGAAGGAAATGAAATGAACAATATTTGATTATTTATATTTAAAAATAAATTTTATTGTGTATATTTAAGGTATTAAAAATGATGTTATTAGATACATACGTATAGGAAAGCAGTTACTATAGTGGAACAAGTTAATATGTCCATGATCTCACATAGTTACCCATTTTAAACATCATTTTAAATATATAGCAGAGTTTCCAGGAATTTAGAAAAGGAAAGACCAAGGGATCCAAATATGAAGAGGAAGCTGAAAACTAGAGTAGTAAGGAGGCAGTCACTGCTGCAGACCTGAGAGGGTTTCCAGTCTTAGTTAAGCGGGTGACTTCAGTTGAAGAACCGCAAGGAATAGGAGTTGAGATTTTGGGCATTCCTGCAACAGGATGTTAGAACTGAGATCCTCTCCTGACCATAAAGCTCTCAATGGGCTGTATCCTCAGTGAAATGGTGTCTAAAAACATCAACCTACTGGTAAAAAAACCAAACCAAACCAAACCAAAACAAAAACCCATAAGGGTACTTGGTGTCTAATGAGAATTCATAAGCACCTTCCTGTTATACTTACTTGTGTGATCTGGGAAATCCAACTAAAGAAATTAATGTGGAATTGGTACCAGACTAGTAAAACCTAGGGGTCACCTCTGTGGAAGGACATGCTTTAAATCCTTATCACACAGTATTCCTGCAGCTAAAGCACTGCCAGACTCAAGATCGCTATTCAAAATTACAACATTCTCAAAGAACTAATTCCCCACAGTTGAGAGTTAGCAGAAACAACAAAAGAATTAAGTCCCTAAAGCTTCAGATAACAGAATCATTGGATACATCCTCTAAATGAAGTATGTTTAAAGTGATTAGAGATGCAAAAGAAGGATTGAAAAACATGATAATGAAATATAGCCTATAAAATTATCAGCCAGTTTTGGAAAAGAATAAAATAGAAACTCTGTTTTCTTCTCATAGAGGTTAAAACATAAAATAGTTGAAAATAAAAAAATTCAAATTATATATTACATAGCAGATTAGGTAAAGATGAAGACTAAACAAATTAATTGAGAGGTCTTAAAGAGAGATACAAAGAATGAAAATATGAAAGAATATTAGAGTCATAAAAAGTAGAATGAAAAGGTGTAAGATAAATAAAATAGAATTTTTGTGAGGACATAATAGACATAATGGGAGAAAAGTAATATTAAAAGAGATAATGCCTTGAGAATTTTCCAAAATGTTAAGAGGCAAAATCTCAGGTTCAGGAAATATGAATTCCAAACATTTTATTTTTGAGTAAGATAAAATTTACATCAGACACACCTTAATGAAACTTATGTATAGTACACACATAAATATAGTACAAGGAGAAAATTGTAAAAGCAAATAGAAAGCAAATAGAAGATCACAGAAGAAGGAAATTAGACTGACAGCATACTTCACTACAGGGAAAATAAAAACCGGAAGACAGTGGAATAACATCTTTATTGTGCTAAAAGAAAATAATTGTCAACATGGAATTTTATATTTAGCTACATTAAAATTCTGTGATAAAGGTGAATGTTGTAATAAACACTTTCAGACAAAAACAGAATTTCTTGCTAAGAGATCTTTGGTGGAAGATTTTCTAAAATATAGGTACTCTACCCTGACTGTACACTGGAATCACCAGTAGATGTTTGCCATATATTGCTAGTCTCAGAGATATATATTTAATTGTTCTGAGGCATAAATTGGGGTTTTAAAAACATCCCAGGGTGATTCTAATGTGATGTCAAGTTTGAGAGCCATTGGTATAAAAAAGATGTACTTCATGAAGAATGAAACTGAATCCAAGAAGGGGTTCTGGGGTTTAGTTTCAACCCAAAAAATCATTAAACATGTGGTTAGATACAAATATTCACTGACTGAATGAAGAAATAATAATAATATTGACAAAGGGAATATAAAGGTATTATAGAACTAGATTACTAGGCCAAAATAACATGTAAGAAAACAGTGAGGTGACTGAAAGTTCAAGGCATTTAAGGTCCTTTTATTATTCAGGAGGAGAGTAGATAACTGATTAACTTTGTTAAATAATTATACTCTAATTTATGGGTAATACTAAAATAGTAGGAATGTAATATGTAATTTCTAAACTGGAAGAAGTGTTAACCTGGCAGAAGTGTGAAAGGGGGTTATAGAACGTAGGGAGGCCTTAACAAATTTAGTTACATGTACCAGGCACATGGTGATGAGGGGTCCACCAGAACAGGGGCAGTGGAAATAGGAGAGGGTAGCACAGTTGCAGGAGATTCTACAAATTAACAACCAATATGACCTGGTAATTAATTTGCTAAAGGAATGTAGTCAGAAGGGGCAGAGGGAGTACAATCCCACCCCAACCACAGCACCTACAATTTTCAGTCAGGGTGACAAAGAAAATGAGCGTGAGAAGTTTGGAAGTCAAAAGCCTGGATGGACTGGGTGGGCAGGTGATGAAGGTTTCAAACATTTGCAGGCAGCATTTAGGTGGTAATTCCAGGCAGCTGAACTGGATCCCAGGAGGGCAATGACTGTGGAAGATGAAGAGGAATCAGACCATCCATCTAGGAAGAGGATAGAGAACTCAGAAAAGAGGGTAGAGGGCTAAACATGGGTGTCCACATTTAGGTAGCATAGGGAAGAAGTTACAACAGAGAAGTAAAAAAGAGACTCACTCTGGTTTATGTAAAGAGAATCATTTGCATTTGGGTTATAATATTCAAAGCAAACCTTTAAGATGGAGAAGACATCAAACTTCCAAAGACTTAGTTTACATCACAGCTTGACTTTTTATTGGTGGATAAAAGTGAGACTGCTTAGAATGTTACCACTTATACTTCTCTAACTTTTTTATAAGTAAAAAAAAGAGTTTTGAACTGTTGTTAAATAGAAAAAAAGGTTACCAGGTAAGACCTTCTTCACTATTTTCCTTATGTACTTGAAACATCATATCACTTTGTCTAGCCTCATGATGGACTTGTGGTGGATTTAAAATGGCTGAAAATTCTTTAATGGAGGTGAGGTCCATTTTCTTTACTCTTCAATCTGGGATAGTTTGTGAGAGCCTTTACCAACTGAGTATGGACATAAGAGACTATGCCAGTTCTAGGCCTGGAGTTTAAGAAGACTGACATCTCCTGCCTTGGTCTTTTGGAGCCCTGAGTCACCATTCAAAAAATTCACCAATTTTTCTGAAGATCATTGTGCTGTAAGAAACTCAAACCATATGCAGAGAACCTAGAGGATGAAGCTGTATGTAGAAACAAGGGCCAAGGAGCACAGAGGTACCAGGTAGGTGAGTGAAGAAATGATCTTGGGAGAGGATCCTGTGACTCTGGCTTTCATAGCTGAAAATATGTGGATCGGATATTAATAGCCCAGCTAAGCTCTTCCTGTAGTTTTCATCCACAATGCCACATAAAAACAAAATAAAAATGGTTCTTTTAGGTCACTTAATTTTGAGGTAATTTGCTACGGCAATAGTGAATCAGAACAAGACTACTTCTTTCAAAGGCTAATCACTCCAGGGATTCCAGACACCACTCCTAGGACTTCCCACCACCACTCAGCTTCCTTTGTCTTCTCTAGATTTTTATTCGTTCCTCTTCATTCTTCAAACTTTTATCCTTAGTTTACAAACACAGCTCCAAACATTTCCCCCATAGTTTTGCTTTTGTCTCAGACTACTGGGATGTCTTTCATTCTTCTCATTTCTATTAATGCCATAATTATGAAAAGAGTAAACTTCACTCATTCACTCACTCATTCATTTTCCACTTACTCTGTGCCAGGTACTCTTCTCAGTTCTGGTGATAAATAGGCAACCAAAGTGACATGACTCCTGCTCTTCTTGATCTTATAATGTGGTGAGGAGGTAGCAATTGTAAAATAGTAATGTGAGTGATTGCAATTATAGCTGAAATGAGTTGACAAAGTATAGGAACGTGGTTACATGAGGACATACAATGAAAGAATCTGACAGGGTGTTGGGGTAGACGGAAATTGAAAATCAAGGTGTTGGCAGGGTGAGTTCCTCCTTGGGGGCACAGAGGGAGAATCTGCTCCATGCCTCTCTTCTAGCTTCTGGTGGTTGCTGGCAATCCTTGGTGTTTGGTGGCTTGCAGCTGCATCACTCCAATCTCTTCCTCCATTGTCATGTAGGCATCTTCCCTCTGTAGGTCTATATCTTCACATGGTATTTTCCTCTCTGTGTGTCTGTCTCTGTGTCTCTTCTCCTATTCTTATAAATACGCCAATCTTATTTGAATAGTATGACCTTATATTAACTAACTATATCTCTAATGACACTATTTCCGAGTCAGGTTGCATTCTTTTTTTTTTAGATGGAGTCTCGTGCTCTGTCACCCAGGCTGGAGTGCAGTGGCATGATCTCAGCTTACTGCAACCTCCACCTCCTGGGTTCAAGCAATTCTCCTGATACTCCTGCCACAGCCACCTGAATAGTGGGATTACAGGCATGGGCCACCATGCCTGGATGATTTTTGTATTTTTAGTAGATACAGGGTTTCGCCATGTTGGCCAGGCTTGTCTCTAACTCTTGACCTCAGGTGACCTGCCTGCCTCAGCCTCCCAAAGTGCTGGGATTACAGGTGTGAGCCACCATGCCTGGCCCAAATAAGGTCACATTCTATGATTCCAAGAAGGACATGCATTTTGGGGGGACACTATTCAATCTGGTACACCATGCATCAGCAAACCCTAATGCTGTTACTTAAAAAATATGTCCAGTATCTGACAACTTCTTACCACTTCCACTGCTGCCACCCTGGTCCAAGCCACCTGAATTGTTACAATAACCTTCCTACTGGTCTGTCATTCATTTGTCTGACATACGTTTATGGAGGCACAGCAACATGAAGAATTAAGCTGGGTTTGCATAAGCCTGCCCACTGCTGACCCCAGCTGTGTGGCCAAGGGAAGCCCAACTCCCTACTCTCATTCCTGACAATGTCTGAGAGATACAAAGACATGAAATCAGGTTTTTCTCCCTCCATTGGAGAGAACAGGCTGAATTCCAATGACTAACATGAATGAATGCCAGGAGGCTGGAGTTCAAACACCAGTGAGGTCTGCTGTGTAGCCTTTCAGGATGCTGTGGATAAAATATGTGTAAGTCTTGAGAAATCCTATTTCTATGAGCTCTGTCCCTTCCAGGGCATTTAGTTCTGGACCACAGAGTGGTATTTCTGTGTGGCTTCCCAGTGATCCTACATCTTGGAAAGAGAGAACTGTTCCAGGCTGGAAGGCATTCTGGTGGGCATGGAGAGTCTTTGACCCTTTATTCAAGGCTGTTAGAAAGTTAGCTGACTATTTCATTTCATTTGCCTTTCTTGCCACTGGTAGTTCACGTTTTATTTACTAAAATCTTATTATAATAACCTAGTAGAATGAATCAGAATTAATGAAAAATAAATTATAGACTTCTTTTTTTACTTATAATGCAGACATTTTTAAAGGAATGCAGTTTTTATTTGCAGATAACAGCAATCCACACTAACTGCTAAGTGCTTTTAAGCTGACATTCATCTAAGCCCGCTTTAATGAACAGATAACTCATTTATAATTAGCAGTGCCAATTAATTGGCATGCAAACAATTAAAGTGATTAAAGTGCTAAAGTTCTTAAGAACAGTTTTTCCTAAGTAGGTTATAGACAAACCCTCCCTGACCCTGCATCTTGTTTACATGATTAAATTGCTGAGGAAGACTTTCTTTATAGATAGCACATGAAGAAATTTTAACTCAGCCTTGGTGAGTGATCCCTGATTTGGAATCAGTAATGGAGAATTTATTGTACTCTGATTTTCCCAAATCAACGCTTTTTTTTAGTGTAAATTATATAACTTTGTGGGTCTCTTACATATTACTATGCCCCTGCCACCAGCCACTGGGCTTCAGTAAACTTGAAGCTGTCAATATCCCACCCCAGTCACTTTTCTTTTCATATCTATCTCATATCCTAGAAATATGAATAGAAACCTGTGGGGTTTTATTTATTTTTATAATTGACAAGGAAAAATGATATATTTTTACAGTGTTCAACCTGATGTATTGTTATATGTATACATTGTAGGATGGCTAAATCAAGCTACTTAACACTTACATTACCTTACATACTTATTTTTTTGTGATAAGAACATTTACAGTCTACCCTCTTAGGAATTTTCAAGTCTACCATATATTTTTATTAACTGTGGTCACCATGATGTATGATAGAACTTTTACATGTATTCCTCCCCTTTAACGGAAATTTTATATCCTTTGACAAACATATCCCCAATTCCCCCACCCCTAGCCTCTGGTAATCACCATTTCACTCTGTTTCTGTGAGTTTCGCTTTTTTTTTTTTTTAAACAATCAACATGTTAGTAAGATCATATGGTATTTGTCTTTCTGTGTGTGGCCCATTTCACTTAGCATAATGTCCTCCAGGTTCATCTATATTGTGGCAAATGACAAGATTTCCTTATTTTTTTAAGGCCAAATAATATTCCATTGTTTATATATACAACAATTTCTGTGTCCATTCATTGTGGGGTTTTATTTTAAATGGCTGCAAATTCTTTGACAGTCCCCTCATTAAGGACAGGTTCTATGTCCTTTACCCTTGAGCCAGAGTAGGCTTGTAACTTGCTTGTAACCAATAGAATGTATCAGAAGTGGCACTGTATGATTTCTCAGGCTAAGCCAAAAGAGACATTGCAGCTTCTGTCTTGTCCACTGGAACACTGGCATTTTAGGCCCAGACCTGCCACGTGAAATGTTGAAGCTTTCTGAGGCCGCCACGCTGTGAGGAAGCACAGGCCACGTGGAGAGGCACGTATAGGTGCTTTTGTTGACAGCCCCAGCTGGGGTCCCAGCTAGCAGTCAACATCAACATAAGACATGAGTGAAAGGCCTGAGAGTGGTTCCAGACCCCAGCTGTTGAGTTACCGCCAACCTTCATATCTTCCTAGCTGAGGCATCAGACATGATGGAGCAGAGACAAGCCATCTCTCCTGTGCTCTTTCTGAATTTCTCACCCACAAAAGCTGTCAGTGTAATAAAATGGTCAGTGTTTTATGCCACTACCTTTGGTTTGTTTTGTTTTGTGGCAATAGTAACTGGAAGAAGGGCTTTTTTTCTTTTCACTTTAAGGTGCTGTACAATATCCATCTCCTATTTTTTCCCCTTTAACAAGCTTATTTTGGTTTCTATTTTATCCTTGAATATCTTCTGCTACACTGTTTGCGTTTGTTGGTTTTTAAAAACATTTCCCTCATGAGCAATTGGAAGTGGGACTTGAATCCTCTTTGGAAATTTATTAACCCATTGAGTCTCAGCCGCCATGATGGTGGGAGAATTATATCTACCTCATAGTGTTGTTGTGAGAATTGGGTATATTGTAGGAAAGTACCTGGCATATAGCAGGCATCCATGTATGGATGGCAAAATAGGCAGGCAAGACATTTCTATATCCATTTACAACTGTGGATACAGATCCATTAGGTAAATGGTAATTAATATTAGAAGTTTTCAGAGACAAGTTATGGAACTCTGAACTTCAGTTTCCCATTTGCTCAAAGCACATTGATCTAAATGAGGGTATATGGTATTCTCAGAGGAAGTTTGTGTGCGTGTGTTTGTGTGCACATACACATGTTGTCTCCTCTCTGTTGGATAAATGACTGCATGCCCTTATAGCCTATCCATCACTGCATGAAGTTGAAAACAACAGCAACAACCAAACCAAACCAAATCAAAGCAAACCAACAGAAAATTACCCAAAACTCTCATAATGGTTATATTTGTCCAAGGACATTTGCAAATCATAGAGGTCAGATTATGAAGCAGAACCCACTGAATGGGCTGGTCTGTGGCACAGCCTCAAGTCTGGAGAGAAAGGTCTACCCCTTCCTTGGCTGGAGGCATGTTTGCTTTCTGGAAAAGTACATTTGGTACAGTGGAGACCTTTGACATTTTGATGGGCCAAGGACACTTTTAAAATCTGTGGATCTTCTCCCCAGAAAAATGAACACACTCATTCTCTCACAACAATTTGCACACCATTTTAGAGTATTCCTAGTTGCTATAAACAATTGAACCCTGATAAAGAAGACAATAGGATTTAGAGTGCTTTGCCTTATGATCCAGGGGTAGTGAGTTTAGTTCTGACTAAAACAGGGAGGCTGTCATTTTTGGCTTCCTGTGTCACCTTACAAGATGGAAGCCAATTTCTGTAGAGCATCTATTGCAGATCAGGCTCTGTCCCAGGGGCTTCACATGTCTTAATTTAATCCCCAGGAAATCCAAGTAGGTAAGTATTTTGTCTCTATTAAGAGGTTGAGAGAAAAGTGATTTTTCCAGTCTTACAGCTAATAAGTAGTGGGGCCCAGGTTTTAGAGATGCCAACATCCAGTGTTTTCCTATTACTTTCTGTTTGTGTCTGGGGTGCTGGCTGAGATTGCTCCAAACAGATCATGACTGAATAACTTGATAGTCCTGGGCTTGCTGTTTAAATTTTCCCTCTTCCTCTACCCATCCCAGTCTACCTCTGTTCCTTTTGGCTGCCAGAGGACAGTATGGGGTGAGGGTGGAGGGGATGCTTTGTTGCCGGTTAGATTTAAGAAAAACAGTAAAAGCCAATGTGAGAGCAAGGGCCCCTGAGTCTGTATGTTTGGGCTGGAATCCACTGGGCCTTTGCAGACAAGAGATAGCCCAGCATTTTATTTAGCACCTTAGCTTTACAAAGAGTTTTTCCATTCAGTAATAAAATAGGCAGGCAAGACAGTTCTATATCCATTTACAACTGTGGATACGGAAACTTTTTCAAGGAAATTGTCTTCCCAGGCCTTCCCATTCTGGTTCCAGGTCTTTTTCCATTACCTTGTAGCTGCATCCCATGCAGAACAAGGTTAAGAAATGCCATTCTGGGAAATTAAGGCTGCAGAGTGAAATCACAATGGCTTAGAGCAGTAAGTCATAAGTCATTGTGATTGGGATATGGCTGTCCTTGCACATGTTCCGGGAAGCAGCCCTCACAAATGTAGCCAATGTAGGACAAGCAGTAATCTGGGAAATTGTAACATAAGATCACATAATGGCAGTGGCTTTTGAATGATAAGGAAACTGATAAGGACTATTAAGAAAGGAACACAGGAGACTAAAAATCTGAAAGATTTCCTCTAACACTGCCCAAAAAGAGTGTGATCTGATTTTAGATGAATTGTACTGGTTCTTTGGACTAAAATATCCCTCCAGCAGAGAAAGGCAATTCATCAAGCAACCAGAGCTAGAAAGTAATTCTCTGAAAGAACATCCGGCTGCCCTGGCTCGTGGTCTTTGCTTACCCAGAAGAGAATCTGCAATTTGGCCATCTGAGTGCTGTTGACCAGCATGGGTTCTTTTAGTGATGATCCTGCTGGGAGATAATATGGGATATTGGTTTATCAATCACTCTCTGGTGAGTTCAGATTCACAATTTAATCTCTTGTTGCCTGAACATCTCTGCTGGAACTGATACAGATCCTGAACCTGCTCAGATGTTAAACAGCTTTTGGGCTTTGGGTTTTCAATTGGGTCCAACTATACTTAGGAGGCCCTCATTTGAAGAAAACAGAACCTTTCTCATTCAAAGGCCTTGGGAGCTAATAGGAACCATAATCTTGTTTTGTCCAGAAACCCAGCATGTCCACCTAGTTCTAAAGCTCCAAAGAACAGAAGTTTAAGCAAGAATCTTGCAAAAGCATTCCTAAGTGTAGCCTCAGTGTGAGGATCTCAAACTTACTCAGGTTAGTACCCTCAAATAGAGATGGAGTGTGGTTACTACTAGCCTACTACGAGGTTAGGTGCCTTGGAGGGTCCTCTGGGCCTAGGTTATTTTGAAGTTTAGAAGAAGAAGGCTCACATGGGTAGTCTGAAGGGGTAGAGCAGCATCTCAGGAGGCAACCTGGTGGTATAGCTTGCTTTTGGGCAACAACTGGTCAAGTCCTGGGGCACATGGAGGGGATGTGAGCCCGGGGGAGAAGAAAGGGAGGTTCTCATTGGTTTGGAGGCTGGGAAGGTAGTTGGTGATGATGCCAGTCAGATTTGGTTCCTGGGTTCTCTTCAGAGATCCTTCCCATGGTCCACTCACTTAGCTTTGGTAGTGTCCCTTCTCCATTATGGGAAGTTACCTGAGATAGGTTGGGTTGGGGAAGCAGATACCTAACTAGCGGTTGTAACACTCTCAGATCCCATCATGCAGAAGTCATAAAGTAGATCCAGGATCTGACTTACTGGGGCTCAGCAATCCAGACAGATGGGGAAGCAGCAGAAGCTGAATTGCCTGGCTGCTAAGGCAGCACATTACACAGTATCCTGCTGGCATAGCAGGGTTTGGTGAACACAGGTATAGTGAGGGGAGGGAGTGTCTCACCTGGTGGCTGGAATTGGGGTAAAGTAGGTGACACCTAAGTCAGAGGGTGTCTGTGTACGGGTTCCATGCTATATATCAGAATTACATGAGATAATATATAATACAATCTTTATACTACATCTGATAAGTGCTTAACAATGACAACCACTATCATCATCATCATCAGCAGCAGCAGCATCTTGCATAATACTTTATACCCATGTCCATGTAACATTCAGAAAGTCTAATAGTTGGTTATAGAAATGATAGTAAATTGTACTACAATTGAACTCAGTCCAGTGTTGGTCCATGGTAGAGCCTGGGCCCTCAGTGGCTTCTTAGAGCTGGAAGAGCCCATGAGGACCAAATATCATAAACTCAAGATCAGAGCCAGGCAGGTATCATGCATATGGTAATCAAGATAATGTAGAACATTAGGGAAGGTTGGAGGCTGGGGGGACCTGGAGAGCATATACCACATCAAAGGGCAGTGGCTCCTCAACTCTAGCTGATAGTTGCCATGTGAAGATGGGGGCCCAGGGATTATAGCTCTTCTGATTATTTTAGAAAGATAGAAATCTAGATTTTAAGGTAAAATTTTACAGTTTAAAAAATATTACAGACCAAACAAAACATATGGGTAGGCTGAATGGGACTCGTTAGCTGTCAGTCTGTGACACTCTTCTCTGAAGCAGGAATGCCCTTGAAGGCCCTCCTACCCTGGGGTCATCCAGCTAAAACTTCATGGGATGATCTGATTGTTCTTTGTAAGTCTTACCTTTCTGGCAGTATTATAAGTCACCAAAGTTGTAAATCTGGGGCAGGGCTGGGTCAATAGGGCTGTAACTGTAGCTACTTGCTGTTGCTTACCTGCTGTTTTAACAGTAATTGGATTGGACACAGATTCTTGCCCTCCACCCAACATCATTCAGCCCCCAGGTCTAAACTCACATTTGAGCAATTGGGGGAGTTAATGTTGCTCTTGTTTACATCCTTGATGCTGAAGCAAGGCCTTGTAAAACCTACAGAAAACAGGAGTTAATGTTAAGCAGGAAACCTTGGGCAGTCCTAACATGTAAATGCAGGACGGACCAGCTACATGGATATGCAACCCGTGCAGCTGCACGTACCTAATACTTGGTGTAATGTGCTCTCTTATTGTCTTGAAATTCTTAATAATCTTTGAACGAGGGGGTCTGTATTCTCATTTTGTACCAGGCTCTACAAATTATGTAATTGTCCTGCATCAATGTGATCAGAGTTGAAATGAAATCATGTAAGTAGGATTTTTTTAGAACCTCCTACAACTTGATTAGTTTGTGCTTTTGTGTGAGCTTAGGTAAAGCCCATGGAAGCCAGGGAATGGAAATATGTTTTCCTGGCCATTATAAAAGATGGGGATGTTCACCACTGCTTTGTGTTGAGTGGAGAAAGTAGGAAAGGGTCCATTTCCTGTGATGTGACCCCTTCCCAGGGCTTTTCTTCCTTGTCCCAGGTGCTGGATCAACATTAGCTATTAGGCAAAGAAGACACAGGCAGGCATGGAATCACTTGTGGGGGTGGCTATTGTGCTGGAATTAGAGGAATCTGGAGACTAGATGACATCCCAGGGGGAAGAGAGCCAGGAGACTCAGATTTTTTTCCTGATCATTTTCAGGTCAGCAAAACCCTAGAGTAGCTGAGGAATGGGCATGTGCTGGGCATTAGCACAATTTTACTGATGCATTTTAGTTGCCTCTACAAAATCAAAACACAGAGCACCGAAAAGCTACTAAAATATCCTCATTTAGCCTCTGCAAGAGATTCATTGGTGCTGGAGTCATGATTAATTCCATTTCTATTGCTGCCTTATTCATTATACATATGGTCTGCTGCAGAGATACCAATTGTGGGATTTTGGGTACAGTAGGAAAATCCAATAGAGCAAGCCTTAAAAATGAGGGCTTCATCTTCATGCTTTGGCTTTGGCCTTTTAGCAAAGAATTTAGTGACTGCAGCTACCGAACTTGTTCTTAGTGAGAGGGGAAGCAGAACTTGAGAGAATCTGTTGTGTTAATGCCCTCCCTAAATCACAAATAGTTGCAGATCAAGAATTTGCTCTGCAAACTTGGCAAACTAGTTAGGACGGCCAGCTAATGATGACTAGAACAACCCATCCATCTGAGGCTCAATCAATAAAAACAAGTATTTCTTTTGGATAATCACCCATCCCTTCCCTAAACTCAAACACTCATATTTTTGAGACTATCATTACATTAACTGTACAGATGAATTTGGGAAAGAGTTGACATCTTTATTGTGGCAAATTCTCCTACCTAGGAACATATGATGTTTCTCAGTGGATTCAATTTTTACTTTTATGTCCTTTAGTGAAAATTTATGATACTTTTTATTTAGTCCTGCATATTTCTTATTAACTTTGTCTCTGAATATTTCATATTTTCAATGGTATTTTGAAAGTAATCCTTTTTCATTATATTTTCTAACTAGTTAATTAGTTCTTACTGATATATTTAAAAGCTATTTTTATATATTTATTTTGTAATTACTACTGAACTCTTATTAGTTATTATATTTTTATTTTTTTGCTCAATAATCATGTAATATGCAATATGTGGCATAAATGCTGCAAGAATTTCTTCAGTGTCAGTGGCAGAAATCACTAATTGATTATGTCATCTTTCCCCATCAAGGCTGGATGCAGTAAATCCTTCTCAATCTACATTCTGTTGGGAGATGATTTTCCATGAGTCTGTTATGTTTCTACACATATTCTGAATGAGGCACTCACTACCCATTGTGCTAAATTATCTTTTCAAAATTGTTTGTGTTGGGGCTTAGAAATAGATACCCCCAAACGTGGCACTTTGACATGCTGAACTAAAGAAGCAGCCTCTATTCCCTGGGGAATTCTCCTTATTCCATGTCTTGTCTCTCAGTCCTCCACCTCTTCCAAAGTATAGGATAAGGCTGTAGTTCCCTTATCTACCTAGAAACTGGACCCCAAAGAGGAACACAATTGCCTTCTATATCTTCCCTGAAGTTTCATTAGCCAGAGAAGATTAAAACTCATATCACAGAGGAGGAGACTGAAAATCAAGTACCACACCTAGGCCCCGGGCAAACTTTGTCTCAAAATATTGTCTATTCTAAGGTTCCATTCAGTTCCCCAAAAGAATTATGTATTGCCTGAGCATTAGGACCATTCATTACTTCTAAAAATCATTTACTGCATATTTTCCCATCTCACTTTTTCCTATAAGAAACGGTATATAAGCATCTGTACCCCCATTGGGTTATTGGGTAATCATTCTCTTTTGAGTCCCCTGTACTATGCTTGTTAAAATAAACTTATATGCCCCTTCTCCCCATTAATCTGCCTTTTGCCAGTTCATTTTCAGCAAACTTTCAGAAGGTGAAGAGAGAAGTTTTTCCTTGGCCCCTACATTTGTATATCAAATAGCCTTAGAAGATAGAAATAGTATTTCCCTCATGAGTGAAGGGAAGGCATGCTAGTAAGGATGAAAGATTCAAGTTTCTTGAGCTCAGGATTCTTCTGTAACATATCTCATTGTATGTGCTTGTGTCCTCTGTCACTCTTCACATCAAGTGGTAGGAATTGGGGTTCAGGGAACTGGTGCAAAAATACGGATACTCTGGCTACTTCTGTTGACGTGAGTAATCAATGGTCCCTCATCTCTGACCCAGGAATCTTGTGTCTTCTATCAGTATCCATGAAATCATGTTAGGGAAACTTGTTAGCTTACAAGTAGGGCACAGTCTCAGACCCTCTCATTTTGTTACAGTTTTGGTGATGCGGATGGAATGCTAATAGAAACATGACTTTCTGGAAAAGGAAAGGTGAGTGCCTCCTGGGTTTACTAATGGTGCCGGGGTAAGGTCCACAGAGTTGGTAGTGGACATGTTCACTAAATTGTATGGTCAGCTGAACAATAAATTGTCTTCCATTTTATTTTCTGTTAGTGAGAGGCATTGGAGAGGTGGTTGCAGAATGAGTATAAGGAAATAAATTAAAGACAGACACCTAAATGGTGCCCTGGTTGTTGTTAATTCTCCCCCAGACAAAAGGACTTTCTCACCAGTCCAGTGGTCAGCCTCAATTTTAAAAGCTACTGCTGAGATTTTTTTCTGAGTGGAAATAAGTTTCCACTCCATCCAGACAGTAGTTGCAGAGATGCATACCTGGACTGAGCATAAAAGGAGAAAACTCTGTGAATGTGATGGGCAGAAATCATTAAAACTTTGGCTGGCTACTTGGGAGACAGGGTGGATGTGTTAAGGAAGAATGGCAATAGCTGAGACTTTGGTGGCTCCACCTCTTCTGCGATTTATTATGTCAAATTTACATCCATTGGAGACAAGAGTAGAGCTCTCTCAGGTGTTTTTTGTGTGTGTGTGTTTGTTGTTGTTGTTTTTTCTTCAGAAAGTTCTGACTACTATAAGGGAGATTTGAGCTTTGGCCCTCTTGGAGAGATTCCCTGATCTGAGAAAGACAAACTTCCTTGGGAAATCATGGTTGAGACATTGACTAGTATCTGGGCTCTAACTGTTCTGGATTGGGTTTACAATGCTAATGAAAGTGACTCATTAGAGAATGAGAAACTGAACCAAAGAAATTGAGACAGATTCTTATGACTGGCTCTACCACTCTGGAAAATCCCCTTAGCTCTTTTGATGAAATTGGGCCAGATCTTAATGGATATTATCTTGATAATAATGTAGCACAAGGATCAGTAAACTTTTTCTGTAAAGAGCCAGATAGTAATTATTTTAGGCTTTTTGGGCCATACTGTCTCTGTTGCAACTACAACTTTGCCACTGTAGTATAAAAGCAGCCACAGCATTACGTAAATGAATGGATATAGCTTTGTTCCAATAAAACCTTATTTACAAAAGCAGGGAGCAGGCTGGATTTCATCTATAAGCTGTAGTTTACTGACCCCTGGCAATAACAGATGCCTTGGATTAAGGTGGCATCATCAATGAAGGTTGCTGCTGTGTAAGCTAAGCCTGAGTCAGCAAGAGGATGCAAATCCCCATGGTTCCAACCAAAAAGCAATGTGAAAAAAATGCTGCTCAGCGAAGGGGTTCCCAAGATTGACATAGATGGTATTGGCCATCAGGATCTTCTGCCTAATACAGAGTATTAGTTGGGCAGAAAACATTGGGAGTTCATTTGGTTGAGCCGCGAGCTACTGCCATGATGCTTAAAATCAAATGTAAATGAAAACCTCATTTAATACATGGAGCCACTCCATCCCTCCATACTCCCTGATCCCCACTCTCTATCTACCCCGACTTCAGCTACTTTAAGGAGAAAGATGAATAAAGGTGGGATGAGGTATTTCTATCTTCAAGGAAGATTAAAGATGATACATACTCATCTGCATATGCTGGGGAATTTTAGGAAGAAGAAGGATTTAAATTTTTCTGACTTTGTTGGATATGAGTACCTAAGTCACTATCCTACTCAGACCTGTGGGAGGACAAGGCACCCAGATTCAGCTATTGTGTCTATTACACAGAGTGATGGCACTTGGCATATTGTCTTGGATGTGTCAACACTTTCTTTTTCATACCACTGACATCTAAGGATTAAGATTGGTTCCTGTTAACACTCAAGGTCTCCAACATATGTTAGTAGTATTCTCCCAGGTGTACCTAAAGTCTCCTGCCATTTATTACAAGGGGGTGGACTAGAATTTAGTGAGTGTGCCTCTACCCTTTCATGTCCACCACTATCATTATATAGATGATGTCCTGTTGGTTGATGCTACAGACTGAACTGTGTCCCCTCAAAATTCATGTGTTGAAGCCCTGACTCCTAAAGTGACTGTATTTGGAGATAGAGCCTTTAAAGAGGTAATTAAGGGCTGGGAGTGGTGGCTCATGCCTGTAGTCCCAGCACTTTGGGAGGCCGAGGGGGTGCATCATCTGAGGTCAGGAGTTCGAGACCAGCCTTGCCAACATGGTGAGAACCTGTCTCTACTAAAAATACAAGCATTAGCTGAGCATGGTGGCTGGTGCCTGTAATCCCAGCTACTCAGGAGGCTGAGGCAAGAGAATCACTTGAACCCAGGAGGCGGAAGTTTTAGTGAGCCGAGATCACGCCACTGCACTCCAGCCTGGGGGACAGAGTGAGACTCTGTCTCCAAAAAAAAAAAAAAAAAAAAAAAAAAAGAGGTAATTGAGATTAAATAAAATCGTAAATGTGGGGCCCTAATTCAATATGACTGGCATCCATGTAAGAAGAGGAAGAAGAAGAGACACCAGAGGTGTGCGTGCACAGAAAAAAAGCCATTGACGACAGAGTGAAAAGGTGGTCATCTGCAAAGGCCTAGGGGTCTTAGGAGAAACCAAACCTGCTGACATCTTGATCTTGGACTTCCAGCCTTCAGAACTGTGAGGAATGAATTTCTGCTGTTTAACCCTCCTGATCTGTGGCATTTTCTTATTTCAGCCCTAGCAGACTAACACAGCTGGCAAGTCAGAAGCCTCAGACTCCAAGACCCTGACTGCAGTGCTATCACACCTCTGTCAGCAGAGTTGGCTAATGAATCTTGGAAAAATCAGAGGTCTTCTCACAAAATAAGGATCCTGTGAAGGAGAGTAATCAAGGAAAAGTTGCAATCTCTTCAGACCTCTATCATCAAAAAGGAGGCCCAGTGCATTATTGCACCGAGAAGTTCTCTGTAGGGGTGATCATAAGGGACCTTCAAATGTTTGAGGAAACATCATCAGTAGATAATGTAGCCCTCAGACAACTGCACTGTTTCTCTGCAGTAAAGCTACCCTTGGTCACTCGGGAGCTTCCTAGAGATTGAGTAATTATTTTGGCACACCTTGCAGACAGTTATCTTTATCATGGGAGTCATCCAATAGAAAAGGCGGTATAAAACCTGTCCCTGATGTTAGCTAAAGTGATTAGTTACACTATCTTTGTCCTGGAAAGCATTCAGATTAGCCTTAACTTATTAGCCAGGGTTGTTATGGTTGACAGAATTGCCTTAGGCTTTTTTTCTGTGGGCCAATGCAGAGGCTGTGCAATCACTAGTCCATCCTGCTATGTCTTGATCAATAGCTTGGGCCAATTTGAAAGGTCAATACAAAAACTTAAGGAGAAAGCCACCTGGATCTCTAAGGTAACCCCGATAGCTTACAGGATTTGTTCAGCTGGGTCTGGGACTCTTTGGGGTACAGTTGAGGTCAGTACTGCAGGTTGGCTCCATCCTGTTACTTGAAGTCCTGTTGATACTGGACTAATTGAATGCTGTATGAGACAGATTGAAAAGATTTGGTTTCAGCCTCACCTCATCTGATTAATTGAAGTGGTCAACAGTGGGAGATTCATGGGAAGATTCTCCAGAAGCTAAGATGCTATAGAAATGAGGGGTGAGTATTGTTCTGAGATAATCCTTCACAAGTCTCTTGCATATCTGCATATCTCATGAGCAAAGCACTCACTGTTGCTCTTTGTTTTAGACTATTTTTCTAAGATCCAATGTCTCTTTCCAAGAGAAGGACAGGTTTGCTTACAGTCTGGGAAAATAGAGAAGATAGTGTCCAGAGCAAAGGGCATGCTGAAATTCATTCTAAAAGATTTGGATTTCCTAAGCTCAGGGTTCTTCTTGTGCAGTGCACCTGTTGTGTGTACGGCAGTCACCTGGCACTCTTCATGTCACCCTGTGGGAATTGAGGCTTGGGGAACTAGTGTAAAAATGGTGACACTGTGGCTACTCTTGCTGTGAGTGCTAGATGATCCTTTATCCCTGACCTAGGAATCTCATGCGTTCTACTAGCATCCATAAAACTTTGGCAGGCTAACTTTTTAACTTACAAGAAGGATAAATTCTCAGGCACTATTCAGTTTTTAACACACTCCAAGTAGCCACTCCTAATCAGTTGGATGAGATGAAACCAATTTTCTGTCCTCGGCCCAGAGAATGTAAAGTGGGCAGTGGGCATGTGACAGGTAAGAAAAGGCCAGAACAAGCAGGACTAGCAGTTCAGCAAGGTGGGGAGGGTGGGAGTGAGGGGTAGGGAAGGGATGGTAGGGTGGTGGGGGAAAGAAGAGCATAGGCCGGGTGCAGTAGCTCACATCTGTAACCCCAGCACTTTGGGAGGCCAAGGTGGGTGGATCACTTGAAGTCAGGAGTTCAAGACCAGCCTGGCCAACATGGTGAAACCCTGTCTCTACCAAAAAATACAAAAATTAGCCGGGTGTGGTGATGTACACCTGTAGTCCCAGCTACTTGGGAGGCTGAGGCGAGAGAATCGCTTGAACCTGGGAGGCAGAAGTTGCAGTGAGCCAAGATGGCGCCACTGCACTCCAGCCTGAGTGACAGAGTGAAACTCCATCTCAAAAAAACAAAAAAAGCATAGGGCCATGGTCATGCCAGGAGGGCCTATAAAAGATCACTTTGTCTCTAGGCATGTCACAGAAAGTTTTTCACTTAATATGAAACAGAATTTAGACCTGACTTCTTCCTGCTGTATTTACTAAAAGTAGTTTTATTTGACCTGTCTTGCTAGGGATAGGCCAGGTTGCTATGAGGGGATTTAGAAAAACTTGTCATCACCTTCTAGTTCCTATTTTTGTGTCCCTTTGCTTTCCCAGATGCCCCTTTTCCTTAATAAAAACTTATTTATATGGAAGAACCCATTAGTGACCAATTACATCCTAGTGTTGATTCAAATTATTGGTGTGTTAGGGAACATTCTTTGGACTGTAGCTATATTTTTGGAAGGAATGGCTCTTCCACATAGAAGACATTCACGGCATTTTCAAGCAGGAAGGGATATTTGGAAGGATTTCCTGGTGCCCTTACATTGTACTGTGTAGGCAGCAACTCTGCTTCACAGATCTGACTGGCAGCAGTGCTGATGGTTGGCTCCCTGGCGCCCCTTCCCCACTGGGAACAATCCTTGGTCTACTAAAATAAAGTTGCACTAACATAAAACTGTAAAGAAAATAAATCTAGTTACATATCATCTTTTGGTGTCTTTTGCAAATCTTCACCAGCTGTAATACCTCAGATCTTAATTTTCATACTAGGGGCTTTTTTTTTTTTCAGAAACTTGTAGAAATCTGAAGGAAGAGAGAATTTTTAAGCATTCTCATCCTAATTAAGTTGGCCTATTTTTTTTTAAGAAATGGGAATGATTATCTCAGAGATTAATTAAGATTGTTAAAGGTGGTGGCAGACCAGAACCTAAATACTCCCATAAATTTTTCTCCCCTGGTCTAGAATGAACATATCATGAGCAAAAGGGCAGAGGTTATTAAAGTGAATGAGGTCATTGCCTTTTACAGGTTGATGGTGCCCTTTCATTCTGCAGCAGCAGGTAAGAGAGAGGAGGAGAAATCTTCATCACCTTTACATTTGGATCATATAATGCATTCCCTAATGTATTATGAAATATCATCCTAATGAATTCATCTTAAACATGATACTTATCAGAGTAATGAACAGAATGCCTAGAAGTCCAGGACTGCTCCTGTTAGTTACATCAGAAACCACTCAGAGAAAGCGGTTATCATCCAATGCCTCATTTCAAAGAATTTAATGGCTCTGAAAGTTGTGGGGAAGAATAGTTCACACCTTAAGAAATGCCTCTGAAACTACTGTATTTTTATTTTCAATTAGGGAGAAAAATATCTTGTCCGCTGGTCCTTAAAAGGTCTCAAACCTTTGGGCTTGAAGTGATGGAACCTGGAACAACTCAAGAATTGGATCTTTCTAGCTAAATGAGACCCTTAGATCATACATAACCTGGGACAGGCTTGTGAGGATTCAGTTCCCTCTCTTGTCTCCTGCCCTGGGAGAAACATTTCAGAAAGGGCTTTGTTCCTCTACAGTGAGTGGATGGAAGGAGACATGCTCCAATAGGGAGGGCCATCTCTCTCTGGCATTTTTTTAAAATTTTTAATTTTTGTGGGTACATAGTAGATGTATATGTTTGTGGGGTACATGAGATATTTTGATATAGGCATGCAATGTGTGATAATCATATCAGGCAAGGTAAATGGGTATGTATCTCCTCAAGCATTTATCCTTTCTTTCTGTTACAAGCAATCCAATTATACTATTTTAGTTATTTTAAAATGTACAATTAAATTATTATTGACTGTAGTCAACCTGTTGTTCCATCATATACTAGGCCTTACTCTTTCTAACATTTTTTTTGTACCCATTAACCATCCCCACTCTCCCACCATCCCACTACTTCACTACCCATTCCAGCCTCTGGTAACTTTCCTTCTACTCTCTATCTCTTTGAGGTCAATTGTCTTAATTTTTAGCTTTCACAAATAAATAGAACATGAGAAGTTTATCTTTCTCTGCCTGGCCTGTTTACTTAACATAATGATCTCCAGTTCCATCCATGTCATTGCAAATCAAGATCTCATTCGTTTTTTATGGCTGAAGAATACTCCATTGTGTATATGTACCACATTTTCTTTACCCATTTATCTGTTGATGGACACTCAGATTGCTTCCAAATCTTGGATATTGTGAATAGTGCTGCAATCAACATGGCAGTGAAGATACCTCTTCAATACATTAATTTCCTTTCTTTGGGGTATATACCCAGCAGTGGGATTGATGGATCGTATGGTAGCTCTATTTTTAATGTTTTGAGGAACCTCCAAACTGTTCTCAATAATTATTGTACTAATTTACATTTCCACCAACAGTGTACAATGGTTTCCTTTTCTCCACCTCCTCACCAGCATTTGTTATTGCCTGTTGTTTGGATAAAAGCCATTTTAACTGGGGGAGATGATCTCATTGCAGTTTTAATTTGCATTTCTCTGATGATCAATGATGTTGAGCACCTTTTTGTAGGCCTGTTTGCCAGTTATATGTCTTCTTTTGAGAAATGACTATTCGGTTGTGCAGAAGCATTTTTTTTTGTTTGTTTTTGTTTTTGTTTGAGATGGAGTCTCGCTCTGTCGCCCAGACTAGAGTGCAGTGGCGCGATCTTGGCTCACTGCAACCTCTGCATCCCAGGTTCAAGCGATTCCTGCCTCAGCCTCCTGAGTAGCTGGGATTACAGGCACATGCCACCAATGCCCGGCTAATTTTTGTATTTCCTTTTTTTTCTTTTATTATTATGATACTTTAAGTTTTAGGGTACATGTGCACAATGTGCAGATTAGTTACATATGTATACATGTGCCATGCTGGTGTGCTGCACCCATTAACTCGTCATTTAGCATTAGGTATAACTCCTAATGCTATCCCTCCCCACTCCCCCAACCCCACAACAGTCCTCAGAGTGTGATGTTCCCCTTCCTGTGTCCATGTGTTCTCATTGTTCAATTCCCACCTATGAGTGAGAACATGCGGTGTTTGGTTTTTTGTCCTTGCGATAGTTTAATGAGAATGATGATTTCCAATTTCATCCATGTCCCTACAAAGGACATGAACTCATCATTTTATGGCTGCATAGTATTCCGTGGTGTATATGTGCCACATTTTCTTAATCCAGTCTATCATTGTTGGACATTTGTGTTGGTTCCAAGTCTTTGCTATTATGAATAGTGCCGCAATAAACATATGTGTGCATGTGTCTTTATAGCAGCATGATTTATAGTCCTTTGGGTATATACCCAGTAATGGGATGGCTGGGTCAAATGGTATTTCTAGTTCTAGATCCCTGAGGAATCGCCACACTGACTTCCACAATGGTTGAACTAGTTTGCAGTCCCACCAACAGTGTAAAAGCGTTCCTATTTCTCCACATCCTCTCCAGCACCTGTTGTTTCCTGACTTTTTAATGATTGCCATTCTAACTGGTGTGAGATGGTATCTCATTGTGGTTTTGATTTGCATTTCTCTGATGGCCAGTTGATGATGAGCATTTTTTCATGTGTCTTTTGGTTGCATAAATGTCTTCTTTTGAGAACTGTTTGTTCATATCCTTCGCCCACTTTTTGATGGGATTGTTTGTTTTTTTCTTGTAAATTTGTTTGAGTTCATTGTAGATTCTGGATATTAGCCCTTTGTCAGATGAGTAGGTTGTGAAAATTTTCTCCCATTTTTTGGGTTGCCTGTTCACTCTGATGGTAGTTTCTTTTGCTGTGCAGAAGCTCTTTAGTTTAATTAGATCCCATTTGTCAATTTTGGCTTTTGTTGCCATTGCTTTTGGTGTTTTAGACATGAAGTCCTTGCCCATGCCTATGTCCTGAATGGTAATGCCTAGGTTTTCTTCTAGGGTTTTTATGGTTTTAGGTCTAACGTTTAAGTCTTTAATCCATCTTGAATTAATTTTTGTATAAGGTGTAAGGAAGGGATCCAGTTTCAGCTTTCTACATATGGCTAGCCAGTTTTCCCAGCACCATTTATTAAATAGGGAATCATTTCCCCGTTGCTTGTTTCTCTCAGGTTTGTCAAAGATCAGATAGTTGTAGATATGTGGTATTATTTCTGAGGGCTCTGTTCTAT